>NC_000002.12:86887610-87192994 GCF_000001405.40 Homo sapiens | reverse complement strand
TGGGCCCCACTCCATGCACAGAGCACAGAGATTCTTATTCAGTAGGTCTGGGGTGGGGCCAGAAAAACTCCATTTCTAACAAGTGCCCAGGTCATGCTGCTCCATAAACCACACTTTGAGAATCACTGATCTTGGGTGATCAAGGCAATCCCATTCTCCTGAT
This sequence comes from Homo sapiens, assembly GCF_000001405.40. Taxonomy (NCBI): domain Eukaryota; kingdom Metazoa; phylum Chordata; class Mammalia; order Primates; family Hominidae; genus Homo; species Homo sapiens. The sequence goes on along the minus strand of NC_000002.12, from coordinate 87,192,831 downwards.
GCAGTGTTAGTTCAGAGACAGGCAAACCCAGGCCATTTTTTCAATAAGAGACATTCTCTGCCACAGGGATAGATTGAGAGGTGTGCATGAGATGCAACTCGAGCCAGAAACCTGAGGAGGTACTTAATGACAAGCTTGCTGGAGGCTCCAGGGAAAGAAATTCCCTCATTCTCATCACAAAACTCCTAGAAGCAACTCTATTCTTCCTCTGAGTATCATGCTGAGCTAGAGGTGAACATGTTACAGCCATTTGATTACCATCTGAAAAATGCACTGAGGATAAAGTCATGGCACAGAATGTAGCTGATGGAACCTCAGAGAAATGGAGTTGAAGACACTGGAAAAAGATGACCCTTTACGTGCCTTACCTGCAGACCTCTAATAACATAGGCATACTTGTGTCCTTACTGTTTAAAGGCAGGTTAAGTCAGGCCTTCTGTTACTTGCAAACAAAGGCATTTTGATACAGAAAAAAGGTAGAGAGCATGAGCGGGCAGGCTAAAGATGTCAGGAAAGCTGCCTGAGGGAGAGTGGTCTTGGAAGGCCTGGGAGGAAATGCCATTAAAACTGAGGCTGCATGGATAAATATGAGTTGGGCAGGTGAAGAATGAGAGGAAAAGGTTCTAGGGAGGGAAAACAGCATATTCAATGGCCCCACAGTGAAAAGGAGCTCAGTGTTTTTGAGCAAGTGGAAGGGGCCAGGGTGGTGTGGGGAGCAAGTGGTATAAAAGAGGCTTTGTTGAGGAAAACAGGCGCCTTGCAGGTCACACAGGTCCTGGTGCCACACAGTAGGGATTTCTTTCACAGCTGAATCAGGAGCCATTGAAAAGCTTTAAGCAGGAGTGTTACATCAGTTTATTCTTTAAAAGACTGTTCTGTCAGTTAAATTGAGATGGTTGGAATGGAGATGAGAAAAAGCAAGGAGGCTATTTAGGAGGCTATAACAGTGGTCCAGGCACAAAATCATCATTCTGTTCTAGGTAGAAATAGTAAAATGTGGACAAATTCAAGAAATATCTATGATGAGGACTGAAAGGCATCAGCAATGGGTCAGCTATCGCAGAGAAGGGAAGGAGGGAAAGGAGCAAGGATGACTTCCAAAAGGGTCAACAAAGGAGTGACAGTGAAATGGTGACAAATACTGAGAATTTTTAAAGAGGATTTTTTTTAAAAATTGGGAAAGTGTGCTATGACAAAGTCAAGGGAGGCTCATTTCAAGAAGGAAAATGTAGCTAAAAGCCTCACCATTGTAGAGATGGAGTGAGATGAAAACTGTAGACTCCACTGAACACAGTTGTGAGGATGTCAGTCTACTGGGAGGTGGAAACATTTAGGTTTGGGGGAGGCAGCAGAGGGAGAAAGGTTAAGGGAGAACAGATGAGATTCTTCTTTGAACAGCTCATCATGAAGGAGAGCATGGTGGTTCAGCCTCTCTTCAATGACTTTCTCATGTCTACCAGCATTTTGTTTCACTGATTTTCTCTATTGCTTATCTGTTTTTGGTTTCATTGGTTTCTGCTTTTATTTGCTTGCTTTGGGTTTACTTTGCTTTCCTACTGCACTTGACAAGTCTTAAAAAAAAAAAAAAAAAAAAAGGACAATGCCAAAAATTGCATTGCAATCCACTGCTGGTGGGAAAGTAAAATGGCACAATTTGGAAAATTGAGTGTGGCAATGGGTGAAGGTACAAATGACGCAAAAATAGGAGAATGCTGGCAACTATTAAAATTGGTGTTGTGGTTTATTACACTAGTCTACTTACTTTGTATATTCTTTAAATTTCCATAACAAAATATGAAAAAGTTAATAAAACTTTTTAAAGTTCTTAAACTTGAAACCCGCTTTCTTTGCCCAAAATTATAATTTGAGGAGATAAATACTGTACAAAACATTTATATAGGCCAGGCGCCATGGCTCACGCCTGTAATCCCAGCACTTTGGGAGGCCAAGGCACGTAGATCATGAGGTCAGGAGTTCGAGACCAGACTGAACAACATGGTGAAACCCCGTCTCAACTAAAAGTACAAAAATTAGCTGGGTGTGGTGGCATGCACCTGTAATCCCAGCTACTCAGGAGGCTGAGGCAGGACACTTGCTTGAACCCAGGAGGTGGAGGTTGCAGTGAGCTGAGATCGCGCCACTGCACTCCACCCTGGTGACAGAGCGAGACTCTGTCTCAAAAAAAGAAAAAACAAAACCGACATTTATATAATATAAATTGGCTGCATTTTCAGATTAGTGTAGTGATTCAATGGGTTATCTCAGATCTAATGAGTTGTTAGTGAGTGATCCTGAAAGTCCACATATGCATCTGTGATTTTTACACACAAATATGAATGCAATTTCCAATTTTCAGTTAATTTATTGTTCTCTACCCCAATGCCAACTGCTAGTGCTTGTAAGAGAGGAGACTATATATTTAAGAGGTTTTGTTTTAAAAAAAAATTCTAGTTTTTCACTAAAAAATAAACACATTTTTGATAAATCTGTGTGGCAAGTCAAATTCAATGGAGGCTGACAGCAATGCTGGAAACCACCAAATGCGCTAAAGAGCAACAAGGCAATCAGGGCCCTGTTTTAGAGAATGTTCTAATCACTGCCAAAGTTCCATACATTATATGAAATGTGCAAATCAGGGAATCTGCAAAGATTTAAGGAAGTATTTATTATCAATAGCAAAGGTCTGCCATAGGTGATCAAATGTTAAATTGAATAAAAACGAAACACGAAAACCTTTGAAATAACATGTTTTTCCCCAAAAATGAGGATAAAAATGACTATCCAAAAAATTATGAAGTTATATGATCTTTGAATCTGAACAGGAAATGACAAATACAATGCAGCTTTTAAATATAAACATGGAGAGTCTGCAATCAGGCTTTCCAAGTATATCCCTCACAACTTGGTTTACAATTTAATTTTTTTCAGAAATTTATTTCCTAGTGTTACAGGTGGATAGTTTTAAACTGAATTATATTCAAACGCTTAGGGTCTATTGATTACTAATAGTTTTCACTAATCAAAGCAAGAATTGTTTCTACTACTATTACTAAGGTTAGTATTAACCCAAAGCAAGCAACTGTCAGATATTTACTGGGAGCATTTGAATGAACTAAAAAGAATGAAAAGATCAAGGAGTCTACTCCTGAAAATCAGTTTCAGGTGTATTTAACACACAGACACATTTCCATAAATCTAAAGGCCCCATCGCTTGCCTCATGTAAGTCAGAATCACTTCTACACTGTTAACGAGTAACTACAATTTCCTTGCAATCACAAATCCTGCTGATAGAAAGCCACCACTGTGACATCACATAGCTGTGCGGTCCCAGGTTTTCAAAACTGAGTTGGTACAACAAGCTCACTCAGCAAGCACACGTCAACTTCTACATGTACATGTGGTGCCAGTACAAAAACAGGATGGCTGCTGGCCTCAGGAAGGCAACAGGCCACACCCCTAGGAAACAGGAGACAGAGGCACTGGAAAGGAAATGTGATCTGATGCTAGGGAAGAGAGAACAAGGTCCTGAGCACCAAGTGGTATTTAAAATGCTATAAATATTATCTGCCTGGGTCAGATGTATTTTACTAAAGAAGCTAAAGTAGATAATCAAAGTCTAATTCATCTAGCTGGAAACGTTAAATCTATAGCCATTCTTGCTTATACTCAGATTTATCTTGCTTACCAATGAAAAAACAAAGTTACAACAGAAAAGCCTGAACCGAATGTATCTCAAAAGCACAAGAGCGCTATGCTACAATGCTACTATTACCTTGTAGCCACTGGTCCAGGGTATTATCAATGGTGCACTTCACAACAGGGAGGAATTCCGAGTTCATAAAGAGCCCCCGCTTAGGGTGGTTCTGCAGCCGCTCCTGATGGCTTCGGGAGCTGAAAAACTCTAACACCAACTTTATCTGCCAAAGTTCAGAAGTCTCAGACATTTCTCTTCTCCCAAGTCTTCTTATAGCCTTGAAGAGGAAAGAGGACAACAATCTATTTAATCAAAGAGTGCTCTGTCTCTTCATCAGAGTTGTAGACTGAGTATTTTTTAAATGTGGCTCCGAATTATAAAGGGTCGGGGGGTGGTCCATTCTGTGTTTTGATGCAGTCTGCCCACAGAGGCGCCGTCACTGGGTACAGGTGAATGGCTCACCTCCTTCAATATGGCCCTACATGAGGAGCTTGCAGGGAAAAGTAACAAAGGTGAATGAGCTCATTCTTGGCTCAACAGCTCCGAATAACCAAGACCCAAAAGGTCATAGCCAGTCACCTCTGGGAAACTCAAGCTGGGTACAATGACATGGCAGAGATCCCAGGGGGTAGAGGGCAAGAAGAACACTACTAATAATACTGCCCTTGAGATCCATCTGCAAGTCACTACAGCTGCAACCAGAGAAGATATTCATGCATAAAGACCTGCCACCCATGACTGTAAAGGTGTGAGGGTTCAGAGAGTAAAAAGACACATTCTCAGCCAGCAACATTCTCATCCAGCAAATAACACAACTTGTTATTTGGCTGCTATACAAAGAGGCACTGTGAGAAGCAGTGCCAGCGTGGATACCATATATCCATACTTTCCAACCAAAAAAGGGTGGATTCCAGACAATAATGGCATTCTGGGCCTACTTAGTTATATTGGAACTTGGTTTTTAATGATGTTACTTAACACTGTGTGTTTTCTGGTTTGGGGGAATTATCCTCTGGCTAAATATATTTTTCCATTCAGCTTTTTAGCAAATTATTTTTATCATTAAAGGTTATTTCTCTTAGACACTGAGTCTCAGATGCTCAGCTGTGAACTTACTATATTCACTTAAAGAGCTGTTTAAAACTAGATTCTGGATCTCACCCCAGAAATTCTGATTCAATAGATGAGACATGGAATTAAAGGATCTGTATTTTTAAGATACCAAGGCAAATTTCTGCCAGGTTAGAAAACTACTGGCTTGGCTTAGCTCCAAATCTGGGTCTGAAAGATATGATAATACTGAAAAGGTGTATGTATTACTAATTTGCCTAAAGTGAATAAATTGGTCTGATCCTTTAAGAACATTATTAAGCATTATTTTCTGCATTACCCCTTTAGGCTCTTTTAAAATAGCAATAACAAGAGAAATTTAAAAATGAACTCCAATGCCTAGATAACTGCATATGGACTCTGTAACCTCTTGCAAGCTTCATCACATAGGTCTAATTTCACAGTACTGCCATCGCTAGGGTTCTGTTCACTAACGGCTCACATGCAGACTTCTACAAAGAGGCATTGCCAGGAGGGAGGCAAAAATAAGATGGGAGAGAGGAAGGGAGTGCTCCCCTCCTCTCCTAGTCAGGGGAGACAAAAGGGAGGAATGGGAACCCTTAAAGGAAGACAGCCCCCCAAGGGGCACTCCTGTCAACATAAAGCCCAAGCTTTTTGGATTTTTGAGAGCTTTCAAATTTTATATGGTTTCCTTTCTTAAATTTCCAAAAGCAAATGGGAAACTAAAAGGAAGGACACTAGGAACCTTACCACACTATTCAGTGAGTTACTTGAACTACAGGACAAATTTCACCAGAATTGGTATAGGTTTTTGGATCCATACCTGATCCATTGCTATGTATGCAGGCAACATCTCTGAGGTCTCCTGGGTAACACATTCATAGAGTACTGAAGAAAAGAGATCCAGAATTTCCTGTTTCTGCAGAAAATCAGAAGTTTTGTAGCACAAAGTATATTCCAAAATCAATTCAAAAACAAATTGTATAGCACTACTATGGCCCATTCTTAAGTTTTATAATGAATGACATAAAAGTAACACTACAATCTTTTAAAAAAGCCACAGCACATGTAACATTAAACATTAATAAAAAAAAAAAAATTAAGTCCCAAGAGACAGTTAAGGATAGTAAGTGCTACAGAAGAGAGGAATGGACCAAACTAGGACAAAATGAGTAGATAGGACATCACAGAGCTATGCCTTGGGTTGGGCTGGGAAGAGTAGGATCCAGAAAGGAAACCGAGTAACAAAGCTGCAAGAAAAAAAACACTGACCAGAACAAGTTTAGGGGAGGTGGCAGAGTCAAGTCCAGCTGGGGTTAAGGGTGGGCATGGGCTTTATTAGAGACCCGTGACCTGGAGTGCACAGCCCAGCTCTTACTAGCTGTGAGATCTTGGGCATGTGACATCTCTCAGTGGCAGTTTCCTCATCTGTAAGCCCAGAATGATAAAATACCTATTCTCAGGGTCATAATTAAATGACATTTAAGTATTAGCAGAGTGTCCCATGTATAGTAAAGATTCAATAAAAAAGAGAGGGGAAGGTTATTTCACTTAATCCTCAAAACAATACTGTAAGGTAGGTTCTATTATAATCACTTTTAGAAATGAGGAAACTACATTTTGGAGAGGTTGAGAAATTTTCTGAAGGCCATATATGCATCCAATCTTTCCTTGTCTCTATGGTGGATTAAGTCAAAGATCTGGGCCAGGCACAGTGGCTCATGCCTATAATCCCAGCACTTTGGGAGTCCAAGGTGGGAGGATCATTTGAGCCCAGAAGTTCAAGACCAGCCTGGGCAATATAGTGAGACTCCATCTCTACAAAAAATTTTTTTAAAAAAGTAGCCAGGCATGGTGGCTACATGCCTGTAGTCCCAGCTACTCAGGAGGCTGAGGTGGAAGGATGGCTTCACTCCGGGAGGTCAAGGATGCAGTGAGCCATGATCACGTCACTGCACTCCAGCCTGGGCAACAGAAAAAACCGACCCTGTCTCAAAAAGCAAAAAACAAAAAAATAAAGAAAAATCTGCTCAGCACCCTTGGAATCTTGAAGGTAACAGGTGTATGAACAATAAAAAGAAGGGTTATAATATACAGAGGAAACAGTTAATGAAATTACATAAAAATAAGAGAAAGGTGGTAAACACTGAAAACATAAAGCAGAATATGGATGGGTATCATTCTTGTAGATGACAGAAACTATCATCTGTCAAAACTGATGTCTTATAAATTTTAAGTTGTTTCTTCTATCAAGGTAGAAAGTTGCTGAATTTAATAGTTTTAGGCTATGCAAATCTATACGTGCCAAGCAAAAGTCATCCAATGTGACTGACGCATGTCATCAATCTCAAAGATAGATATAGATAGTAGAGATGTTTTGGGTGACCCATGCATAGAAATAATAACAAATTCTAGTCCTGGGGCTCGGCAAACCATAGAATATATACCTGACCCATGTTCACAGTTGGCTTGCAGAAATATTCAGCAAATGACAGAAGTGCTGGATCAGAAGTGAATGCTGAGATTGTTTCTGGCTAAAAAAACAAACAACCACAACAGTATAAGACAACAAAAGATTATTTTCCTTACGCTTAAACTGTAATACACACAGTTCTAACAACTCTACCTCCCCTTTGTCACCCAACATTCCCAAAAAATCCCAGATGATGCAAACTTGCCTCATCAACCTGTTCTGCTAAGAAGTTACAAGAAGCTTTTGCACAAGTTAACATGAGCTGCTAATTTATCAAAAGGCCAATAACAAACAGGTCTTCCTGTTTACACAACTCATCCAAAAAAGGCTTTTCCCTCCTTCACTGACTAATTAAAAAGCCTACCAGAAACTAGAATTGTTACTGAAAAGGTAAGGAAAAAAGAATATCACTCAAGCCAGCCACAAAAAGATAAACAGTGTATGAAACCACATAAATGAGGTACTTAGTATAATCAAAATCACAGAGACATAAAATAGAACGGTGGTTGCCAGGGACTAGGGGAAGTAGAATGAGGGGTTATTGTTGCAGGTATAGATCTCAGGTCTGCAAGATGCAACAGTTCTAGAGATGGATGGTGGTGATGGTTGTGCGTTATTGTTGCAGGTATAGATCTCAGGTCTGCAAGATGCAACAGTTCTAGAGATGGATGGTGGTGATGGTTGTGCGTTATTGTTGCAGGTATAGATCTCAGGTCTGCAAGATGCAACAGTTCTAGAGATGGATGGTGGTGATGGTTGTGCGTTATTGTTGCAGGTATAGATCTCAGGTCTGCAAGATGCAACAGTTCTAGAGATGGATGGTGGTGATGGTTGTGCGTTATTGTTGCAGGTATAGATCTCAGGTCTGCAAGATGCAACAGTTCTAGAGATGGATGGTGGTGATGGTTGTGCGTTATTGTTGCAGGTATAGATCTCAGGTCTGCAAGATGCAACAGTTCTAGAGATGGATGGTGGTGATGGTTGTGCGTTATTGTTGCAGGTATAGATCTCAGGTCTGCAAGATGCAACAGTTCTAGAGATGGATGGTGGTGATGGTTGTGCGTTATTGTTGCAGGTATAGATCTCAGGTCTGCAAGATGCAACAGTTCTAGAGATGGATGGTGGTGATGGTTGCGCAACAATGTGAATGCACTTAGTATTACTGAGCTGTAACTTGCAATGGTTAAGACAATAAATTGTGTGCATTTTACCACAACTTTTTAAACTTGGGAAAAAAACAGTATCACTCAAGGTTCAAGATTGAAAATGAAATATGAAGGTATTACTATTTTCCACTGAGGTTTATATTTTATTTCTGAACTCCAGTAGGCAGGAAATAGAAATAGCTTTTAATTTTTATATACTTTCTTCGTTCAAACTCAAGTCTAAACTTATCTATTTTCTTCACAAATTGGGTTAGAGTCTTTGGAATATGCTCTAATTTTTAGAAGAAGCAATACTACAAATTTAAGTTAAACTGTGTCCAAAAATCTTTCAAAAGTATTTCATAAACAACTTACTGAATACTGCCAAACAAAATTCACCAATGTCAACCCTGGGAACTATTTATACATTTCAATCCTGGGAACCATTATAAAGGCTCGGTCATAAGTAACTGACTAAAATGAAATATGAGTTGAATTAAAATAAACTGCTGTCTCCGTACTTGGAAGAACAAAGGATGCTAACTCAGTCCTCTGGCTGCCACTCATCCAGTCTGCCTGCCCCACTTTTGCCGTCTAATTATTCCTTAGGGTCCTAACTACTTTAGACTACTCTACTTTGTATCACCAGCAGGGACACAGTTGCTCATGGAATTACAGGAAACTGAAGTTAAATTCAGAAGTCTTAATGCCTGATTATGGGACAAATTTCTTGTGTTGGAAACTTATCTGAGTCAAGAATATAGAGCAAAATATGTGCTGACCCCGCCAAGGGAATGAGATTGCTTCCTACCCTCATTTATCGTAACTATTTCCTTATTTCAAACACTACTGCACTGGCAGTCAAGTACTGTGCAAATAATAAAGCAAACTAATAAAAGAAGTCTGAATCTGTCATCAGTTTATCCTCACCGAGATTAAGGAAACAAATGGTGGTTTTTAAATGGAGTTAATAATTGCTAGCTTGCAAAACTCGTTTTCTATTTTTGCTATGAAATTAAGTAAATCTTCACCGATTTGAAGATCAATAATAAAATCACTATTTGTTACAGTGTCAAGATATGGTGTGACTGTCCTTGCTGCTAAATGTAAACATTAACTTACAGTATTTTACTTTATTATATATATATTACTTATTATATACAGTATTTTATATTCATTATATTTTATTATTTATTTTATCACATAAAAAGCAAACAGAGCCACAGTCAGTCTTTACAATCTGCAACAATGAAAAAGGAAGCAGATCCACCTTTGAAGTTTATAGCAATGGGCGAGGAAGCCAGCAATTTAGAATTATTTCTTTCCGTTTTTACCAATCAATAATACTACCTTGAAAGCCCGGGCTTCAGAGTTCCTGTTAGCAACAGTCTGAGCCAACAAACTTTGCCATCCCATTGGATCTTCTTTGTAGGAGAGCTGACCCGCCCGGAGTTTAACATATAAAACCCCATCCTTGGAAAGGATGGACCTGAAAGAAAAAGAATGAATTTAATATAAGGTATTACTGGCAGTTCTTGGCTGGAAACAGTGTTTTCCCAATACCATGTTCACAGGAGATGAAGCTTTTACCATTTTCCACTAAGGTAAATGATTATTTACTGTGTCTAAGATTAAATCAGTCCCTATGAGAAAGCCTAGAATAAAGTTCTGTTTTTCTTTGGTGTCTAGATTCATGGAACTTGTTAAATGAGGAGGCACTTTGACTATTGGCTCAATTATGAGCTTCGAAGATAACATTTTGTCTAACATTTCTTTGTATTCCCTATATCCCCTAGCTCTATGCCTAGGGTACATGAGGTACTAAATATCTATTAATTGGTTTGCAGCAAGAAGAAAATAATGCTGCAAATCTAAGGACAGAACAATACAGAAAACAGCTAATATACAGTCTGGAAAAATTCACATTGGGACCAAACTATAAAAACTTTTACATGCTTGTTAAACTTCCTTGAAATTTAAAGGCTTAACTGACATGCTACTTTAGGTATAAATGTATCAACACTCTAAAATAACTGCACGTGATTATTTCCACCCAAAATAAACTGGCTGAGTAGTATATATTATCTACAATAATCTTAAATTTAGGAGAACTTTCTAGCAAAAGAATGGTAAAGAGATGCAACAAAAGATGTGGTCTGATAAACACTGATTAATAAAGTTCTTTTGTGCGTGTACAAATCAGCTTTACTTTCTGACATGGTTAGGCTCTGTGTCCCCACCCAAATCTCATGTCAAACTGTAATCCCCACATGTCAGGAGAGGGACCTGGTTGGGGGTGATTGGATCATGGGGGCAGATTTCCCTCATGCTGTTCTCATGATAGTGAGTGAGTTCTCATGAGATCTGATGGTTTAAAAGTGTTGCACCTCTCTCTCTCTCTCTTGCTGCCATACAAGACATGCCTTGCTTCCCCTTTGCCTTCTGCCATGACTGTAAGTTTCCTGAGGCCTCCCCAGCCAGGCAGAACTGTGAGTCAATTAAATCCCTTTTCTTTAGAAATTACCCAGTCTCAGGTAGTTCTTTATAGCAGTGTGAAAATGGACTAATACACTTTCTTAAACTAAATCTTATGTTAATATACCAAGAGATAAGTCCATTACTGTCACAAGGAAGTCAGTGCAAGTTTCTCAATAAATAAATATTTAGGGTTGGAGTTTGAAATTAAAACTTTCATTTTCTAACACAAGTCTTGTTTCAAAGATACAGACTGTTTTACAGAAGACATACCCTACATATAGTCTTGAATGAGATTAAAGGGTGATGAGTCACATTCCAGATAATAATCTATAATTTATACCTTCTTATATACTTCTATTCACTTCCTAAAAGGTAAATTTGAGAAATTTAATGTACTTACTTCAAGTGTTGTGTTCCTTTGCTTAAATCTATGAGCAGTTCCCAGTATCTTGGGCCTTTTACTTTAATCTGTCAAGATAAACGTAAACATAGTCAACCCAAAGCTGAAAAATATGCTCATCTGACAAACTGAAACCTATGTTTCTCAGAGGAAACAATAACAGCCAGAAAGAGGCATCTGGAAGGTAACAAGCTCCATTTCCAGACAAAAAATGAATGTAAATCATGTTCTGAGGCCACCTAAGCTATCAATAAAGATCTCTAAGAAAAGACTTGCTCTATTCTTTCTGACTTTTCCTCCTGCTGCAGCTTTCTTATCTGCTACAATACATGAAGAAAGCAGAGGCTTTTATTTAGCTATCTTTAACGCTATGCCATTCTGTTGAATTGACCCCTTGGACCCAACTCCCGAACACACCCAGCTTACCTGCTTTAAAAGATGGAGTTCTGGAAGAAGGGTAGGAGCCATCAATTCTTCTTTGGTTTGTTCATACCACTGAGTGCCCTTTACAAATGTAAAAGTCCAGCCACAATTCACTAGGTAGTCAGTGGAAACAACAAAGAAGAAACATCTCCACGCTATACCTCCCCCTATCCCCGCAGTTCATACAGAGACCTTTAAATGGCATAAAATCCTCTCTGGTACTCAAATCTTAAAGGACTGATGTCTAAATTCCTCACAGGGTATGTGTCCTTCCCATCACTTCAAGCCTTGCTCCTCACAGGCCAGCAGCACCAAAGGCCGTGCTCCAATGCTGCTGGGTTTCTGCACATTGCCTTCTCCGCTGGGAAGGAGCTCCACTCAGTGGGCCAGGCCTAGTCCAAACACTGTCCACTGTTGACAGCCTCAACCCCATAACTAACAGCTAAGCGAGGGTGCTTCTCTGCTTCCCCTGCATTCCACAGACATCTCCAATTATCACCCTCTATTCCCATTGTATCCATGCCTGGCTCCCCAGGGGATAGAAGTTCCTTAAGGAAAATGACAATGTCATCTCATTTTGTACCCCAGAGCCTAGCACGGTTTTGAGTCACAGAAGGTACTTAATAATTTGCTGAATGAAAGGAGGATATAAAACTTGTAATCTATGCATCTAAATGAAAGCTGTCATCAAATACACAATTTTGGGTTTTCAAGTTTCAGCTAACAAATCTAAGAATGGGTCTAACTCAATCAGTTATACAAAACACTACTGTCAGTCACATAAAGTTAACAGGGACATTTTCAAATTATAAGCTCTAAGGACAAAAGAGTAGCTGATGATCCCTAAAAAGTGATACCCAGATCATATAAATGAGCATGAATGGCCTGGCAGGATATACAATAACTTTGGAAGCTTCCATTTTTATGAAAGTTCAATTCATTACTTATCACCTTTTACTGGACAACACATTTGAAATATTATGACCTGCAAAGACGGATGAGTGGTAATAAAATTACAAGTAAATGATAGGGAGAGATACCTTGTAGGTAACTTCTAAGAGGGCATAGCAGGGCGTGTTTGTGTCCACATCCACAGGCACTAGAAGCCTGGGCTCCGCGGCCAGCACATAGAGGTGCCGGAGAGCCTGGAGATGATACCTGTTCACAAAAAAGACAGAGAGTGGGTAACAAACAACTGTGACAATATGAGCTCTGCAATCTGCTGTTGCCTATAAGCTAAGACAGGACAGAAGCTCAAGTAATATCTTCAAATGAACAGAAATCTTAAAGGCAGATAAGATTCTATTAAAAAGTAATGGAGAAATTATCTTTTAAAAATTTTATATAACTGACCTTTGACCCAATAATTCTTTACTTTAGTCTTCACAGTGAAGAGGTTTTACAGGGAGGTAAAAAGTATCATAATATGAAAATATTTACTATCAAACTGACCACTTATAAAATCAATCACTCTCAAAAATCCCTTTCTACTCAACATAGGCATCTGTTTTTATCTTCTCAGATTTTTTTTTCTTTTTCCTTAAGGATTGATAGGGAAGAAGGGGGAAGACAGGATGTCAATTCTTCTCAGACAGCAAAGTTCTTCTACACATACATACTTGCACATACATATACACACGTCCTTGAAACACAGTACATCAAACATCTATGTGGGTATGGCAATATTTTTCTTTGGGGTTCTCAAACAGTTTTTTAAACTTTAAGATTTCTATTTTAGAATGTAAAAACAAAAAAGTTTTCATATTTTAAGATCTCATAAAAGAAAAATAGGCTGGGCACAGTGGCTCACACCTGTAATCCCAGCACTTTGGGAGGCCAAGGCAGGTGGATCACCTGAGGTCAGGAGTTCGAGATGAGCCTGGCCAACATGATGAAACCCCATCTCTACTAAAAAGACAAAAGTTAGCCAGGCCTGGTGGCACATGCCTGGAATCCCAGCTACTCGGGAGGCTGAGGGAGGAGAATCACTTGAACCCAGGAGATGGAGGTTGCAGTGAGCTGAGATCACACCACTGCACTGCAGCCTGGGCAACAGAGGAAGACTCCATCTCAGAAGAAAAAACAAAAAAAAATCGCCCAGGCGCAGTGGCTCACGCCTGTAATCCCAGCACTTTGGGAGGCCAAGATGGGTGGATCACGAGGTCAGGAGATCGAGACCATCCTGGCTAACACGGTGAAACCCCGTCTCTACTAAAAATACAAAAAAATTAGCCAGGCGCAGTGGCTGGCGCCTGTAGTCCCAGCTACTCAGGAGGCTGAGACAGGAGAATGGCGTGAACCTGGGAGGCGGAGCTTGCAGTGAGCTGAGATCGCACCACTACACTCCAGCCTGGGCAACAGAGTGAGACTCTGTCTCAAAAAAAAAAAAAGAAGGATAAAATGAGACTTCAATTTTAAAAAGCTTTATAGACAGTAACTTCCCTCTTCTTACTCAAATACATTTATTTCTATAAATCTATTAAAAATAAAATCAATAAAGATCAGAAAAAATGACACTAACAAATTACATAAAGATTCTTGTCACCGGCCAGGCGCAGTGGCTCACGCCTGTAATCCCAGCACTTTGGGAGGCTGAGGCAGGCGGATCACAAGGTCAGGAGATGGAGACCATCCTGGCTAATACGGAGAAACCCCGTCTCTACTAAAATATACAAAAAGTTAGCTGGGCGTGGTGGCAGGTGCCTGTAGTCCCAGCTACATGGGAGGCTGAGGCAGGAGAATGGCATGAACCCGGGAGGCGGAGCTTGCAGTGACCCGAGATCACGCCACTGCACTTCAGCCTGGGCGACAGAGCGAGACTCTATCTCGAAAAAAAAAAAAAAAGATTCTTGTCACCAATGGAAAATGGCTTCGTTTACAATAGCTAAGCCAAATAGCTATGACCAGCAGTATGTGAGTGTGGCTCTCCACTGTACCCTAGCCAATAATTGGCTTTAACAACTCAAAAAATCTTTCCTAAATGACAGGCATGAGGCCACATGTCAGAAGTGTATTAACTTAACAATATTCTTGTGCTGCACCTACCATCAGAGTGTGGTCTTCAGATTAGGCTACTTTTGTAAAACAGCTATCTTTCTTCTGTCGTTGGTTATACATTGTAGTGTAGTTTAAAATGATGGCTTAGGTTACTGTGATAAGTGCTCCTGACCCTTCTCCCATAAACAATAAAGGGCTCTTGACCTGTCTCTGGGGAGACAACATGGGATGCCTTCAGTTGAGCACAGGGCTCAGGTGTCTTATAGGGGCTATTTTCTTCTCTGCCCCCATATGCAAGAGATCTGCTATGTCTCAAACTATATCTAGGGAAACTTAAGTGTTGGTGGTTCCTCGTACCCTAAAACACAGAGCTTTTAACTGCTTCTACATGGTTTGAAGTTCTACCGCTCACTGCCACTTCTAAATTGTCTCTGGTTTTTTGCTGTATTTTGCTTTTCTTGTCCCGTCTATGTCATTTATACACAATTTCTCGGCATCTATGTGAAAGGAAAAAAAGAAACTCATACAGACATTGCCACTAAATCAGACAAACTTTTCTCTTGGAATTAAATAATTAGAGCACAAAAAAAGTATCCTGAACTTCCCTTGGCAACTATCCTTTACCTGATGATTTTTTCCCTAAAGACAACTTTACTTGATCTCCTTTTGGGTTTAGAGCAGTTCTATAGATCTGAGAATGGTGGAAGACTGGTCAGTCATCAGGTGTCCAAAGTTATCCTCTGGTCTAATACTTTGTGAGATAATTTTCTTAAAAGATTTAGCCAGGAATATAACTAAGTTGAAGAACAAAACAATGCTAATTTGGAAATAATTCCATGAAACCAAAATACAACCAAATGATCCCCTTAGAGAACTTAATAAGTATCACAT
Source organism: Homo sapiens (assembly GCF_000001405.40). Classification (NCBI taxonomy): domain Eukaryota; kingdom Metazoa; phylum Chordata; class Mammalia; order Primates; family Hominidae; genus Homo; species Homo sapiens. The sequence continues at coordinate 87,177,258 of NC_000002.12, read as the reverse complement.
TGAAGACAGAATCACTAGACTCACCGGTTGTCAGTGCTGTGAGCTGGGAAGTGCGGATAAAGGGCACAGAGAAGAGCGGCAATGGAAGAATTTGATGTGCTCAAAGAGTAACTGCAAAGTAAGTTCGGTGGGGACAGATGTTATTGATTATATTGCACATACTTTCAAGGCATTCTTGAGAATCAGGAAACTGGGGTATAATAGTAAGGCATACTGATAAGATGCCCTCATAATACAAGAGTGTCAGTGGTGTGAACATTCCACTTTTCATTTAGTCCTTGGGCCATTTCAAGATCATCACTATTTAAAGCCAAAGTAATATCCCATAAATGTTAAATTTCAACCCTTGAAGCAAGGTTTTAACATAAAATAGCAGAGTAGTGAAGACCATGAATGCAGTCCTAGAAATTATAAATATTGAAGAGTCATGTACCAAGTATGCCACCTTCTTATCCAATTTTATTAATGTATATGCCTATGTATATGCCTATGTATATAAATATACAATTATAAATCTGAGTTTTAAAAATACAGAATGTTGTAATTGGTATTTAAACAGTTTTTTTCTGTTTCTGTGAAGCATGATGATTCCTTTAGAATGACTGACTAAATGAAAAGGCAAAAGTTATCATTAAAAAGTTACAACGAGGCCATGCGCGGTGGCTCACGCCTGTAATCCCAGCACTTTGGGAGGCCGAGGCGGGCGGATCACGAGGTCAGGAGATCGAGACCATCCTGGCTAACACGGTGAAACCCCATCTCTACTAAAAATACAAAAAATTAGCTGGGCGCCGTGGCGGGCGCCTATAGTCCCAGCTACTTGGAAGGCTGAGGCAGGAGAATGGCGTGAACCCGGGAGGCGGAGCTTGCAGTGAGCCGAGATCCCACCACTGCACTCCAGCCTGGGCGAAAGAGCGAGACTCCTTCTCAAAAAAAAAAAAAGTTACAATGACTGTATAAACAACTATTCCTCTAAATATAAATTCTTTCCTCACCAATATGATACACTTTTAAGATAAAGTTTCATAGACTTTAAAAATATTCTCTTGGTAAAGGGTCTATTAAAATTTTCCTTAAATTACTTTATTGTTGCTCAAATTTAGTATAGCAAACAGGCAAATTAATCTAAAGTCCCAGAGTTTTTCTAAAAAATATTTTGAAATAAAGATGGTGTAGGACATCACATAAAACCACTTCTAAAACTATTGAGTATAAATACTTTTCTTACACACAAACATGCACACACATATACCCAAATCTCTTTCCCTGTCTTTTAAAATAATTGGAGTATTAAATAAGGACTTATAATTCATTATATATGCTTATATATTTAATGGATTAGAAAGAAGAGATTTCAAAATTTAAGCAAAGAGATACATCTATTTTGGCATGTGCATGGAATAAGCCATTTTCTTTGTACCCTTTTGATAAACCAAAATTCAAAGATAAATATTAAGATACTAATGTTAGAAATTTTGGGTAGAAACATAATGGTGTAGCTATGCTAAGTTTAAATGTTGTTACAGAGTATACATGACCATTTAAAAACCAAAAATCACTAGAAAAGCAGTAGCAGAATGGTAGAAAAATCAATTCGATATGAAAGAAGAGCGAGGAGAGTCATACAGTTTGGAACAATGAAAGATGGGATTAAGAGACACGGAGAGGCTCATTTTGAAAGGAAAAAATTTTCAAAAATCATAGAATAAAATAAATAAGAATTTTCATAGTAATATTTCTTTGACCATTATTAATTCTAAACAATTAAAGAAAGACAATTCCACAAAACATGTTGAGAGGAAATACACACCTTTCTGATCAACTTTACTTTTTGTACTTCTGAAAAGGTGAGTTCCAATGGTAAGCTCAGCCTTAAAGAAGAGGGGAAAATTAGCCTACACAGACACTGTAGCCATTGATCAAGGTCACACACACTACAGCTAAATATATACAGGGGTATACCATATTCACAGAATGGAAGACAATACTGTAACAGATTCTAATCTCCTTAACACAGACACATACAATCAAGGCAATTCTGATCAATATTTTATCAGATTATTTAGTATGGAACAGATTCCAATATTTATATGAAAATGCAAGGAGCCAAGAGAAAAACACACTTTTGAAGAAGAAAACCGAGTTTGAAGGATTTACTCAACTGGATACCAAGACTCATAAGACAATGGAGTATTGGTGCAAGTACAGAAAAACAGACCAGCAAAACCTAATAGCCCAGAAATAAACACAGGTGTATAGGCACTTAACTTATATAATAGATGTGGTACTGCAGAGTAGTGGAGAAGGAGAAACTTTTCAATAGCAGCGGGAAAAAAACATGGAGAAAAATCCGTGCCAGGTAGATTTTAGATTCAAATGTGAATGGAAAAGCTAAAAACTTCTAGAAGATAAGATAGGAGAATATCTCCTTTTCTCTGGGTAAGAAAATATTTCATAAACAACACAAAGAAGTAAAAACTATAAAAGAAGAACATTAATAATTGTGTCATCAAAAGACACCACTGAGAGAGAGTGAAAAGGCAAACAAGCCCTAGGGTGGCAAAGATAGCTGCAACAAACAAAGCTGACCAAGGGCTTAGGACATAGTTTAAAGAATCCACAGAAATCAATACAAAGCTAAACCAATGTGGAGCAGTCAACCTCATCAAAACAGAAAGTAGAATGGCGGCTGCCAGAGGCTGGTGGGAGGGGCAAACAGGGAGTTGTTCAATGGCTATAGAATGTCAGTTTTGCAAGATGAAAAATTTCTGGAGATTGGTTGCACGGCAGTGTGAATATAATTAACACTACTTAATTGCATACCTAAAAATTGATAAGTTTTACGTTATGTGTATTTTACCACAAATAAAAATTTTAACATAGATAAATACAAAAACTGGGTAGCAAGAGATTTGGACATCACAAAAGAGGTTTTGCAGTTGGCTATTAAAAGTGTAAAATGGTACTCAAGAACATTATTCAGAAATACAGAAATTAAAGCCACAATGAGATCCTGTTATATACCTACTAGTTGGCTAAAACTAAAAAGACTACTAAAAAGACTATACCAATAACAAGGGTTGACAAGGATATGGAACAACTGGAACTTCACATCCTGCCCATGAGTATGTAAAATGGTACAAGTGCACTGCAGCACTGATGGTATTATTCACTGAAAGTGAATACACACGTACAACCTATGACCCAATTCCACACAGTTCTATATACAACAAAATCGAAGACATGTACAACTTTCCCTAACAGCACTGTTCATAACAGCCCCAAACTAGAAGCAAGAAGCATATCCATCAATGGGGGAGATCAATAAAATGTGGTACAGTCATACAATGAAAGTGTAATACAACACTGAAACTTGAATAATCCATTGCTACATACAACATGAATCTTACAAACATAATGTTGAGCAAAAGTAAAGTGCAAAAGGATACATCGTGTATAATTCAATTTAAATGTCAAAAACAGGCAAAATCAACGTAAGGTGTTAGAAGACTAGATAGGGCTATCTTTGGGGAAAGGAAGATAATAGTGATTGAGAGGGGTGCATGGCAGAAGCAGAGACGGGTGCTGTGAGTTGAAAGTGCTATACAGAATCTTGATCTACATGATAACAAAGAGATTTTTCTGTGGTAGATAGCTCTTTGACCTGTGCACCTATGATTTATACACTTTTCTGTACATGGTTTTTGGTTCATCTAAAGCCAGGGCAGTCTTATAAAGGATGTAGTCAGGAATGGCACATGTTGGAAAAAGATCAAGAAAGCTGAAAACTAAGAAAATGTCACAGGATCTGGTAAACGATTTTGTTTGTGACCTTTCTGAGAAAGTAGCTTAGTAGAATGGTAAAATTTTTAACCAGGTGGGCACAAGCAGTAATGCACTGAAGAACAGAGCACAGACTATTCTGAGAAATACAGTGATGCTCAGTGTGTCAGAGAGGATGGTAATTCTACTGAGTAGACCATAAGTTGACGGTTAAACTACAAAGAAGCCCATCAAGTCGAATAATGCTGCTAGTTAAGCTAAGAGCTAGTCAGAATTTAAATTTTTCATGTTATCTTCAAGATCAACGTAAGTCACCCTTATAGATCTCACCAATGAGATCTTTTCATTGGAAAAATACATATTCACTTACCTTCCTCCTCCCAAAAATAGAAGTCCAAGGGCCATGTGGTGGGCTAAGTGAAAACCATAGTTCATTTCACCACCCGTTTTCATGTGTAAGAAGCGACAAAGCTGCAAAACCTTTAGGTTTCCTGAGCCAGCCATGACCATGGGGAGAGACAGCAGCACCACGCTCAGACAAGTTTCTAGGTTATGAGGACCTGTCTGTCAGGTGAAGAGATGACATCACTATAACTGTTGTGTTACATTTCTTTATTATCAGAACTAGCTTAGCCATCATTAGAAGACTACAAAAGTTTGTAACTTAAAAAAAAATCTGGGCTGGGCACTGTGGCTCACGCCTGTAATCCCAGCACTTTGGGAGGCCAAGGCGGGCGGATCACGAGGTCAGGAGATCGAGACCATCCCGGCTAACATGGTGAAACCCCGTCTCTACTAAAAAACACAAAAAGTTAGCCGGGCGTGGTGGCGGGCGCCTGTGGTCCCAGCTGCTCGGGAGGCTGAGGCAGGAGAATGGCGTGAACCCGGGGTGCGGAGCTCGCAGTGAGCCGAGATCGCGCCACTGCACTCCAGCCTGGGAGACAGAGCGAGACGCTGTCTCAGAGAAAAAAAAAAATCTGTAAATACAAATATTTTCCCTGATTATGAAATATAAGTTCAACAGAAATAATTTCAAATATTGAATATCAAGACATAACAATCACTTGGAATGTCACACCCAAAGATAACTGGTGTTAACGTTTTGGCTTTTTCTCTGAATTTTTCCTTTACCTACACATATTTTTTCCAAATGAAATGGAGATGTTACTCTACACAATATTTTTAACCTTTTAAATGACCTATTACAAGCAAGCTTCACTCACAAAAAAAAGTTGTTTCTTTTTTGTTGTTGTTGTTGTTTTTGGAGACAGGGTCTCTCACTCTGTCACCCAGGCTGAAGTGCAGTGATGCAACAGCCTCAACCTCCTGGGGTCAAAGGATCCACCCACCTCAGCCTCCCAAGTTGCTGGGACTACATGTGTGTGTCACCACACCTGGCTAATTTTTTATTTTTTGTAGAGATGGGGTCTCCCTATGTTGCCCAGGCTGATCTCAACCTCCTGGGCTCAAATGATCCTCCTGCTTCGGTCTCCCAAAGTTGCTAGGATTATAGGCATGAGCCACTGCACCCAGCCACAAAAAATTCTTGTATAACGTGATTTTGGTAGCTCCACTGTGTAAGAATATATAAATAAACCATAATCAAATTTAATTAACTACTTTTAGACTTTTTTGATGTTTCTAACTTTTCCATATTATAAATAGTGTTGCATAAATCCATGTAGCTTTTACCAGGAAATAAAATCTCTCAGTCTTGTCATCAGAGAAGCAATGCCTCAAAAGCAACTGAATCCTTACTAAGTACTAATATTTTTTAAAAAGGAAATTCCCAATATTTAATACTGAGACAGAATTACATGAGGTATGACAACCCGTGAATATTATGGCCTTTTTTATTCTCTTGTCACAAGAACTAGATACCTGTGCATCCTTCCAGGGTAATCATATTCTCACCTAAGTTAATATCGCAAAACAAAAATAAAAAGATGAGCTAATGGTTCTTCAGATCTCTCATTCTACATTTAAAAAAACAGCAGAGATATCTGATAACACATAAGTAACTGGATCATCAGTAAATTTTTTTCAAGTTTAATTTTATTCCCAAGGAGAATGATAAAAAGACTTACAACAGAAGCATTAGGTGCAGACAAATAAGTCATAAAATCTTTGGCAAATTTATGCTAGAAAAACAAAAGAAAAAATTCCAAGTTATAAGAAGCATCTTAAAGCTTTGTTAAAACAAACAAAAAAAAAGAACACAGTAAACTAAAATACTTCTTACCAAACAGTTAAATGCTGGTAAGTTTTCTGAGCCAGCAAATCAAAAACCCAGAGACAAACAGGCTCCTGCAATTATGTAGACATGTGCTTGGCTGAAAACAGGTGACAAGAAATTTAATAATCATTATTTTACTTTAAAATTAACTTGAAATAAGTAACAATAAATATTCCAGTTCTCTAAGCTAGTTTATATCTTTCTGGGAATGATGAAGTGCCCTCAGTCAGCAGATTTCTATGTATTTTTTTTTTCAGCAGAAGCATCGGGTCACCTTACTCATGAAGTTTGCCCCTTGCCTACAGTTTCATATGCAGCAAAAACAATTTTTAAAATTGTTGCCAATTTCTTTAATGGAAAGGATAAAAAACAAATACATACAAGTTAAATCTCCAATATTGCTTTTTGAGGGCAAGAGCTCTGTACTTCAGAGAGCTTTAACCAACGTCATGAACATCTGATAAATAATGGTTAGAAACATGTGGGATTCATAATTACTTAAATCAAGGACAATATTACTCCCACATGGTATATTTCAATTTAATTATCTGATAGACGCTAGGATAGCTAATTTGCATTATACATCACTTACGACAAAGTTTCCAAATTCAAATCCTCTGAGCACGGCAATTCGATTTCACTGAGAGAGATACTATTTTCTCTTATAATCTGTCAATATAGAAAGCAAGAATACTTAGATATCAATGTTCTCATTACAAATATTTAATAATCTGAAGAATAACATACTGCTTATCATGGCTATATTTATACAAAGTAAGCTTTACCAAACCGTTTCACTCAAAAGCCTATATTTTAATCTCATTGAATGTAATCAAATTTCAAATCTAAGATGGGCTAAGTAAGAATAATAATTAAGGGCAGGCATGGTGGCTCACGACTGTAATCCCAGCACTTTGGAAGGCCAAGGCAGGTGGATCACGAGGTCAGGAGTTCGAGACCAGCCTGACCAACATGGTGAAACCCCATCTCTATTAAAAGTACAAAAATTAGCTGGGCGTGGTGGCGCACGCCTGTAATCCCAGCTACTTAGGAGGCTGAGGCAGTAGAATCACTTGAATCTGGGAGGTGCAGGATGCAGTGAGCCAAGATCACGCCACTGCACTCCAGCCTGGGTGATAGAGTGAGACTCCATCTCAAAAAAAAAAAATAATAATAATAATAATTAAATAGGGCTGAACAAATATAAACAGGAAGACGTAAGTATATTCTAAATCAGTAACAGGGTCATAATATTGCATACCAGTCAACTGAAATACAAAGATGATGGCTTTAGAATTGGGGCAGGGGTGAGGGGAAGAAGTGGGAAAAGAGAAATAGGAGACAACTCTAATCAGACTTCTTCTTTACGGGATGTTTCCAGCATTAATCCAACATACCTACCACAGGTGAGGTTATTCACTAGGCTAAGATAAGCTAAACTGTCAATATGTTTATCAGCTATGTTACAACTATTGTTTAGAAAAGACATCCTTTTCCTTTTAGTATAGGTAATGAACAATTTACCGAAAAACATACACAGAATATCTAGCTGTAACAACCAAGAAGACATTTGATCCTTTTCTCCTAAAAGAAAAAAGCCAAAAAAGATAAAGCTAATGTTTGCTAAACATATGAATGTATTTAAGATTTATTCTTTTAATCTTCTGAGAAGATTTCTTAGAAGATTTCTTAACATTTCAGGATGTTTTCTTCAATAAAACAATAAATATTGGCCGAACACAGTGGCTTACACGCCTGTAATCCCAGCACTTTGGGAGGCCAAGGCAGGCGGATCACTTGAAGCCTGGAGTTCGAGACCAGCCTGGCCAACATGGTGAAACCCGTATCTACTGAAAAACAAAAAATTAGCTGGGCCTGTAATCCCAGCTACTCAGGAGGCTGAGGCACGAGAATCACTTGAGCCTGCTAAGTGGAGGTTGCAGTGAGCCAAGATCGCACCACTGCACTCCAGCCTGGGCAACAGGGCAAAACCCTGTCTCAGTCTCAAAAATAAAATAAAATAAAATAAATAAATATTAGAAGGCACTTATAATACAGTCTTCTTATGTACTGAATATCACCAAATCAAAGACTTAAAATATCTTTCTTCTTTTTTTTTGCCTTGAGACAGGGTCTCCCTCTGTCACCCAGGTTGGAGTGCAGTGGTGCGATCACGGCTCATTGCAGCCCTACCTCCCGGACTCAAGCAATCCTCCCATCTCAGCTTCCCAAGTGGCTAGGACTACAGGTGCACACCACCATGCTTGGCTAATTTTTGTATTTTTCTGTAGAGATGGGATCTCACTATGATGCCCAGGCTGGTGTTGAACTCCTGGGCTTAAGCAATCCACCCTCCTTGGCCTCCCAAAGCGCTAGGATTATAGGCGTGAGTAACCGCACCCTGTATGTAAAGCTTTTTATGAAAGAAAAAGTACTATGAAGATGCTAGTTGTTATTTTACATATGCCCTAAGTTCAAACAGACAAGCAGTTTACAAAGTGACCTTTAAAAAAAAAAATCCTCCTTTTAACGCTAGGTTGCTCACTACAAGGAACCCTGCTCCAGAATCAATGTAGCTCCAGATGAGAACCCAGAGAAAAGTGGAAGCTGATAGGAAATATCAATCAGGAGAACTGTGAAATTGTTATCTCTCCTATTTGCAGTATCCCTGATGTAATAAAGACCAAATATAACATTATAAAGTCTGAAGTAAAAAAGAGAGAGATGTTATTCTATACTAAAAGTCCAAAAACCATATTTTCATAAAAACAAAAAACGACCACTGTTTTTTGTGTTTTTTTGTTTGTTCGTTTGTTTTTTGTAGAGACAGGGTTTCACCACACTGGCCAGGCTGGTCTCGAACTCTGACCTCGAGTGATGTGCCCACCTTGGCTTCCCAAAGTGCTGGGATTACAGGCACGAGTCACCACACCAGGCCGCAAAAAAGACCACTCTCTGACATGAATTTATACTTTCCACTTTGGAATTACAGTTACTTGTACACATGTTTAATCTCAGTAAGCTGAACTTAGTGCATTTAATAAACTAAAGTTTTTTGAGAACACTCTATATGTCTGATGTATCTTTAATGTATTACAGAGTTTAGCACGTGCCTTGCATTTACAGAGGATTCATGAGTATGTGCTGAATGAAGGAGTGAAAGAAAAAGTATTTCATCCTACAATATACATTTCAAAGAGCACTTTCAAAAAAACTAAAATCTCTGACATCTGAATATGCTAGAGTTAAAATTATGGTAACAAATGAGCGAGTCATTTAAAACAATTCTTCCTCACCTCTTTCATATCAGTGATTAACAAAACTGGAAGAACTAAACAAATAAAAACAAACCTAGGAGTTCTACTTCCTCAAATAATAGATGAATAAATTCCTATCAGATCAACTCATACACCAAGTGTAAACCCTAGACAAAATATAAAATCCAAACTATCTATGGCAGGGGTCGGTAAACTATTTCTAAAAGGGTCAAATAGTAAATACCAGCAACTACTGATCTATGCATTTGTAACAAAAAACAGCTACAGACAATAAGTAAACAAATGGGCATGGCCATATTCCAATAAAATTTTCTTTCTAAAAATCAGGTGGGCTTAATTCACCAACTCCTGACCTCAAGACACTGGAGTGAGGACAAACGCAAGCAGATTCTAGAGGGGAGAGTCGATCCATGGAAGAGAGGAACACCACTAGATACATTTTCCTTTCTGCGGTTTCTGCTCTGAAAGCAGGTCTATCTGCGCCAAGAAAGATGGCAAAAGCTACAATTAAAAGCTCATAACCTTCTTGGCCTTAACAACCAGGATACAGGAAAATACCACACCCATTGGGAGGTGAGGACAGAATATGACAAAGGAGAGAGCCACAGAGACAGGGCCCCAAGCTCTGTATATAAATTCTGTGCAAATGTCTGCCTGATCCATGAACCATGTGTGCACAGGGCAGACTCCAACAGCCCACAGGATAAAGACGTGCACCAAGATTAGAGCTAGCAACCAAGAAAGAATGACAATCTGATTCCAAGTAAATTAACCGGTTGCTTTAAAACAAAATGTATATATCTGTGTTTACCGTGCTTGAACTACAAACAGCGTGGTTTAGGCTAACACACATTCTCCTGAGAATCTGGAACTTGGGTACATACAAGGCAGAGAGTACCTTACCTACATGTCAGCTCCCAATTAAAAACTTGGGTGCTGAGTCTCTGATGAGCTTCCCTGGTAGACAACCTCAACATGTACCTCATATCATATACAAAATTACTTTGAAATGAATTATGTAAGTATACACAAAACTAAAACTTTGGAAGCTTTTAGAGAAAAGCAGAAAAGATTATCTTCATGATGGGGTTAGACAAATGGTTTTTTTCATAGGAATAGAGAATAACCATAAGAAAAAACTGACAAATCAGACATTATTTAACATTCTAATATCTTCTGCTCATTAAAATTATTACTAAGAAAATGAATATGCAAGCCACAGATTGGGAGGGATATTTGCAAAAGAAATCTGACAGGCCAGGCGTGGTGGCTCACGCCTGTAATCCCAGCACTTCGGGAGGCCGAGGCGGGCAGATCACGAGGTCAGGAAATCGAGACCATCTTGGCTAACACAGTGAAACCCCGTCTCTACTAAAAATACAAAAAATTAGCAGGGCATGGTGGCGGGTGCCTGTAGTCCCAGCTACTCGGGAGGCTGAGGCAGGAGAATGGCGTGAACCTGGGAGGCGGAGCTTGCAGTGAGCCGAGATCACACCACTGCACTCCAGCCTGGGCGACAGAGCAAGACTCCATCTCAAAAAAAAAAAAAAAGAAATCTGACAAAGAACGGGTTTCTAGAATGCATTAAAAAAACTCCAGCAACGCAGTAATAAAAATACAAATTTTTTTAAAAAATAAGCAAAAGACATGCACAGACACTTCACAAAAAAAGATAGACGGAGGACCAATAAACCAATGAAAAAGTTCTCAACATTAACAGTCAGCAGAGAAATGCAAATTTAAACAACAGTCAGATATCATTACGTATTCATCAGCAGCACTAAAACTTAAAAAACTAACACCATTAATTATCGGTTAGATGGGCAACAGCCAACACTCTCAAACACTGTTGGTCAATGTGTCAAATGGTACAGCCGCTTTGGGAAAAGATTTATCATTTCTAATAAAACTAAATATACCATCTACCCTATGCCTCAGTAATTCCAGCCCCACCTAATAGGATTGCAAATGGAATACACAAGTTGAGGATCCCTAATCCGAAAATCCAAAATCCAAAATGCTCAAAATCCAAACCTTTTTGAACATTAACATGATGCCCAAAGGAAATGCTCATTGAAGTATTTCAGATGTCAGAGTTTCAGATGAGGGATGCTCAACCAGTAAGTATAATTTCGAGTATTCCAAAATCCAAAAACGCTTCTGGTCCCAAGCATTTCAGATAAGAAATACTCAATCTGTACCACCTAATAATAAAAAGGATGAACTATTAATATACTCAATATCTTGAAAACGCTGAAAGAAGTCTTATACAAAAGGGTATATGCCATATGTGGCTTCATTAATATAAAGTTCTACATCTGGAAATTAACATATTTTGGGAGATAAACAAAATACATATTGGTTACCTGGGGGTACAGGTGAATGCACAAAGAGGGAAGGGGCACAAGGGATAGAGGCTGGTTTCCACAGGTCTATGTGTTAGTCAAATCTTATCCAATAGGATACTTAACATTTGTGCATTTCACGATATATAAATTTTATCTTAAAAGGAAAAAATGTAAATACCAATTCCAGTTAATATATATGGTACAATTTTGGGATGGAGTGTATTACTGTTTGGAACTAACATTGAAATTCATCAAAAAATGTTGGATTAGATAGAGGAATAGATAAGTGGATAGATAAGTGATGAAACATGTTTATACAGTAAAATATTATTATAGAGTCTATTGGTGATGTGGGTGTTCATATTAACTTCTTTCAATCTTTGAGATTTTTCCTCTGAAAATACTGAAAGAAACAATCTACATAAAGAAACTGAGACCACTAGACATGGACAGTTGTCTAAGGGCAGTGGCTAGTTACAATATTCGGTTTTCAGTTTTTACCAAAAAAATCTGTTCATTTTTAACTAGTATACTTGGCTTATCGAATAAATATGATATAAAGTAATTAAAAGAGTTATTAGGAGATCTAAAATTGTCACGAAGTAAAATAGCATCTTAGAAATGTGCACTTAATTATGACAAAAATATCAACACTTTTTTAGAGTATTCTGGCAAACATATTTAGTTTTTTCCTTTCATTTTTTAACTCCCACGCAACACCGATATTCATATTTAATTTTTAAAAACTACAATTTCTAGGGACCTGAGGCTAAAAGAGAAGGCGGTGGTCTGTGCAGCACAGAATCTTAAAATGGAAGTTCTTAGGTCTTTAAGAGGTATCCTAATGATCAATATTGCCTTCATAAGAAAAAATATTTTACAGAATTTTGAAAAATCCCATAAGAAATCATAATTTTATGCTACTAAAGATATAATATTTATTATATGTACTTACTTGAGGAACATTGCTGTCAACCCACTTGGAATTTGGTAAAATATCATCCCACAAAATCAGGCATCGAGCAAGTGTCTTAAAAATGCAACAGAGATAAAATTAATTAGAGCAAGTAAAGTTCATACATTTTATAACAATGATAATAATAAACAGAACAATTTAAGAATCAGTTCCCAACTGTTGAGAATTTTGAAAAATAAGTATATGCAAATGCAGTAAGGTTATGTACTGATAAACCTATTGTAAGTTGAAAATACCTTAAGCTGAAAATACACTTAGGCCAGGCTCAGTGGCTCATGTCTATAATCCCAGCACTTTGGGAGACCAAGGCGGGCAGATCACTGAAGGCCAGGAGTTTGAGACCAGCCTGGCCAACATGGTGAAACCCCATCTCTACTAAAAATACAAAAATTAGCCAGGCATGGTGACACACGCCTGTAGTCCTAGCTACTCAGGAGGCTGAGGAACAAGAATAGCTTGAACCCAGGAGGCAAAGGTTGCAGTGAGCCAAGATGGTGTCACTGCACTCCAGCCTGGGCAACAGAGTGAGACTCCATCTCATAAAAAAAAAAAAAGAAAAAGAAAATACATTTAATACACCTTGCCTGCCAAACAACACAGCTTGGCCTAGCCTACCTTAAACATGCTCCGAACACTCAAATTAGCCTATAATTGAGTGAAATTCTCTGTCAGCATAGTAAACTGTAGAGTATGGGTCATTTACCCTCATGACTGCATGGCTGACTGGGAGCTGCAGCTTGCTGCCATTACCCAACACCATGAGAGCATCATACTGCCAGGAGTACAAGAAAAAAATTAAAATTAAAATTGGAAGTAGTTTCTTCTGAATGAGTACCGCTTTCACACTATGGTTAAGTTAAAAAACCTAAGTTGGGAACCGTCTTACTCATTAAACTACTCATTAAAATAAAGATTTAAATTTTAACAAAGAAAAACTAAAATTGAGTTGAATATCACCAAAGTTTAGAGGGCTTGTGCGGGTACTTTTTAAAATGTACTCTGGAAAAGAAAAAAATCACAAAGGAAAGAATCATAGCTCTATCTACACATAATTTAAAAGCTTCTATATGCTACGTTTAAACATCAGAAAAAAAAGAATTAGAGGGAAAATTTTAGACAATTAAGTGAATTGTTACTTTCTTTAGATTCAACCTTAACAGTATTATCACATCCCTGATAGTAATCCAAAAATGTAAAACAAAGCAGTAAAAAAGTCCTAATCACTTGTTGCTTTTTAGGAAGTTTTGAATAATAATGTGAGACAGTGAAATGTCACTCCAAGTATTAAATATCAACGTGGTTACCTTTCTTGGGATTCCCAAAGTCCTATTTGTGAAATTTCAAATGAACACTGCCAATTAGATATGCATGACAAATTAAAAATAAAAGGCTCTCTTGTAAAGACATTTATGTTTGCCATTCATTCAGTCATGGAGAACAGCCTGTGTTGCCCAGGCTGGTCTCAAACTCCTGGACTCAAGCAATCCTCCTGCCTCAACCTTCTGAAGTGCTGGGATTACAGGCGTGAGCCACTGTGCCCGGCTTACAAGCTAAGTTTAAGAACCACAAATAGACTTCTCATGTTAACACAAATGAAGACAAAGCATACCCTAAGCAAGAGAAATTCTGGCTTCACAAAGTCCAACAAATACATGGTGTCAGGGGCTCGGAGCCAATCTGCAATAGATCTGGTGGTGGAGGAAAACAGTAAGGCACACTGTTCAAGTAGAGGGCAAGACAATCAAGAATCTCAAGCTCTATTTCAAAACATTTCTTCCCGCTCCACTACAGCTCTACATATTTTTCACAATACTTCACACCTTCTAATGTAATAGTTATTATAGATGTACATGTATGTCTTACTATAACATAAACTCCATGAGGGAAGATATTTTTAGTTTTGCTCAATGAAATATCCCCAGTGCCAAGGAAGCACTGCCCTACACATTCATCCAAATAGTAAAGTAATAAATATCTATTTTTAAACACTTTGTTAATTCTGCACACATTTACTTTTTCTAAAGGGAGAAATGTGGAACACTGAAAACTCCTTGAATCTTAGAATTTGTTTTTAATTAATAGACTTAAGACATGACATAACGTCTTGTACTCAACTTATTCCTCATGCAAAGTGTAAGCATAAATGCCAAAGATCTTACTTTCAAGCGTCAGCATTAATATAGCAAGTTAGGAAGGTAGACGGTTTGGTAATTACAAAAGCTCCTGAAGTAGGCAAAAACCATTGTTTTACATGGTAACCAAGATCACACTAAATGATAAGTATTTCTGGCTTAACCAGTCCTCACAGCAATATGCTAAATTAATGAAAACAAACATGGGCATTGTTTGGGTGTTACTGACATCAACTACAAAACAGAAATGAACAGAAATTGAAAACTATATTGTCAAATACCATTAAAATAGCCAAATACATTATTTCCAGGTAAAATCTTTATAACTTCAAATACTGCAAGTTTTCTTTCAAAAACTTACAGTACTTGAAAGAACAAAAAATCAGCTTAATCCAGCACAGGGGAAAGAAACACATGAGATAACTGAATTTTACAACCAAGGTCAGGGAGGATATCACACTATCACCGCGGGAGGAAGGGTGAGTGGGTAGAAATACCTGTTATTGGTTTTTAAGTAGATCATAGCCAAAGCTAGAGTAGCACCTGGACAAGTCACATCCACATTTATGGTATCTCCTTCCTATTGAAAGAAGAGTTTATGCATGTAAAAGAGTTCTAAATTATTATAAAATTCCTCTGAATAATAACTATGCTTAAAATTAACACATTTACCAATGTCAGTATGAACACTAGTATTTTCCAATTAACTTCCCAGCTTCCAGACTTTTGATCTATTACTTTGCTGTGTACTTACTTTGATTTGATAACTTGGTGATTTATGTTTCTCCCTATGCATTCCTGTTTGAAAGCGCCTACGTCCTCCAACCATGTACTGATAGAGCTGCTCAGGCACATTGAGATCAGACATACCTATCAAATTGCTGCCATGCTGGAAAAGACAATAACAGACGAGTGAAAAGAAATTTTATGAAGGAAGATCCACAACACATACCCATAACAAATATAAAAATGAACTAACTTCAAAGCAGGTTATTTTGGGTTTTGTTTTTTTTATTTCCAATTTAAAGCAAACATTAATCATGAGTTAATAAATATTAATAATTCTCATAAAAGTTTTAATACATGAATGTTCAACTTTAAGTACTGTCTTAAAATACATAAGAGCTTTAGAGTTAGTGACATTTAACAATAAAGAAAAATATTAGTTATATAATTGAAACTGGAACTGTAAATACCTGAATACTGTCATTATTGTACTTAAGAACTTTTCCAACAATAACTATGATAATAATAGTAATTTATTAAATGCATGCTCTGTGTCAGGCACTATTCTGTGTGTTTAACATGAATGAACAGCCATATCAAATAGCTACTATTAAAACCCTATTTTATAAATAAGGAAAGTGTGGCACAGAGGGATTAAGCCCAAGGTTATACAGCTATTATAGTTAAGTTGCAGGGCTATATATAAAACACGGCCATCTGGCTCAACAATCCATGAAGCTGATTAAGCAATACACAATAATGTAGTTAAATGACTTGACTCACTAGTTAGGACCAGAATTCAAGTTGCAATTCCCTGTGTGATTCTTTTCTTTTTTTTTTTTTTTTTTTGAGACGGAGTCTCGCCTTCTTGCCCAGGCTGGAGTGCAGTGGCACGATCTCGACTCTCTGCAAGCTCCGCCTCCTGGGTTCACACCATTCTCCTGCCTCAGCATCCTGAGTAGCTGGGACTACAAGCACCCACCACCATGCCCAGCTAATTTTTTTGTATTTTTAGTAGAGACGGGGTTTCACCGTGTTAGCCAGGATGGTCTGGATCTCCTGACCTCGTGATCCGCCCATCTCAGCCTCCCAAAGTGCTGGGATTACAGGCATGAGCCACCACACCCAGCTGATTATTTTCCATTATACCACCAGCCTCTTTAGCTCACGTGCCAATGTGAATTCAAGGCCCTAACAGATGGTCAACCACAAGGTGGATTTTCAGAACACACATGAAAAAAATTCCTTCCACTATAACTTTTTTTTTTTTTAAGATGGAGTCTCACTCTTGTTGCCCAGGCTGGAGTGCAATGGTGTGATCTCGATTCACCACAACCTCCGCCTCCTGGGTTCAAGCGATTGTCCTGCCTCAGCCTCCCGAGTAGCTGGGATTACAGGCATGCGCCACCACACCTGGCTAATTTTGTATTTTTAGTAGAGATGGGGTTTCTCCATGTTGGTCAGGTTGGTCTTGAACCCCCAATCTCAGGTGATCCGATCACCTCGGCCTTATAACTTTCTTTATATCATTTAGTTTGACCATAAGAATGTATTGGTGGTTTTTCAAGGGGAACCACATTTCAAGTGAAACAATCATTTAATGAAACATTTCTGGTAATTCTGTACACATCTCTTGGATGGAGTTAAAGATGGGTCAATCTGATACTGCATTTTGTCACAAGGAAGATGCTACTGGGACAACATTCTGGGATACACAGTGAACATCACTATGGCAAAAGGGGGTTAGGGTTTGTTTCAAGCAGCTACTATAGACTCTTAAGGCTCCCGATCATATACGTTTTCACTATTCTCTGTTTTCAGTCATAGTGGGCTGTCACTTATTCATTCTATGTCTTGAACGCTTTAAAAAAAAAAAACTTTATTCCCTTCAGTTTGTTCATGAACACTGCAAGCTGGAGGAAAAGAAATCTTAAAGTCCCACTCTTGACCACAGTTTCTCTCAATTTGCAAATCTGGTACTTTGAAAAATATCCAAAAAGACAATAGAGCTGGGCAGCAGATTAAGTCATAGTAAGGGACAATATTCAGGTTTAGGTGTCAACGTTATTTGTCTCAACATGTAGATGTCCTAACTGAAGCATGGGAAGGCATAGGCTATGCTTACCCCCAAGCAGACCATGCCCAGGGCCAAGCCAGCAGCTAAGGAGTATGACTCTCTGTCAGTGCAGTATTCCATTTCAGGACCAGGAGGCCGTCCTGTAAAAACAAAAGCAACACAGTTCAAACTAGCTTCTCAAAATCTCATCTCATAAAAATCTTAGAGTTAACTTTCTAGCAAGTTGCACTGGACATACGAATGGAATATAACTCCATTCAGAAAGTTATGACACTATAATAAATGGTGTCCACAACTGTAGGTTTACCTACCAAAAAAAAAGGGCCCAAAATAGTTCTTTTTAAATTGCCAATTTAAGTCTTTATAAGCAATGATATTCAAATACTGTGAAACTTTGAGTCTTACCAAAAAAATTACCAAGTAGTAGAAAAAAATTTTAAAGGGAAAAAGGAAAGAGTATTCAAAAAAAAAGTTTTATTTTTTTGTTAAAACATCTGGGCCGGGTGTGCTGGCTCATGCCTGTAATCCCAGCATTTTGGGAGGCCGAGGCAGGTGGATCACTTGACGTCAGGAGTTGGAGACCAGATGGCCAACATGGTGAAACCCTGTCTCTACTAAAAATACAAAAACTAGCCAGGGTGCCAGGTGCCTGTAATATCAGCTACTGGGGAGGCTGAGGCAGGAAAATCGCTTGAACCTGGGAGGCAGAGGTTGCAGTGAGCCAAAATCAGGTCGCTGCACTCCAGCCTGGGTGACAGAGTGAGACACCATCTCAGCAACAACAACAACGAAATATCTTACATTTTGTTTTCATTACTTTCAAATCCACACATCACATGTGGTGAAACATGTTCGAATGATGATAATGAATAAGGAGGTCACTTACTTATGTTGTTAAGCTGTTAAATATTATGTTTAGACATTTATTTCGAGTGTATATAATAATGAGCCCTACTATGGTAGAATTTCTGTGTACTGATCCTAGAAGTCTGACTGGATACAAAATTCATACTTTTAAAAGCACCCTATAACTCTAACACTACCTTGTTGAAAACGATAAAATGTACTATGTATTAAAACCCTTCCCTCTGAAAAAATGTTCACATTCCTGAAATTTTATCCCTATAGGAAAAAAATGCAATTTAAAAAAAAAGAAAAAAGGCTGGACGTGCTGGCCCTTGCCTGTAATCCCAGCACTTTGGGAGGCCAAGGCAGGAGGATCACTTGAGGTCAACGAGTTCGAGACCAGCCTGTCCGACATGGAGAAATCCCATCTCTACTAAAACTACAAAAATTAGCCAGGCATGCTGACAGACACCCGTAATCCCAGCTACTTGGTAGGCTGAGGCAGGAGAATTGCTTGAACCTGGGAGGCAGAGGCTGCAGTGAACCGAGATCGCCCCACTCCACTCCAGCCTGGGTGACAGAGCGAGACTCTGTCTCTAAATAAATAAATAAATAATAAAAATTAAAGAAAAAAATCACACAAAGGTAATCAGTGTAATGTTTATATATAACAACAAAGGATTATTAGAAACAATCTAAAAAGTTCTAAAAGTTAAAAAAAGGCATTTTACAGACCATCGACTCAATGAATATTACACAAAATTTGTTTTAAAACCCATTTATAACAATGATCTATAAAAACAATTTTTAGGCGGGGCACAGTGGTTCATGCCTGCAATCCCAGCACTTTGGGAGGCTGAGACAGGCAGATCACAAGGTCAGGAGATCCAGACTATCCTGGCTAACACCATGAAACCCTGTCTCTACTAAAAATACACAATAATTAGCCAGGCGTAGTGGCGGGCGCCTGTAGTCCCAGCTACTCGGAAGGCTGAGGCAGGAGAATGACGTGAACCCGGGAGGCGGAGCTTGCAATGAGCCAAGATTGCACCACTGTACTCCAGGCTGGGCAGCAGAGCAAGACTCTCTCAAAAAAAAAAAATTTTTTTAATGTACATTCTGACAGTAATTATATAAAAAGGCATATACATATGAATTAAAGATGAAATCTTCTATATACAGTGTGAAAGAGGTATGCCGCAGCTGTGAGACTGTGCAATGACACCATTAGACATCATCATGATATAGCCAAAGAAGGGTAGACTACTTTGCAGATGAACATGCTTTAACAACCAGTGTTGAATATTTTCAGAATAAGCGTTTTTCAGATCTCTGACTTATGCTACCATGTATTGTGATAGCCAAAACATTTCAACTTTGGGAATAATTTCATTTATCATTATAGTAGACTAAATTATGGGTCCCAATCTTCACTGGTTCTCTCCTAGGTTTCTATCAACACCACGAGAGAAACACACCCTCCAGCCTGGGTCCCAGAATGAGGCAGGTGAGGCAGAACGGCAGCAGAACAGCCGGCTACACATCTACAGCCTAAAGCAGAGCTGCCTGGGCCAATGCTATGCCTGTATGTATGTAGCATCACTGTGGCAATAGCTATCTGATACAATGATACTAAAGAATAATACATCTTTAACAATATATTCACAAATCCATATAGAAAAGATCTTGAATAGGACATATAAGTATGTAACTAAATTGTTGAGCATATTAATAATGCCAATAGCATTTCCATTTGGCAGAAAAAGATGACAACACATTAAGATTTCCAAAAAGTTTGGACCCAATAAAAAACAGAGACAATGTTCACTAAAGTGAGTGTGTGGACCTTACCATTTCCAGGTTCATCACCAACATACCCACCAGCATGTAAAGGAGGAAAGCAGGAGTCCATTACTTGACTTCTATTGGAAGTGCTGTTATCCAACACAGTAAACACTGTGATGTGTTTAGTTTAGTGTCTCTCAGGGACCAAAACAATCTACTCTGAGTTTTAAGTGCAGGCCACTGCTAGACACTGCTGGTAAAGCCGGATAAACAGCATACTCATAGCTGATTAAAACCACAGGTACCTCATTAAATGTGACCACTGGAATTCAGTAATGAGCTAGCAAATAAACATGGAGGTTAATAACCTGCAGTTACATTAGCCTTGGATAACATTACTTAGAGTTTTGTTGTTTTTTTTAATTAGTACTAGATCATTCTTTGCTCACAAAAGCTACCATTGTCTTTCCTTAATTTTTATAATTTTACTATTTAATTGGGTTAATGTGGAGTGGAGAGTACATGCCTATGAAGATTCAGCACTATTAATCCCATACCTATCTCAGCCAACAGGACTTCTGCAGTATGTCTGTGAGCTGTCCCTTGATATACAAGGCCAATGCCAACCACTGCAGCCACTTGGACATTGTGAGGAACATCCAGCTCTGTGGACGTTGGGGGTAAGAGAGCAGGAATGCGAATGCTAAGAAGCCGAGTAATAGACATATCCATGGTGCCTAGTTTTGCAGCAGAAACACCAAGTAGCAGTCCAATGCTTGTCATTTCATGGCCCTAAGATAGAAACAAAACAAATACATAGTTTAAAATAAAATACTGCCTGCCACTTTCAAGAAGTACTTTTATGTTGACAGGCAAGGTGAGAGGCACTGAGAATACAGCAGTAAACTAAACAAACATGGTCCTTGCTCTCATGGACCTAATGACTTAATAGGAAAAAAAGTGTTAAATTAAAAAACATAAACAAATATATTATTAAAAAGTAGTACAATAAGAAAGTACAAAGTATTATGAAAGAGTATTTTAAAATAGCTTAATTTAGATTGGGAGGGACTAGAGGATTATTAGGGATGAAATCTCTAAAGATTATACAAAGAAATTTATATTAGGACCTGAAGGATGAAAACAAATTAGCCAGGAACAGTGGCAGGAAAGAGGACACTCAAGTTTAGAAGGTGAGGAAGACTGTTTCAGGTGATAAAACAGCATGTAAATAAATGGCTCTGAGGCGATTCAGAAATGAACCCTCACATTAACATCAACTGACCACAAGGGTGCCAAGACAATTCAACAGGTAAAGGGCAGTCTTCAAAAAACAGTGCTGGGACAAGTGGAAGGACACATTCAAAAGAATGAGGCTGGACTCAACACAATATAACAAGTGTTGGCAAAAATATGGAGAGATTGGAACTCTCATGTATTGCTGATGGGGTTGTATAATGGTGCAGTCATTATGGAAAACAGTTTACAGTTCCTCAAAAAGTTTAACAGAGTTACCATATAACCCAGCAATTCCACTCCTAAGTATGTACCACTACTTACCATTACTTCATTACTCTTGAGTAATGAAAACATACATCCGCACAAAAACATGTATACAAATGTTCATAGCAGTATTATTCGTAATAGCTAAAAAGTACAAATAACCCAAATGTTCATCAACTTATGAATAAAATGTACATTCATAAAATAAAACATTTATTCAACAATAAAAAGGAATGTATTGCTGATAGATGGTACAACATGGATGAACCCTAAAATTATCAGGCTAAGTGAAAGAAGCCCATCCTAAAATACCATATTTTGTATGACTCCGTTCATATGAAAGGTCCAGAAAAGGCAAACCCATAGACACGGAAAGTAGATTAGTGGTTGGCAGGAAGTGAAGTGAAGGTGGGGGGGTGAGGTAGAGGAATGGGGAGTCACCACTAGTGGGTACAAGGTTCCTTTATGGGGTGAAAAGATGTTCTAAAATTAACAGTGGTGATGGATGCACAACTCTGTGAATGTACTAAAAACCACTGTACCACACACTTTAAACAGTGAATTGTATGGTATGTGAATTTTATATATTTATATAAATAAAGATTCCTTAAAAAAAAAATAACGCTGTGAAGTGAAAGAGTTTAGTTTGCCAGAGAGCTAAAATAGCCAATCTGTATGGTTAGAGTGTGGGGGAGCAAGAAGAGTGGGGCTGGGTGCAGAGGCTCACGCCTATAATCCCAGCACTTTGGGAGGCTGAAGCGGGCAGATCACCTGAGATCAGGAGTTCAAGACCAGCCTGGCCAACATGGTGAAACCCTGTTTCCATCAAAAATACAAAAATTACGCAGGTGTGGTAGTGTGCACCTGTAATCCCAGCTACTCAGAAGGCTGAGGCAGGAGAATTGCTTGAACCTGGGAGGTAGAGGTTGCAGTGAGACGAGATCACACCACTGCACTCCAGCCTAGGTGACAGGGTGAGACTCCACATCAAAAAAAAAAAAAAAAAAAAAAAAAAAACGAAGAACAGTGGTACCACCTAGGGCTGGAGAAGTGAACAGGATCACACCAGCTCCTAGAATGTATATTAAGAGCAATGGTCGATCCCCCTTTGCCCTCTGGTGTTGGGAATTTTGGCCTTGTTCTAAACCAGTTTCCCTTCACAGAAGTTCAGCCATCGTGTGGGATCAGAATAAGGTCCTGGGGCAACTAAAGGTATCTGGCCAAGGGTACATCCGAAGGACCCTACACCGGCCCCCAGTCCCCAACAGCCTGTTCAGGTGTCGGACAAAGACTTCCAATCTTTCCTATCATGTTTTTCCTACTGCTCTTCTGAGAAATGTTACTTAGTTATGTGTCTCTTTGAGAAATTGCTTCTTTTCAGGGCAGGATGCTGGGTTATGCTTGATGAAGCTAAATAAACTGCCAGCCAGATGAGAATTATAGACAAATAATATGCAGGGACCCCCCCGGATTCATCTTAGTCTTGAGCTCATATAGAATTCAGAGAAATCAAAGGCAGTTGACAAGGAGGGTCAAGGCTGAGTGCAAGTGAACGCAACTACTCCTGCTGGCTTGATCCCCCCCTGGTCATGAATGGTGGCTGCGCGCACATCCACGACCAAGGCAAGCCTGAGAGACGCCTTGGACTCTAGCACAGCAGAGGGAAAGACTAAGGATGCCTTTTTCTCCCCTCTCTCTTTCTAAATGGGTAGCCTGCACTCCTCTCAAGTGCGAGACATTGGGACTCCTTTGATCCTCAGACTCTGAAGAAAAAATACCTGGTATTTATCAGTAGCAAGGCTTGGCCCAGCTAGAAGTTGGAAGATGGGGAGACCTAGTCAGCTGGGGAAAATAACAACTATAATACTATCCTATAGCTAGATCTCTTCAACCACAGAGAAGGAAAATGGTCCAAAATTCCATATGTATAGGCCTTTTTTGCCCTGCAGAATAACCGCAAGCTCTGTCAGCAATGTATAATAGACCTTGCACTTATAGCAGTGATATCCAGCCAGACTTAATCCAGACAGAAGGGAAAAAACAGTCTGCCTCCTTAGAAGAGGAGACAGAGGCCCCTGCACCAGCCCAGGTCCCAGCTCCTCTTGGATCATCTCGTCCCCCTTATCCAGGCCCCCTTTTGAACCTCATCCTGTTAGAAGAGTTCGACCTGGATGCGCTCCAGCATCACTTCTTCCTTTACAGGAAATGCATAGTGAATATGGTCCTATCAAAGTACAAGTCCCCTTTTCTTTACAAGATTTGAGGCAGATAAAAAGAAATCTAGGACAATTGTGTCGACCTGGATAGGTATATTGAAGCCTTTCAGAACCTTAATCAAATGTCTGAGCTTTCATGGAAGGGTATCATGTTACTTCTCAACTAGACTCTTAGAGCTTCAGAGAAGCAGGCGGCTTTACAGGTCACTGAGACATTTGGAGATGAAATGTTTATCTTATTATGGCACCTACCAAAAGGGGGAAGAAATTAGGGAGCCCTTTCTGACAGCCAAGCAGGCAGCATCCACCAATAATCCTCAATGGGACTCAGACACTGCTCTAGGAAAGTGGCCGAGAAAACATTTTTAGGGATGCACAGTGGAAGATCTGAAAACTAGAGGCAAATCTCTCAATTACATTAAGTTATCAACCATAAACCAAGGGTCTGAAGAGAACCCTTCTGTTTTCCTGGAAAAAACTGAGAGAGGCTTTAATTAAACACACATCTCTCTCCTGACTCTATAAAAGGATAGTTAATTTTGAAAGACAAGTTTATAACCCAAGCAGCCCCAAATATTGGAAGAATGCTGCAAAAAGTTAGCTATTGCACCAGACAGTACTCTAAAGAAAATCCTGAAAGTCACCACCTTGGTCTTTTATAATCGGGACCATGAGGAAGCCCAAGAAAAAGGGAGAAAAGGAACGAGAAAAAGGCAGAGGCACTAATAGCTGCCATACAGGCATATAAACCTCTCGATCCCAGGGAGCTTCTCATTCTATGACCGACTGTTATCAGTGTGGGAGCACTAAAAGAGAGTCTGCCCCCGAAATCAGAAGCAGCCCCCACGGCCCTGTCCAATCTGTAAGGGAGACTACTGGAAGACAAACTGCCTCCAGAAACATACGTCCCAAGGTTCAGAGCCGGCTTCTCAAATGGTCCAGCAGGACTGATGGGTCCCAGGGCTCTCCTCCCCAGCTCTGACAGCCCAGGCTGCATTACCATCCAGGAGTCCCGGGTGAGTCTGGAGGTCAAAGGACTCAGAGGACAGACTTCCTACTCAACACCAGAGCAGCCATTCCTGTTCTCCTCTCCATTCTGGGCCTCCCCTCCTCCCTTAGCACAACTGTGAGGGGCGTCTCAGGAAAGCCTCTGACTCGATATTTTTCTCAATCCCTTAGCTGTACCTAGGGAGACCTTTCGTTTACCTATGCCTTTTTAATCATACCTGAAAGCCCGACTCCTCTGAGGTAGGGATATTTTAGCTCACATGGGAACCACCATCCTTATGGCTCCAGGACAGACTCTTTGCCTCCCTCTGGTGGAGACTGATATTAATCCAGATGTTTGGGCAATTCAGGAAAATACTGGCTGAGCTACAACAGTCTCACCAGTCCAAATCCATCTCAGGGATCTCATCTCCTTCCCTAATTAAAGACAATATCCCCTAAAACCAGAAGCTAGGAAACAACTAGAAGCCATCATTAATAACCTAAGGATGCAGGGCCTTGTTAAACCCTGCGACAGTCCTTGTAATATCCTAATATTGGAAGTACAGAAAGAAACCCAACAGGGAATGGAGACTGGTCCAGGATCTCCACCTCCTTAATGAGTAACTGGTGTAATTAACCAATTTACCCAGTGGTTCCCAATCCCTATACTTTGTTAACTTAGATACCTGAAGGAACTAAATGGTTTGCATTCTTGGAATTAAAAGATGCTTTTTTTCTGCATACCATTATACCCCAACTCCCAAAACTTGTTTGCATTCAGGGATCCCTCCAACCAGACTACCCAGCTAACCTGGATGGTGTTACCACAGGGATTCCAAGACAGCCCCCACCTGTTTGGGCAGGCAATCTCAAAAAGATCTCTCTGAGTTCTTTCAAACTCAAGTTAGTCTTAATATGTAGATTACACTCTACTCTGTGCCCCAACTGAGGAAATTTCTCAGAAAAGCAATAAGGCTCTTCTTAATTTTCTAACTGACAGAGGACATAAAGTTTCAAAGTCCAAGGCTCAACTCCGTCAGACTTCAGTGAAGTACCTATGCCTGGTCTTGTCAGAAGGGACCAGGACACTGGGCGAGGAGAGAATTGGATCCATTTTCTCCTTCCTTCTCCCCAAGACCCTCAGCTAACTAAAGGGATTATCAGGCATTACTGGATTCTGCAGCCTATGGATCAGAAATCTAATTAAAAGCATTGCAATGCCTAATTATAACATATCTAATAATCTAGGGGGACATGCCCATGACAACCCTATTTTGCAAAATCCTGGAATAGAACAGTCCATTTTCAGAGGTTTTCTTCCTGTCCTTTCTAGGTGTCCCTAATATATGGGCATGGATTTTCCCCCTTTTAGTTCCTCTTTGTGTTCTCATTGTAATACTCATATTTGGTCCATGTGTACTTAACCTCCTTGTAAAATTTGTTTTTTCTCGCCTAGAGGCCATCAAACTCCAAGTGGTCATGCAAATGGAACCTCGGTTGATGGCTCTCTTTTACCAGGGGACACTTAGATAGGCCTCTAAGAGAGACCTGACTGCTGTTTCCCAAAACAACACCCTCTGTCAGCATGAAGCAGAACAGTCATCACCCCTATCCGAACAGCAGTTAGATATACCTCTTCAGAGCGGGGATTGATGGCGGTAGGAGGCAGGTAAATTCTCAGATGAAACTCAACCTTCAAGCCAAGGACAGTCGAAAGCCTGAAAACCAAGCTACAAGTTCTGGATAAATCCATGGACTAGAGAGCTCTCATTCCTGTTTGGCATGCTCTCTCCTGATTGGTCCTTATCCTTCACCTACTTTACATATACCTGCCCTTCCCCAGTTGGTCCTCTACACTATCGTGCCTATTTCTAAATGGTGCTTTTTCAAGCATACCCACAGACCAATCAGCATGCACTTCCCCCATTTCAAGCCCATAAAAACCTCTAGACTCAGCCTCGTGGCTGGCAACCCACCTTCGGGTCCCCTCTCGCTGTTGAGAGCTTTCCTGTCACTCATTAAATTCTACCCTGCCTTACTCAAAAAAAAAAAAGCAATGGGAGATCATTAATTAAATGGCTTTGACCAGAGAAGTGACATACTCTGATTTATGCTTTAGAAAGATTATTCCACGTACTATGAGACAAATGGACTTAGAAGTACAAGAATGAAGAAAGAAGAGCAAATAGAGCAATTAGGAGCTACTACAATAGCCAGGCAAGGCACAAAGCCAGGCACTGGGAGCACAGGTCTCACCTTGGTCAAGTAGTCATGGATATTGAAAGTCGCCAGCTTGGTAAGGTACCCATTCAAACCCAGAGCCACGAGAAAGCCAGCATACTCATTGGCTAACTCAGCATGCTTGGGCTTATTGTAAACAATCCAAGCTGAGTCGATCTGGGAGGCAGGAGCTATCTTCAGGCCAGCAGCCACACCATTATGAAAGCTGGCCCAGCTTGTCATGTTGGGAGGCACATCGATGTTTCCACTATTAAGGTCTACTGTTGTGTTCCGAGGAGGGGCACGCCCTATCCAGCCAAACGAAGAACACTGAGAGAATAAAAATTCACAAAACCAAGATTGTTAAATTTAGATCTTTGAGACTAAGATTACTTACATTTTCTACATTCAAAACCATTAACCCCATAATGCCTGGAATGTTAGGTCTCTATGACCACTTAAAACTTTTGTACATGTGAGTCAAACTTAATGGAACTGGAAAAACCATCACTGTCTAAACAGTTCATTGTCCTTTTTGCTAAAATGTATGAGGCTATATAATGAGATAACTGATACCAATTTAACATTATACAGAGATGACTGGGATAATCACTGCTTTGAAATCTTTCTTTCAAACAGTAGAGAGCTTAGAAACCAAAATGAAGACTAACATCACTGTTAAACTATACAAGTTATAAATCCCAACATCTGATGACATTGATGTTAATTTCAAATGTTCTATCCTATATTTTCCCCTGGACATTAAGGAAAAATGACATCTTAAGAAAAGACAAAAGCCAGGCCTGGTGGTGCGTGCCTATCCCAGCTACTTGGGAGGCTGAGGCATGAGAATCATTTGAACCTGGGAGGCAGAGGTTGCAGTGAGCCAAGATCATGCCACTGCACTCCCACCTGGGCAGCAGACAGAGACTGCATCTCAAAAAAAAAAAAAAAAAAAAAGACACAAGAACCTTAATAAATCTGCTACAGCTCTTACCTATATATGCCCCCTTCTCTCTTTTTTTTCTCTCTCTCTATATACATACAGATATAGATATCTAATTATATGCTATTGTTTAAAATGCTTAGAGATAGTTTTGTAAAAAGCATCCTTTTATAGACTTGAGTCACCCAGTGAACTTCAAAAGGGCATTCACTAGATTTACTTTTATGGTCCATTTAAGAACAATGTAAATTATATGTTCACAATGCTATATGTTCCCTACGAATTTTTTCTTGATTCTTTTCTTTTTGATCTACATTATACACAGCAAACACTGAATCTTTTTAAATATATTTTGAATACTGTCTTAAGTCACAGATAAAATAATTAACATAAATATTTTAATTACTGCATAAAGTTATCCATTTCACTGCAGCTTTAAAAGTACCATTTTTAAAGAGTTCTAAGATGTTATGTAAAATAAATTTTAAGTAGATGCAGAGTGTCTTATTTGTAGCATGTACACATACACACACAAAGCACAAAGTAAGACTTATTTGTCTTTACTATATGCTTTTTGTACCTAAAAGCTAACTCAACTGCTAGTGTTAGCACCACAATGAGTAATAAGTTCATAAGTTACACTTGCACTTTCTCAAAAAAGGCAGACATATCAATATGAAAAAACTGAGTGAACTTTCTGAAACTTTCATTCATCATATGCAAAAGACATAATATTTATACACGAGAGAAAATAAAATGCAAAGGGTAAGGTAAATTTTCTTCAATGAGAATAACAACATACAAAAGTACAACAGGCCACATCAGTGTGGGTTAAGCAACTATTTAAGAAAATATTCTTTCCTAAATTAAGAGGATAACCTTTCTTTTTGGCCTACCAGAATGACTAAAAGAATAAAATGTTGGATTAATGTCATAAACACATTTTAAATCATGCAAATTCAATTAAATGTATTCAGAAAAAAAGATGCATGTATATATTTTTTAAACCCACCCAAGTATCGCTTGAGTGCTAAATCACCCAGATTGAATACATTTTAACATTTGCCAATTTTGCATTAGATTTCCTTTTTAACCCGCACTCATTATATGAAATCTTTCATATAAACAGTTGGAAAGACTACTAAAATGAACATCTATATACCATGCCTTCCATCAAGAATCAATAATTGTTAAAATTTTGCCATAGGTGCTTTACCTCTGAGACAATTTAAATATTAAAAGCAACTCTGCTCACTATGTCCCTCAGTGAGATTAGGGCTCAGAATAAGCATGATATGGAGATGGGAATGTGTTCTTCACTTAGTCAATCTCATTTCCTGCATGCTGCTCAAAGCACAAGCTGTTCACAAATCTGAGTGGAACTCTGGATTTTTTAAAGTATGCAATTTAAAATACTGTACAATTATGTTTGCATATATTATGTACTATTTATCATATATTAAATTATACATTATATACTACTACATATACTATACACTACTACAACATACATTACACATACATTTTGTATAGGTTTCACAAAACCATATATACTATAATAGAGTTTCAATGATAATTTCAACTATGTAATTGTCACCTTTAGAACACATTCAAATCAGCATTAGGCGGACATACACTAAAAAACTCATTGTAATCAAGACTATAACTACAGTTATACATAGCAGAAATAAAAACTTGCACCAACCAGAAAGGCAATTTGACATGTTCCTTAAAACCATTCATCTTGCTGTCCTAAGAGTTCTACTTCTAAGCATTTAGCCTAAATACATAGGACGAATACGCCCCAACAATGTTTATAATACCAAAAAACTGTAATTTCCAACAATACCAGGCTGCTTCTATAAACTATGGTATATCCACTGAATGAAATACTCTGAAGCAAATAAAAATGAATGTATCGATTAAAAACACGTGTATACAATACATACACATAATTATAAACACATACATTTATTTGCTAGATATAAAAGGATGTTCACTGTAAATTTTAAAAAATATCTAAAATAGATTTAAATTTTCTGATAATTAAACAAATATAAAATTATAAATATGTGGAAATAAACTTAGTAAACATATATATTAAAATGTTAAAAGGAGTGATGCAGAAGAGTGGGAGTACTGCAAGTGACCATTTTTTCTCTTTTTGCTTAGGACATTTCTTGATTTATACAATGATCATCTGTTTAAACTATGACATAAGACATTTTAAAACTAAATATTTTTACATATTATACTCAAGATTATTTAAAATTCAATAGTCTCATCATTATCAATTATATCTTTCTGAACTTCTCCAAGTGACTTTGTATATCTTGAAATCACCTCATTAAAAAGCAAAAATGAGTAACGAACTATATTCTGCTTCTCTCAAGGTTTAGTTTGACATGGTATTTGAGCTTTGATAACCACTATAGCAGCTATTAGGAAAATTTAAAATCACTGGGGATAGAGGGAGCATTTCTTTTGTTTTAACTAATTTAAAGAACTACACTTAATGCATGTACTTAATCACTTTCCTTTCTCATTGAGCCCAGAATTTAACATACCAGTCAGATTCAATTTAGGAATAGGCAATGGCTCTGTTGGAACAGGATGGTACGAAAAAAAGGTAAACATTCCTCGTCCTACAGGAAGAGCCATAGTTTGCTGACACAATTGGAGTAATCTGTAATTAAAGTAAAAACCAACATGTGAAAATGTTTAAAGCAAAGCGCAATTGAAATATCATCTGTAAGTATTTCAAAAGAAGGTGTACTGTGTAAGATGAAGTTGTCTCAAAGTAAATTCATACACAGATGTGAGTGAACTACCCAAACATGATTATTTTCATTTTAATATTCTTGTTCCTATTACACTCTTAGGGAGAGACATATTTCCTCTGTTTTGTTTCATATTTACATTGAATGAAAACCACCTGGCCTATAAACCAAGCCGACTCTCTCTAGGCATTCAAAAAAACAAAAGAAATTTAAAATTCCACTCCGATGGATGCTAACCTTCTCAAAGGAAAATACAGTACTTTTGGGGTTTTTATCACTGTGTTAATTTCAGTCTAGCTGTCCTCAGTACATGTGGGATCCTCCTCCCATCCCTTTTGCCAATACAGCCTCAGAAGTACCATTTCTGTGGCCTGTACACAAGAAAAGAAACAAGGTCCCTATGTTAGAGGTGAATGGATTTCATGGTGTCTCCAAGGGAAATACAGATTGGTTTCACTTACATGATGGCTAGGTTTATAGGACTAATACCATTATGTATCAGGTATGTTCAAGGTTAAAATGGTTTCTGTCGGCTCTACTGTGAAATTAATATACCACTCTTCAACTTGTTCCTCTGTTAAAATAGCTTAACATTCCATATATCCACTTAAAAAAAACTAACAGAAATTTTGGAAGTAAGGCATTTATAACTAAGAAACGCTTATACAAGTTATATCTGAAGACACAGAAATATCCCTTCAGAGGCTGACAACTGACGAACATTTTCTCTGCAGACAAAGCTATTCATAAGCATACTCCCTCCTTAACTGGACACACATAACTGCTTTTCTAGCTAACTGGAGAGAAAAATTTTGCTGTCTTAAAGATTCTCTGGGAACATGACCGCCACATTAATTTGGGATCAGGAAAATTCAAAGCCAAGAGTCTGTTGCAACCCATAGAATTTTTTTAGAGGAAATCTTACACATAATTCACTTCAACTTTGCACAAGTAACAAAATTATAATGAGAACAATATTATATCCCCTGAATATAAGATGCCACTCATAAGATGTATCATTATTTCATGAGAAACTAAGAAAGAGAAAGCACTGCCAGTTAAACTATGACACCTGTTCACTGAAATACACATCTGATTTCAGAGATATTAAAAAGTGAAAAAACTTGCATCTTAGAATCAATGAACTCTACTACTAATAATGGCTGACTGCACTGAGCTTTACTATGTATTGAGCAGTATTCTAAGTGCTATGTAAAAATAATTCACTTGATACACAGCACCATCCCATGAAGTATGCCTATTTTTACAGATGAAGCAACTGAGGCAACAAGAGGTAAAGTAATTTAACCAGTCACCCAGCACAGCATGGCCATGCCTGGCTCTAGAGGCCATGCTCATAAATCCTATGCTCTAAACTCAACTTCTGTCACTCCATCTTTTTATTCACAGGTGACTAATAACTGGGTACTTGTGGAGAGGAAACAGTTAATAGGGAAATCACAACTAATTCAGATCTTCAGCAGCCTGTGGCTAAGTGTGGGTGACGGTTCCCCTCAAAACAGTACCATAAAAAAAGTAAAGAGAACTAGAAAACAGTGACAGATGAATGATAGATGATAGAGACAAGCAGATAAAAGAACAGGAGAGAATTTTAAAATAGAAGTGTCCCAAGAGAATAGCTCTGGAATGTCACAGGCATGTGAGTCTTACAATGTATCAGGGGATGTATCCTGTGCAGGGGAGTGGCAGAAGAAAGGCTTATCTATTTTTATTTGGAGTATTATCTATCATATCCAAAAAAAAAATACTGATATAAGTTTAAACTACACTAAAAACCCCACTAACCTCAAAATCTATTCCTGATCAAGACACAGAAAAACAAGTCCAGTGTTTTCTTTGTTTGTAAATTCTTAAGGTAACTATCAGGCAAAATAGTTTTACATTCACCTTTTCTAAAGAGTAAACTGTTATATGTATTTCAAGAGGAGGACGGTATGAAATACAACAATTACGTCCTCAAAAGCCAAAGACATTTTGCTAACACACGTGGTTTGTTGAAGTTGGATGAAAACTTAAAACACAGGGCATATTTTCACTTGAAAGTATCTTTTAAATCTCTTTAGGGTTTTAAATGCTAAAAACTTGAAGGAAAAACAAATATAAACAAGACACAAATGTAACAATGAAACGTGACAAGAGATAGTACACGTGTTTTCTTTCACCTGTTTTCCTTTTCCTCGATGAACTCGTGGTCACTGAGCTCTGGGTACTGCACTACGTTGACACGGACAGGATGCGCACTCTGAAGAAGCCTTCGCACATCCTGCACCCTTAAATCTTCACTCCATATTAATGACATGACCTCGTGATTCATGTCATTCATGCCATCATCTTTCTCCTCAGTTTCTGTACCTGAAGGAACATCTGATGAGAGCACCTGAGTAACAGATTTATTATAATAATAATTTCAAAAGCAGTTAACGTGCATTTGCTGAACATGAGGATATATAGGCTGATGTGTCATGACTATACTAGCACAGAGAAAATATGTTTTCCAAAGCAGGCCTGGGTTGGGGCCGCAATGTATACTGGGACTCTAATCTACAAATCTTTCTAAAAAGTACTATATTGCTGGCTGGGTGTGGTGGCTCACACTCTGTAATCCCAGCACTTTGGGAGGCCGAGGTGGGTGGATCACCCGAGGCCAGGGGTTCCAGACCAGCCTGGCCAACATGGTGAAACCCGGTCTCTACTAAAAATACAAAAATTACCTAGCCAGACGCAGTGGTGCACACCTGTAGTCCCAGCTACTGGGGAGGCTGAGGCTGGAGAATCACTTGAATGCGGGAGGCAGAGGTTGCAGTGAGCCGAAATCGTGCCACTGTACTCCAGCCTGGGTGACAGAGTGAGATTCTGTCTCAAACAACCAAACAAACCAAACAAACAAACAAACAAAAGTACTACATTGCCTACTTGGAAATATTTGGAAATGACGGGGAGAGTTTAAATTTAGGGCAACAGTCAAGGGGCTGGATACGAACAGAGAAATATTCTGAATAAACTATAAAAAAAAATCTAACTACATCCTGATCATTTCTTAAAAAAAAATTATTGCAAGTAGAATATGAATACTAGTCACTGCTAATAATGCTAATTTAAATATTGTCTGTTCATTAATAGAAGGAGAAGGAAAAAAGCCTGAAAGGATATACCCCAAGGGTTGGGGGAAGTCACACAATGAAATACCTTTTACTTTACTACTTTAAATAGACAGGATCATGGTTGGATTCCATTAGTAAGTTTTTTTTTGTTTTTTTTTTGAGACAGGGTCTTACTCTGTCACTCAGGCTGGAGTGCAGTGGTGTGATCCTGGCTCCCTGCAACCTCCACCTCTTGGGCTCAAGCAGGCTTTCAACCTTAGCCTCCCGAGTAGCTGGGACTACATATGTGCACCGCCCACCCAGATAATTTTTTTTATTTTTTGTAGAGACAGAGTCTTGCCCTGTTGACCAGGCTGGTCTTGAACTCCTGACCTCAAGGAGATCCACCCACCTCAGCCTCCCAAATAGCTAGGACTACAGGCACATACCACCACACCTGGCTAAATTTTTTAAAAAATTGTTTAAGTAGAGATGAGGTCTCACTATGTTGCCTAGGCTGGTCTCAAACTCCTGGGCTCAAGCAGTCCTCCGCCTTGGCCACCCCAAAGTGCTGAGATTACAGGCATGTGCCACCACACCCAGCCAGTTTTCACTATTTTTAAAAAATGTGTTTCCAATAAAAATTTCTTAGAAGGAAAAGTACTGAACTACAGCAAAACAAGTAAGAGGGTAAATTCCTTGATTGTCATCATGTTCTAAGCCCAGCATGTGCTTTAATATGGGGCTTCCCAGTCCAAATAATTAAATCTAACTGCAACACAGATGTGAATTGCGTGGAATCATATCATATTCTCTCAAAAACAGTATTATACTCTTTTAACAAAAGAATAACTCCAAGTTGAAATGTTAAAGTTTTGCAACATTTAATGTGAAACCAACAAGGTCAGCCTGAAAAAAAAGTAGATACGACCAAATAATCACTTTTAGTTCCTAAAAATTCATTTTTAGCTCCTATAAAATATCTAATTTAAAAAAAAAAACTATATTCTAATGGGTGAGTTAGCTATAAAACATAGTCTCAAACAGTGACAAAATAAATTTAGATGGGATTAGTTATAAAATGTAGCCTCAACTGAACAAACTGTATTTAGACATAATTACTTAAAATGACATTCAAATACAGATTAATATTTTAATGCTAATGGTGCTGAACTGCTCTCTCTCACAGGAAAATCATTTTATAAGCAAAAAGATTTGTTTTCTGTTTAAAACAGGATGTAAATACTAATTCAACGAAGAGCTGTGATTGAGGCGCAGATTAAAGGAGAGACGTGCTGGGATGACCGTGCTGGAGATCAGATGCCCATGGAAACTGACTCCGGCATGGGTACACATTAGGCAACTCTGAGGTTAGGAATAAGTTTTGATATAGGCTCTGAAGAAGTAGTAATAAGACCTAAGGTGACTCATAGTTACAATGCACTGATTATTATGTATTGATTCAAAAGCTACTAAGAGGTAAGACCAAATTCCCACTGTCTTCTCAGGGACATGAACATAAAAGAGTCACCAGGAGTGGAATTATTATTCCTGAATCCTCCTTGATGAGATTCTACTGTTCATTTTTTAAAGTTACCTAGAATTCTAGAATAAGTTTTAAAAGTTTCATTTTCAAGTTTTAAGAGAGGATGATATAAAAAGATAATTGGAGAGTAATGAAATAATTTTACTTTCTACTTGCAGGATTCCTAGAACTCATTTAAAAAAAAAAACAGACTTGATGATTGATGAAAGACAGTATTTCGGGAGGGATAGCTTAAGACATCTTTTTAAACAACTCTACTAAAAAAACACATTTTTTCCCTGGGGCTGCAGTTTTATGTGATTAAATAAATATGTTTACACCTATTTAAAAGGTTAAATTCAAAAAATTCAACACATCGAAAAATATGCAGTAGAAAATATTTATATATAATTACTCATCCAAATTCAGGATATATGTGCTCTCCCTTTTCCTATGTAATAATTACGAAGTGGTTAATTACTAATATGGTACAAGTAGGGAAATAGCCATGGTAGTTTCCATGACTACACTCAGGACTTGTCCTGATTCAAGGCAAAGAAAGATCCAGGCACAAGACAGAACATTCACAAAATCTCCTGCTCCTATGCTCAACTTAACAATTAATAAGACGCATACAATTACAAACCCCGTCTGGCATATAATATAAAAGACAAGCTAATATATATACTTAGAAAAAGCCTTAAAGGAAAATGAAGAACATTTCTACTTTATGATTTTATTTAAGGCTAAAATTGGAACTCTGAACTTTCTATGTTGATACTCACAGACTTCCCTTTGGGTAAGTTTCCTTCGCAGGCCTGCTTGGAAAGATCCTGACGTCCAATCAAGAGACAGACAGCTTCTGGCCAGTCTGAGGCAGGCTGCTCACGACAGTGATAAATTGCATCTCTGATGGGAAGAGCAATTCCAAAGGGAAGAGTTTCCAAATCTCTTAAAGTGAATCCTAATGGTTAAAGGAAGAGAGAAACATTTTAATTTAGACTTGCCACTGTCCCAATTATCCTAGCTGAAGTTGGCAACAATATCTATCCTGACAAATAAATTCATTTTATTCCTCTTACTACCAGACTAATGTCTTAACATCAGGGACTAGTATAGGAAGTCTCTTTGAAAGAACTTGTAAAAACCTGAAGAAAAAAAGACAATCTAATAGAAAAATATAAAAGACAAAAAGACATTTCCTAGAAGGGGAAACATAAATGGGCAATATGCATATGAAAAGATGCTCTACCTAATTAGTGATCAGGAAAATGCAAATTAAAGCCACTGAGAAATGTAAATGTCAAAGCCAATCAATACCAAGTGTTGGCAACTATGTAGAGCGATAATAATTCTTTTTATTCTTTTTTTTTTTTTTTTGAAATGGAGTCTTGCTCTGTCACCCAGGATGGACTGCAGTGGTGTAATCTCGGCTCACTGCAAGCTCCTCCTCCCGGGTTCACGCCATTCTCCTGCCTCAGCTTCCCGAGTAGCTGGGACTACAGGCGCCCACCACCATGCCCGGCTAATTTTTTTTGTAGTTTTTTTTTAGTAGAGACAGGGTTTCACCGTGTTAGCCAGGATGGTCTTGATCTCCTGACCTCGTGATCCACCCGCCTTGGCCTCCCAAAGTGCTGGGATTACAGGCATGAGCCACCGTGCCCGGCCCGAGCAACAATAATTCTTATCCATAGCCAATGGTAGTGTAAACTGGTACAACCACTTTGGAAAACAGTTGGTATGTATAGGTCAGTCCACCCATTTGATCCATCAACAGCCATATAGAAACTTACACCCAGGTACACCAAGACACAGGTATAAAAATATTCATTAGCAATACTGGTTTGCTATGGAAAAAAAAAAAGAGATGGAGAAAGGGGTAAGTCCGATTGTCTATCATTAACAGAATGGGTAATTAAATTGTGATATGTTCAAACAAAGTAATCTCTATATCAGAGAAAATGAATGACCCACTGCTACTGCTACGTGAGTCGACATGGATGAATCTTTAAAAAACAAAGTTGAGTGAAGAAAAAGGAACATATATTTACATCTATATATTTTCAAAACTACATAAAACCTAGCAATTTATAAAGATGTAAAACTATAAAGAAAAACAAGAGTAAGGTAACACAAATGTAGGTAGGGCAGTGGTTCACTATAACATTGGGGTGTGTGACAGGAGGGGACCATCCAAGAACAGATATGTAAGGGCCTTCTACTATGCGGGTAATGTTCTATTTCTAGGGGTGGGTGACCAGTACATCAATACTCACTTTAGTACCATTCTCTAAACTAAACATATACGTTTGACATATTATTTTGTAAGTATACCATATTTCATATTTAAATTTTTTTATCCTCAGGTTAATTAAATCATGTTTTTCTTATCATGATTTTCTAAATTTTATAATACTATGCATTATTTATAATATAAAAAGTCGATTAACTATTGAGGCAAAAAATGTTTCCTTATATGAGAATAACACTTATTAAATATTATGCAATATACAAATGGATAGAACTAATCCAATATTTTTCAGCATAGGTATCCTGTATGTATACTACGCAACAGTTATTGTCATTTTTAAGGTAAAATGCAAAAAAAAAAAAAAAAAAACCTGTCAGAAACTTCATTTAGAACATACTTTAGATAAGACTTCAAAAACATCTTTTAATATTCATTAAAACTTTACTTTTTAACATACATCCCATATAATATCCTCATTTTTAAAATCATGTCTTCGTGGCAGTAATTTTTAATTTTGTTTTTCAGTTCTTTGTGAAAAAAAATTTCTTTGGTATTTTACTTAATTTAAAACCTAGGAGCATAGGTTTGGGGAATAGGGAATATAGAACGCTTTTCCTTCCTCTTCCTCTTCCCAGTTCAATGTTCATCTTGGTGCCTGAAATCCCTTCAAAAGTGCATTTATCCTTCAAAAGTATACCCTGAAATGTTTATATTATTGCTTTTAGACTTTGCCAAAACCACCCATTTCTGATATCTGAGTATCACAATGATTTCAGGTGTATATGTAGGGTGATTAGAGTTCTCCATTCTCAGAGACCAGCTTACATAGCCATAGCCTCAAATGTTCCAATGTAATGGCAAATAAAGATTCCTTATGCACCAAGATAAAAAGCTGGTATCCCACATATTATTATATGAAAGTTGTGAGATTGTCGAGAAAAAAGAATATGGCTTGATGAACCATAATCTCAATCTTGTGAGGCCTTTTCACAAAGCCAGAGCCCCTCTCTCCTCATGCCTTCCACTTCTAGCTAGTCTGGAGGAAGCACGGCCTAGTTAGCAGGTAACAAAGAAGCTCTCACCTACATTAGTCATCCAGCCAACCAATCTTTCAGCTAGACTAGAAACAGACGTAGAATGCCTGAAACTAAACCTATAAGAGAATAAAACATAAAGTAATTAAGCAGAACAGTAAATAATATTGTTTTAAGTGTCTGACATAAAAGCACAGTCTAAATAAAAGTCACCTGTTTTCCACTTGTTCTGCTTGCAACTTCTGGGGGGCTAAAAGGCAACAAAATGAAACTTAATTTTGATAGTCATCCTGGTAAAGAAAACATGTAACATGTAGAAGACATTTGAAAATAAGAATCCATTAGCAAACAACATCTAAAAAAATAATAAAATAAGCAATACTGTGGCAGGCTGAAAAGTACAGTCAAGGCCCTCAGAATACTCAGGGGATTGGTTAGGACACCCGATGTGTACCCAAATCCCTGCATGCTCAAGTCCTGCAATTGGCCCTGCAGAACCTGCATATGGATTTCACATCAGAGAATACTGCATTTTCTATCTGCATTTGGCTGAAAAGAATTTCATTGTAAGTGGACCCACACAACTCAAA
Organism: Homo sapiens; assembly: GCF_000001405.40. NCBI lineage: Eukaryota > Metazoa > Chordata > Mammalia > Primates > Hominidae > Homo > Homo sapiens. The sequence continues at coordinate 87,137,915 of NC_000002.12, read as the reverse complement.
CTCATGTTGTTCAAGAGTCAATGGTACAATAATTTCCTTCAGGCTAAAATAGTCCTTTTTACCCGCACTGAAAATACAAGATTTATTAGATTTTAAGTAATCCTGATACCTGAAAATTAGTTGTGGACAACAGACCGCAACAGACCAGAACAGTACTAAAAAGGTAAGACATGGCCGCCAAAGCAAACAAGAAAAATTCAATTCTTTTTTCAATTCTGATACTGACATCTACAAAAATTTGTTTCCAGAGGCAACATTGCACCAACTTACCTACAGTTATTCTGGTTAAATACTGTGAGGATTCATCAGAAACCGAGCTCTCATCACCAAGTATGTACAGTGCAATACTCTGCAAAAGAAGAAAATTAACATTATTTTTCTCTTTCCAGAGACAGCATCTCACTTTGTCACCCAGGATGGAGTGCAGTGACACAATCACAGCTCACTGCAGCCTCAAACTCCTTGGCTCAAGCAATCTTCCTGCTTCAGTCTCCAGAGTAGCTAGGACTACAAGCACACACCACCATGCCCAGCTAATTCTTTTATATTATTTTTATTTTTTGTAAAGACAGAGTCTCGCTGTGTTGCCCAGGCTGGGCTCAAACTCATGACCTCGAGCAATCCTTCTGCCTCAGCCTCCCAAACTGCTGGGATTATAGGTATGAGCCACCACACCTAGCTACATAATTGAAGTGTAACTAGAAAATAATTATAACATAGAATAATTCGTCCATTTTAGGTGTACAGCTCTGTGAGTTTCGACAAATGTTATATCACATAACCACTACCACACTCACATATAGTATACTTTCATCATACCAAAAAGTTCCCTCGTTCCTTTTGTAGTCAATCCTTTCCTCCTACACCCAGCACTGGAAACAATTCATCTGTTTTCTTGCTCTACAGTTTTGTCTATCCTACAATATCATGTGAATGAATCATATGATATGTAGTCTTTTTCGTGCTACTTCTTTAACTTAGCATACGTCTTTGAGATTCATTCACGTCTCTCCAAGGATCACTAGTTTCTTCCTTTTCATGCTGAGTAGTATTCCATTATACAGACATACCAAACTTTGTTTACCTACTCAAAAACTGATGAACATTTGGTTCCAGTTTGTGGTCACTATGACCAAAGCTGCTTTATTTTTTATTTGTTTATTTTTTTTGAGACGGAGTCTCGCTATGTCGCCAGGCTGGAGTGCAGTGGCACAATCTTGGCTCACTGCAACCTCCACCTCCTGGGTTCAAGCGATTCTCCCACCTCAGCCTCCAGAGTGGCTGGGATTACAGGCATGCGCCACCACGCCCAGCTAATTTTTGTATTTTTAGTAGAGACAGGGTTTCACCATGTTGGCCAGGTTGGTCTCGATCTCCTGACCTCGTGATCCGCCCTCCTCGGTCTCCCAAAGTGCTGAGATTATGCCACCGCGCCTGGCCCCAAAGACATTCACATACATGCGGGTCTTTATGTAGGCATATGTTTTCATTTCTCTTAAGTAAATACCAAGCAGTTGGAATTTGTCTTATATAAGTGTATGTTTAACTTCACAAGAAACTGCCAAACAGTTTTCCAAAGTGCTGTGCCACTTTTGCAGTCCCACCAGTAATGTATGAGAGTTTCGGTTGCTCCATATCCTCACCAAAAGTTATTTTCAGTCATTCCAACAGGTATCGAATAGTGCTCTCTCACTATCTAAGAAGTATCTAGTAGTACAGAGCTGTAGTGGTATTTGCTTTGAGGAGGAAAAGAAAAAGATAAGACCAAGGAAAAAGTCTCTCAAAAGAGTTAAAATATTCAACATATAACACAAACACAAAAGTACATAAGATCTCTGTATTAAATGAGAAAACATACATGAAGTTCCTTGAAGACAACAGGCTCCCAATAAATGTTATCTCACTTCCTTCCTTTCCCTCATTTCAACAAATGGTACACAGACAATGCCATCTCCGCATATACAAGTGAGTCAATAGAAAAAGAGCCACCATAAGCTAGAAGGTTACTACAAATGTCTCATTAGCTAACATCACATAAAAAAAATTTATCACTTGCGGTCAGGAGTTCAAGACCAACCTGGGCAACATGGCAAAACCCCATCTCTACTAAAAATACAAAAATTAGCCGGGTGTGATGGTGTGCACCTGTGGTCCCAGCTACTCAGGAGGCTGAGGTGGAAGGACTGCTTGAGCCCCGGGAGGTTGAGGCTGCAGTGAGCCATGATTGCACCACTGCACACCAGCCTGGGTGACAGAGTAAGACCTTGTCTCAAATAAAAAAAATAAAAAATAAAAAAAGTCCAATAAAACTTATAATGACGAAACCAAAAACCTATCAATAAGGGCTTCTGTTGATATTTTTCAGAATATTTTTATAAATAAAAATAAATTCATATTTTTATAAATAGATCTCTGAGCTGACAAGTTATAAAGGAATACCAAGAGGATAAAACTAAGATGAAAGGCCAGAGAGGTAAACTGAGCACTCATGCCAGTTTTACTGAAAAGACATTCACAGAAAAACCTATAGAATGGGAGAAAATATTTGCAAATCATGTATCTGACACATTAATATCTAGAGCATAAAAATGCCTAAACTCAAAAATAAAAATCCAATTTTCAAATACACAAAAGATCTGCATAGATATTTCTTCAAAGAAGATACGTAAATGGCCAATAAACACATGAAAATATGCTCAATATCACTAATCATTAAGGAGGCAAATCAAAACAATGAGATATCACTTCATAAATACTAGGATGGCTATAATTTTTAAAAAAACAAATAGAAAATAATAATATGTGTTGGCAAGACTGTGGAGAAATTGGAACCCTTCCTCTTGCATTGCTGATAAGGATGTAAAATGGTATAGCCACTATGAAAATGAGTTTAGCAGTTTCTCAAAAAGTTAAACATCGAATTACCTACCATATGACCCAACAATTCCACCACCAGGTATATATTAAAAAGAACTGAAAGCAGAGACTTGAACAGATATTTGCATACCCATGGTTCACAGCAGCACTATTCCACAGTCAAAAGGTGGAAACAACCCAAATGTCCATCATCAGGTGAAATGATAAATTGTGGTATATCCATACAATGGAATACTATATAGAATACTGCCTTTAAAACAATGTAATTTTGATACATGCTACAATATGGGTGAACATTGGAAACATTATGCTAAGTGAAATAAGCCAGACACAGAGATAAATATTGCTTGATTCCCATAATATGAGGTACTTACAAGAGACAAATTCATAAGAAAGAGAACGGAATTACCAGGGCCTGGAAGGAAGGGGAATGGGGAGTCACTCTAATAGGTACAGAGTTTATGTTGGGGATGATGAAGAAGTCTTGGGTACGGACAGTGGTGATGGCAACATAACAATGTGAACGTATTCAATGCCACTGGATTGTACACTCAAAAATAACTTCAGGCCGGGCGCAGTGGCTCACGCCTGTAACCCCTGCACTTTGGGAGGCCAAGGTGGGCAGATCACTTGATGTCAGGAGTTCAAGACCAGCCTGGCCAACATGGTGAACCCCATCTCTACTAAAAATACAAAAATTAGCCAGACTTGGTGACTCATGCCTGTAATCCCAGCTACTCGGGAGGCTGAGGCAGGAGAATCGCTTGAACCTAGGTGGCGGAGGTTGCAGTGAGCCGAGATCGTGCCACTGCACTCCAGCCTGGGCAACAGAGTGACTCCATCTCAAGAAATAATAATAATAACAATTTCAATGACAAATATTATGTTATATATATTTTGCTATCATTAAAAAAATCTGTGTTTTTTAAACAGAATCTTCATTCTGTATGTCTGTTTTGGAGCCATGGGGGGACTCTGAAGCACTTCTCACCATGAAGCGGAGCAAAACGTAAAGTAAAGAAAAAGAAGGGCAGGAGGAAAAGACATTTGCAGTCTGCCAACATTTGAGAGAAGGGACAAAAGCATATGGTTCTCCTGCAAGCCTGGGAAGACCCCACCTGAAAAGGCCCACAAGGGGCCTATGAGCAGGCTGCTCCAGGATGGGGGGACTGAGGAACAGGTATGCCAAGAAACTTACCTCATTCACCGTTACAGCCCTATGGTTCTATATGAAGGTTTGATCTTGGACATGTATTAACCAGTAATAACAAACTAATTTCTAAAAATAAATAAATCATGAGATTTGCAGCTAGAGGTAAATAAAAAATAATAAAAATAAATAAAGAAGTGTTTCTTTGAAAAAAATTTCAGCAAGATTTTTCTTTGTAGCTATAGACAAGCGGATTATAAAATCAGTAGGGGACGGGCGCGGTGGCTCACACCGGTAATCCCAGCACTTTGGGAGGCTGAGCCAGGCGGATCACTTGAGGTTGAAAGTTCAAGACCAGCCTGGCCAATATGGTGAAATCCCGTCTCTACTAAAAATACAAAAAATTAGCCGGGCGTGGTGGTGGGATCCTGTAATCCCAGCTATTTGGGAGGCTGAGGCAGGAGAATCGCCTGAACCCAGAAGGTGGAGGTTGCAGTGAGCTGAGATCACTCCACTGCACTCTAGCCTAGGCAACAGAGTGAGACTCTGTCTCAAAAATAAAAATAAAAATAAAATCAATATGAAAAGGCAAGAAGAGTAATGAAGGGAGGAGTAACGCTAATCAATTTTAAAGACTTACTATAAAGCTACAGTAATGACAGCGTAGACAGCCACAAAGATCAATGAAACAGAATAGAAAGTCCAGAAACAGACACACAAGAATGTGGCCAAATTAACTTTTGACAAAAGTGCAAATGCAATAGAGGAAGGATAGTCTTTTCAAAAAACAGTGCTGAAAGAACTGGATATCCAAATGAAATAATAAAAACCTTGACTTAAAACCTGACATGTTATAAAAGATTAACAAAATGGATTAGAGATCTAAATGTAAAACATGCAAAGAAACCCAGGAGAAAATCTTCAAAACCTGAAGTTAAACAAAGAATTATTAGACATGACACTGAAAGCAATATCCATTAAAGAAAAATACAGATAAACTAGCTTCATCAAAATTAAACACTTTTGTTCTTTGATGTATTTAGAGAATGACGAGACAAGACAAGGTAGAAACCACAAGAAAATATCTGCAAACCACATATCTGACAAAACCTCATACCTAGAACGCTGAAAACATCATTAGCCATTAGGAAAATGCAAATTAAAACCACAATGAGGTATAACTACACATCTCTCAGAAAGACAAAAATAAAAAAGAGTGACAATACCAAATACCAACAAGAATGCAGGTAAATGATCTCTTAAATATTGCTGGTAAAAATGTAAAATGGAAGAGCCACTCTGGAAAACAGATGACAGTTTCTTTAAAAACAAAATATAAACTTAACTGTATGACCCATCAATCCTACTCCTAGGTACCTGTCCTAGAGAAAGCAAAACTTATGTTCACATAAAACGCTAAGCATGAATGCTGACAGCATCTATATTTACAATTGCTAACAACTGAAATCAACCCAATTATCTTGAATGAAAAACCAACTATGGCACATTCATGCAATAAACTACTAATTAGCCATAGAATGCAATGAACTGTCGATACAGGAAACAACTTGGATGAGTCTCAAAATCATGAGAGAAATTTTTGAGGGTGATGTAAATGTTCTATATCCTCATTGTAGTAATTACATGAATCTATACATGTACTGAAATTCACAGAACTATACACAGAAAGAAAAACTTAATATTAGGTGTACTTTTTAAAACTAAATTTTAAAAGAAAAAGGAGATAGGTAGTAACACTCCACATACATACCAAGACTACAAGTCTGCTTCTTTCACAGATTCCAGGGAGGTAAGGATAAGGCGGCATTCCTTCGCCCTTCAGACAAGAACTCACCCACTGATAAATACTTGGTGGCTCAGACGTAAAAAATGATGGATGATGCATAAATCCTGTTTGACCTTTAAAATTAGATAAATATTCAAAAAGACACGAAAATACATTAAGACAACATTATTTTATTTTAAACGGAAGATGATCAACAGTTACTTGTCATTTTGAAACAACTAGAATAATATTTTTCCAGCTGGGTGCAGTGGCTCACGCCTGTAACCCCAGTACTTTGGGAGGCCCAAGCAGGTGGATCACGAGGTCAGGAGTTAAAGAACAGCCTGGCCAATATGGTGAAACCCCGTCTCTACTAAAAATACGAAAAAAATTAGCTGGGCCTGGTGGTGCGCACCCGTAGTCCCACCTACTTGGGAGACTGAGGCAGAAGAATCACTTGAACCCGGGAGGTGGAGGTTGCAGTGAGCCCAGATCATGCCTAAGAGACAGAGCGAGACTCTGTCTCAAAAAAAAAAAAAAAAAAAAAAAAGGAATAACGTTTTTCCATATTCTCCAAAATGCTTCATGTTTTCTGCCACAGCACATAAGGAACTATGTTATTAAATGTAGAATTTAAATGACTTCTATTTTATCCCACCCTGGATGGAAATTTAGCAAATTCTTGTTCCCAAGGCATATAAAGAATCTAACCAAAGGCTGGATGTGGTGGCTAACACCTGTAATCCCAGCCCCTTGGGAGGCTGAGTCAGGTGGATCACTTGAGGTCAGGAGTTCAAGGCCAGCCTGGCCAACATGGTGAAACCCCATCACTACTAAAAATACAAAAATTAGCCAGGCGTGGTGGCACACACCTATAACCCCAGGCAATCCCAGGCACTTGGGAGGCTGAGGCAGGAGAATCGCTTGAGCCTGGAAGGCAGAGGATGCAGTGAGCCAAGATCGTACCACTGCACTCCCGTCTGGGTGACAGAGTGAGACCCTGTCTCAAAAAAAAAAAAAAAAAAAAAAAAAGAAGAAGAAGAATCTAACCAAAAATTTTGCCCTAACCCTAAAGGTGAAAAAAACAAAAGAAACATCCAGGATTCAGCTCTGTTCCAACAACTGGGCCCCAAATTTCAGTACCTTTAGCTCAGGGTCTAGGACAGTACAGTAGTGATGGAAATGTTCTGTGTCTGTATCTGCACTGTCCAATATGGTAGCACTAGCCCCATGTGGCTACTGAGTTCTCAAAATGCGGCTAGTACACTGAGGAAATATATGTTTTATTTTAATTGAATTTAAGTAGCATATGGTTAGTGGTACTAACTGTACTCTACAAGTCTAAGTTGGTGGCCTGGCGCAGTGGCTCACGCCGTAATCCCAGCACTTTGGGAGGCCGAGGTGGGTGGATCATGAGGTCAGGAGATCAAGACCATCCTATGTAACACGATTAAACCTCGTCTCTAATAAAAATACAGAAAAATTAGCCAGGCGTGGTGGCGGGCACCTGTAGTCCCAGCTACTCAGGAGGCTGAGGCAGGAGAATGGCGTGAACCCAGGAGGCAGAGTTTGCAGTGAGCCGAGATCGCGCCACTGCACCCCAGCCTGGGTGACAGAGCAAGACTCCGTCTCAAAAAAAAAAAGCATCCTTGACACTGGAAGCTCTTTCTCTGACTTTTGCAAGTCAGAACCTTAGGGATGGGTAAAATTTTCCCTATACACTGAAGATATTATGGCTTACTACGTGTCAGAAAACAAGCACTACGAACTAAAATCTGCCTGGTGGAAAGGCATTGCCCCTGACTTAGAAGCTAATGGTAAGAAATACATCCTCTGCTATTCATTGAGAAAGATACAAGGAAATATCACTACACTGTTTAGAAAATATTTAAAAGCACGACTACTTACCTGGATCAATTGTGCACACTTGTCCAGTAGTTCTGACAAGCGTTGGGTAGTCTCTATAGTAATGATCTACATAAGGCCCCAATTTTAAGTCCCTAAAACAGTAAGGGCATGCAAAAAAGAAGGTATTACAGCACTTTCTCCCAACAGAATTGGAAGGATTAATTAGTTGAATCTTTAAATTTAAAAACTTACTTATGAGAAAGATAACCAAATCTAGAGTCTCTCTATTGTATTTTTGGACTTTAAAGTGCCCAGTGTGACAAATGGAACCCAACCTCTTTTTGCTAAATTTTGTGGAAGTAAAACTACAGTAAAAGCACCATGATCTAGTTCCTCCTCTGCTATTCATTAGCTGTGTGATCTTCCATAAGTCATGTCTATAAACCTCAGTATTTTCTTCTAGGAAATGGGGCAATATCAGCTCACTTACTCTGAAGTTTTAAAGAGTAAATAAGATAAAATATGTAAAAAAAAAAAAAACCTGATAAAATGTAAAACATCATACACATTACTTATTTCAGACAGCCATGATTATGGTTTGGAAATTATTTAATTACAAAATAATTTTGATGATAGTAATGACATCCTAAGAGATATTTACCATTGATTAAAACTGCCATGTCTCAGGATTGAATTTCAAGATCTCAAAAAAGACAACAGAAATTAGAAAATGTACTATGTCTTAACTCAGAGGCTGACATTTCAATTCAAATTCAACTTCTTTATCACCAAAGGTCATAAAGGTCAAACAACACACAAGTATGACCCTAGAATTCTGAGCCATACACAAGGTGCTTCAAAGCTCTTGAAAGGTGTTGAAACGTATTATTAGAACTATCTTATTGTGGATCTACTATGAGTGCCTCAAAGACAGGGACAACCTCAGACTGCAACAAGGATAGCATAGCAAAATGAGTCCACAACTATCAAACACTCATATCCCAGGAAACAAATTTAGGCAAGTTTCCTCATCACTAAAATAGGAAACTTACCTTGTTTGAGACTTTATATGTAAACTATGATTTTGTCAACTATAAAGCACTATTTGAATGTGGATATTACAAAACAGCAGATGTTATTCTAGAACTCCCACCACAGTATAGTCAGTCAGTCATCCTGTCAAAATGAAAATCTGAGCAGGTCATCTCCATTTTTTCGTGACCTTCCACTAATCTCAGGACAAAGACTAAAAATCCCTGCATGGCTCACAGGCCCTTACAAAACCAGTATCTTCAAACAACTCTGTGGTTTACAGAGATGTCCTAGTTTTCTGAGAAGGCAGATTTCAGAAACGTATTTACAAGGTCCCTATATGATATCATGGAAAAGACAGTCATCTCAGGACTTCCTGGCAGTTTCTAACCTACAAACAAATTTACCTTGCCAACTGAACGAGAAGTTCAACGAGTGAACAAATTCCTTCTCCCATTAGAGTATTCAACTTAAGCTCCTCATACACAAGGTGAAGAACAAAAAAAATTGCAGGTATGTGAGTAAAGAGAAGTGTAGAAGAATCCAGACTGAGATTCTGTGAAAAATCCTCATCCTTCATCTGTGAAGCTTCTGAAGGACTCAGACATAAAGATCTGTTCAAAAGATGAGACTCAACACTCTGGTGGTAGTCTGAATTTAGTAAATATTCCCAGTCCTGAGAAGAATAAAAAGAATATTAATTTTTAAAAATAATACCTCCTTATAATATCATAAGAAAATTAATTCACTTAAAACAATTCAAGTTTCATTTTCACATTAAGTTGATCTAAGAGTATGTTAAAAAAAAGACAATGCTAAGAATGAAGTAACTATAAAATAGCAAGCCAGTTATAAACGTTAAGGCAAGCCACCTTTAAAAACCATTAAAAAAAATCTTTTCATGCCCTTTTAGGAAAGACATTGGGAGAAGAATTATACTATTTAGGTAGAGATTGAGAGAGAAAATTTAAGATTATCTCAGGCTAGGTTTTATAGGAAAAGTAGATGGCAAGTTAGTGGCCACTACACTGAACTGTGTTTTGGTAAGAAGGAAGGTCCACCTGCATTCATCTGGTGTATTCATCTTTCCACATGTATAAGATGCCAGGGCTACTAATATAATCTAATAATCAACTGATTTTTATATTCAGACTGATTGGACTACATTTTCCAAATGTTCAGTCTATTTTGGTTCTACTTGTGATTTACTGCATTTGGTTCAGAGAATGTGGTTTATGCTATTTCCAGATCTTGGAATTTACTGGTGTTTTTATAAGGCTTAATACAGTGTGTTATTCTAAATTAAAAATTATTGGACTAGATACAGAAAGAACTAACCATAAAAGAAAAAACTGGGCCGGGTGCACTGGCTCATGCCTGTAATCCCAGCACTTTGGGATGCCGAGGCGGGTGGATCACGAGGTCAGGAGATCGAGACCATCCTGGCTAACACGGTGGAACCCCATCTCTTCTAAAAAAAATACAAAAAAATTAGCTGGGTGTGGTGGCGGGCACCTGTTAGTCCCAGCTATTGGGGAGGCTTAGGCAGGAGAATGGCATGAACCTGGGAGGCGGAGCTTGCAGTGAGCTGAGATCATGCCACTGCACTCCAGCCTGGGCAACAGAGCGAGACTCCATCTCAAAAATAAAATAAAATAAAATAAAAAACTGATATATTGGATAACTAAAATAAAAAATTCTGCTCATCAAAGACACTGTTAAAGCCACATTCTAAGGGAAAATATGGTCAAGAATTCATGTCTAGAACATGTAAGAACTTCACCAGCTTACATATTTTTTAAAATCTAATTTACAAGTTGATAAAGATTTGAACAGAAACTTCACAAAAAGATACATAAGCAGCTAATGAGCACATGAAAGAGTGTTTAACATCCTCCAAACTCAGCCTCCAAGTAGCTAGGACTACAGGTTATGTGCCATCATGCCTGGCTAATTTTCAAATTTTTTTGGTAGACAACTGGTCTTACTTAAAAATTAGCCAGGCATGATGGAGCATACCGGTAGTCCTAGCCACTTGGAGGCTGAGGTAGGAGGATGGCTTGAGCCTAGGAGTTCGAGATTACAGTCAACCACGATAGCATCACTGCAGTCCAGCGTAGGCAAAAGAGTGACACCCTGTCTCTTAAAAAAAAAAAAAAAAAAAGAAATGAAAATGTATGTCCACGGGCCAGGCATGGTGGCTCACACCTGTAATCTCAGCACTTTGGGAGGCCAACATGGGTGGATTATTGAGGCCAGGAGTTTGAGACCAGGCTGGCCAACATGGCAAAATCCAGTCTCTACTGAAAATACAAAAATTAGCCAGGCATGGTGGCGCATACCTGTAATTCTAGCTACTGGGGAGGCTGAGGCATGAGAACTGCCTGAACTCAGGAGTCAGAGGTTGCAGTGAGCCGAGATCGTGCCACTGCATTCCAGCCTGGATGACACAGCAAGACTCTGTCCTCCCCCCCCCCAAAAAAAGAAAATATATATCCACAAAGACTTGCCAGTGAATTTTGGCAGTAGCTTGCTTTATTCATAAGACTTAAAAAAAAAATGGAAATAGCCTAGATATCTACCAGCAGAAGAAGGATGGATAAACAAACTATGGTATATTCATACTACTCAGCAATAAAAAAGCACAAACTACGGGTATCTGTAACAACATGAATGAATCTCAAAAGCATTATGCTGAATAAATCTTATACCAAAGATTACATACTATATTATTTTATTTACATCAAGTTCTAGAACAGGCATAACTAAGATATGGTGACAGAATTCAGATCAGTGATTGCTAGAAGAAGAGAATAAAGCTGATTAAAAACAGCAAGAGGGGCCAGGCCCAGTGGCTCATGCCTGTAATCCCAGAACTTTGGGAGGCCGAGGTGGGCAGATCACGAGGTCAGGAGTTCAAGACCAGCCTGACCAACATGGTGAAACCCTATCTCTACTAAAAATACAAAAATTGGCCAGGCGTGGTGGCGCATGCCTATAATCCCAGCTATTCAGGAGGTTGAGGCAGGAGAATAGCTTCAACCCAGGAGGTGAAGAGCCGACATCGTGCCACTGCACTCCAGCCTGGGCAATAAGGCAAGACTCCGTCTCAAAAAAAAAAAAAAAAACCGCACGGGGAAATTTTACGGAGTTATAAAAATATTCTGTGTCTTTATAGGAGTGTAGGTTACATGAGTGTGCATATATTAAAACTGATCAAACTGTAAACTCAAGATGTATTTCATTTTTGTAAATTACACCACAATTTAAAAAAACATATTTGGACCACTTAAGAATAATACCATGGAGGCCAGGTGCAGTGGCTCATGCCTGTAATCCCAGCACTTTGGGACGCCAAGGTCAGGAAGGTCACTTGAGGTCAGGAGTTCGAGACCAGCCTGGCCAACATGGTGAAACCCTGTCTCTACCAAAACTACAAAAATTAGCCAGGCATGGTGGCGGGCGCCTGTAATCCCAGCTATTCAGGAGGCTGAGACAGAACTGCTTGAACCTGGGAGGCGGAGATTGCAGTGAGCTCAGATCGTGCCACTGCACTCCATCCCGGGCAACAAGAGCGATACTCCGTCTCAAAAAAAAAAAAAAAAAAAAGGAATATACCATGGAACCTGATACGATTGAGAACCTTAATTTAAAAAACACTGCATAAAAAAGGTAAATGCTGTCATTTCAGGTGATCAGTTGATAATAAAATGTCTACAAACCCAAACTGAAATCATGCAGTAATACATACATTAATTTTTGGATAATCATTAAAGACCATAGAAAATGTAACAGATCCTACTCTTCAAAATAATTGCTATTCAGTATTAAAATAAATAAAGTGAAAGGTGTTGGAAAGATAGAGGAATTGATAGGAATACCACAGAAGTGGAAGAATAGTATGAATATCCATAAATTAATTTATATTAGCAAGAAATAATAATGCTTACATCATCAGATCCAGTCTCAGAAGGCCTTGCTTTTTTGGGCGCAATGACAGGGGAAAGTGATCCTTCAAAGTCAAACTGAAAGGTAACCCCAAAAGAAAAGATAAAAATCATAAATGCATTCCTGTCAACTGATCAACTTAAAGGATTCGGAAATCAGTTCTGCCAATTATGAAAACTGAGAAAAGCCATCAAAACTCATTTTTTGATCTGGAAAGTCATTATTTAAATATCTTTCTTCTAGGTTACTGTAAAGATGAAATGAAATCATATTAATATATGCAAACATCTAGAACAGTGCCTGGGCTCCTAAGTACTGATTTTAATGGTAGTTTCCTTCCCTCTCCTACTTCTGTAATGACATAGATTACAACACATCTTTGGTAGAAAAAGAAACTTTAGGCATATCCACAATATACCAAGTCTCAAAGGATCAACCCAATATCAGTCAAATGTTAGAACTAAGCAAACATTTATTTACAGTCCACCTACAGTAAACTATCTAACAATTCTATGGCAGAGACAAGTAGCTACTCTGGAAAATCTTTTTTTTTTTTTTTCCTTTACATTCTTTTAATTAAGTCATCATACACACCTTTCATTTTCTTGAAATTTATTTTTATGCCATTCATTAAATTTTTGTTTTCTTCATTCAAATTGTTACCTGTTTTATAGACAAAATTTTTTTTTTTTGAAATTTTTTTTTTTTAATTATACTTTAAGTTTTAGGGTACATGTGCACATTGTGCAGGTTAGTTACATATGCATACATGTGCCATGCTGGTGCGCTGCACCCACTAACTCGTCATCTAGCATTAGGTATATCTCCCAATGCTATCCCTCCCCCCTCCCCCCTCCCCACCACAGTCCCCAGAGTGTGATATTCCCCTTCCTGTGTCCATGCGATCTCATTGTTCAATTCCCACCTATGAGTGAGAATATGCGGTGTTTGGTTTTTTGTCCTTGCGATAGTTTACTGAGAATGATGGTTTCCAATTTCATCCATGTCCCTACAAAGGACATGAACTCATCATTTTTTATGGCTGCATAGTATTCCATGGTGTATATGTGCCACATTTTCTTAATCCAGTCTATCATTGTTGGACTTTTGGGTTGGTTCCAAGTCTTTGCTATTGTGAATAATGCCGCAATAAACATACGTGTGCATGTGTCTTTATAGCAGCATGATTTATAGTCCTTTGGGTATATACCCAGTAATGGGATGGCTGGGTCAAATGGTATTTCTAGTTCTAGATCCCTGAGGAATCGCCACACTGACTTCCACAATGGTTGAACTAGTTTACAGTCCCACCAACAGTGTAAAAGTGTTCCTATTTCTCCACATCCTCTCCAGCACCTGTTGTTTCCTGACTTTTTAATGATTGCCATTCTAACTGGTGTGAGATGATATCTCATAGTGGTTTTGATTTGCATTTCTCTGATGGCCAGTGATGATGAGCATTTTTTCATGTGTTTTTTGGCTGCATAAATGTCTTCTTTTGAGAAGTGTCTGTTCATGTCCTTTGCCCACTTTTTGATGGGGTTGTTTGTTTTTTTCTTGTAAATTTGTTTGAGTTCATTGTTGATTCTGGATATTAGCCCTTTGTCAGATGAGTAGGTTGCGAAAATTTTCTCCCATGTTGTAGGTTGCCTGTTCACTCTGATGGTAGTTTCTTTTGCTGTGCAGAAGCTCTTTAGTTTAATTAGATCCCATTTGTCAATTTTGGCTTTTGTTGCCATTGCTTTTGGTGTTTTGGACATGAAGTCCTTGCCCACGCCTGTCCTGAATGGTAATGCCTAGGTTTTCTTCTAGGGTTTTTATGGTTTTAGGTCTAACGTTTAAATCTTTAATCCATCTTGAATTGATTTTTGTATAAGGTGTAAGGAAGGGATCCAGTTTCAGCTTTCTACATATGGCTAGCCAGTTTTCCCAGCACCATTTATTAAATAGGGAATCCTTTCCCCATTGCTTGTTTTTCTCAGGTTTGTCAAAGATCAGATAGTTGTAGGTATAGCATTGGCCCAGGCAGCTCTGCTTTAGGCTGTAGATGTGTAGCCGGCTGTTCTGCTGCCGTTCTGCCTCACCTGCCTCATTCTGGGACCCAGGCTGGAGGGTGTGTTTCTCTCGTGGTGTTGATAGAAACCTAGGAGAGAACCAGTGAAGATTGGGACCCATAATTTAGTCTACTATAATGATAAATGAAATTATTCCCAAAGTTGAAATGTTTTGGCTATCACAATACATGGTAGCATAAGTCAGAGATCTGAAAAACGCTTATTCTGAAAATATTCAACACTGGTTGTTAAAGCATGTTCATCTGCAAAGTAGTCTACCCTTCTTTGGCTATATCATGATGATGTCTAATGGTGTCATTGCACAGTCTCACAGCTGCGGCATACCTCTTTCACACTGTATATAGAAGATTTCATCTTTAATTCATATGTATATGCCTTTTTATATAATTACTGTCAGAATGTACATTAAAAAAATTTTTTTTTTTTGAGAGAGTCTTGCTCTGCTGCCCAGCCTGGAGTACAGTGGTGCAATCTTGGCTCATTGCAAGCTCCGCCTCCCGGGTTCACGTCATTCTCCTGCCTCAGCCTTCCGAGTAGCTGGGACTACAGGCGCCCGCCACTACGCCTGGCTAATTATTGTGTATTTTTAGTAGAGACAGGGTTTCATGGTGTTAGCCAGGATAGTCTGGATCTCCTGACCTTGTGATCTGCCTGTCTCAGCCTCCCAAAGTGCTGGGATTGCAGGCATGAACCACTGTGCCCCGCCTAAAAATTGTTTTTATAGATCATTGTTATAAATGGGTTTTAAAACAAATTTTGTGTAATATTCATTGAGTCGATGGTCTGTAAAATGCCTTTTTTTAACTTTTAGAACTTTTTAGATTGTTTCTAATAATCCTTTGTTGTTATATATAAACATTACACTGATTACCTTTGTGTGATTTTTTTCTTTAATTTTTATTATTTATTTATTTATTTAGAGACAGAGTCTCGCTCTGTCACCCAGGCTGGAGTGGAGTGGGGCGATCTCGGTTCACTGCAGCCTCTGCCTCCCAGGTTCAAGCAATTCTCCTGCCTCAGCCTACCAAGTAGCTGGGATTACGGGTGTCTGTCAGCATGCCTGGCTAATTTTTGTAGTTTTAGTAGAGATGGGATTTCTCCATGTCGGACAGGCTGGTCTCGAACTCGTTGACCTCAAGTGATCCTCCTGCCTTGGCCTCCCAAAGTGCTGGGATTACAGGCAAGGGCCAGCACGTCCAGCCTTTTTTCTTTTTTTTTAAATTGCATTTTTTTCCTATAGGGATAAAATTTCAGGAATGTGAACATTTTTTCAGAGGGAAGGGTTTTAATACATAGTACATTTTATCGTTTTCAACAAGGTAGTGTTAGAGTTATAGGGTGCTTTTAAAAGTGTGAATTTTGTATCCAGTCAGACTTCTAGGATCAGTACACAGAAATTCTACCATAGTAGGGCTCATTATTATATACACTCGAAATAAATGTCTAAACATAATATTTAACAGCTTAACAACATAAGTAAGTGACCTCCTTATTCATTATCATCATTCGAACATGTTTCACCACATGTGATGTGTGGATTTGAAAGTAATGAAAACAAAATGTAAGATATTTCGTTGTTGTTGTTGCTGAGATGGTGTCTCACTCTGTCACCCAGGCTGGAGTGCAGCGACCTGATTTTGGCTCACTGCAACCTCTGCCTCCCAGGTTCAAGCGATTTTCCTGCCTCAGCCTCCCCAGTAGCTGATATTACAGGCACCTGGCACCCTGGCTAGTTTTTGTATTTTTAGTAGAGACAGGGTTTCACCATGTTGGCCATCTGGTCTCCAACTCCTGACGTCAAGTGATCCACCTGCCTCGGCCTCCCAAAATGCTGGGATTACAGGCATGAGCCAGCACACCCGGCCCAGATGTTTTAACAAAAAAATAAAACTTTTTTTTTGAATACTCTTACCTTTTTCCCTTTAAAATTTTTTTCTACTACTTGGTAATTTTTTTGGTAAGACTCAAAGTTTCACAGTATTTGAATATCATTGCTTATAAAGACTTAAATTGGCAATTTAAAAAGAACTATTTTGGGCCCTTTTTTTTTGGTAGGTAAACCTACAGTTGTGGACACCATTTATTATAGTGTCATAACTTTCTGAATAGTTATATCCCATTCGTATCTCCAGTGCAACTTGCTAGAAAGTTAACTCTAAGATTTTTATGAGATGAGATTTTGAGAAGCTAGTTTGAACTGTGTTGCTTTTGTTTTTACAGGACGGCCTCCTGGTCCTGAAATGGAATACTGCACTGACAGAGAGTCATACTCCTTAGCTGCTGGCTTGGCCCTGGGCATGGTCTGCTTGGGGGTAAGCATAGCCTATGCCTTCCCATGCTTCAGTTAGGACATCTACATGTTGAGACAAATAACGTTGACACCTAAACCTGAATATTGTCCCTTACTATGACTTAATCTGCTGCCCAGCTCTATTGTCTTTTTGGATATTTTTCAAAGTACCAGATTTGCAAATTGAGAGAAACTGTGGTCAAGAGTGGGACTTTAAGATTTCTTTTCCTCCAGCTTGCAGTGTTCATGAACAAACTGAAGGGAATAAAGTTTTTTTTTTTTAAAGCGTTCAAGACATAGAATGAATAAGTGACAGCCCACTATGACTGAAAACAGAGAATAGTGAAAACGTATATGATCGGGAGCCTTAAGAGTCTATAGTAGCTGCTTGAAACAAACCCTAACCCCCTTTTGCCATAGTGATGTTCACTGTGTATCCCAGAATGTTGTCCCAGTAGCATCTTCCTTGTGACAAAATGCAGTATCAGATTGACCCATCTTTAACTCCATCCAAGAGATGTGTACAGAATTACCAGAAATGTTTCATTAAATGATTGTTTCACTTGAAATGTGGTTCCCCTTGAAAAACCACCAATACATTCTTATGGTCAAACTAAATGATATAAAGAAAGTTATAAGGCCGAGGTGATCGGATCACCTGAGATTGGGGGTTCAAGACCAACCTGACCAACATGGAGAAACCCCATCTCTACTAAAAATACAAAATTAGCCAGGTGTGGTGGCGCATGCCTGTAATCCCAGCTACTCGGGAGGCTGAGGCAGGACAATCGCTTGAACCCAGGAGGCGGAGGTTGTGGTGAATCGAGATCACACCATTGCACTCCAGCCTGGGCAACAAGAGTGAGACTCCATCTTAAAAAAAAAAAAAGTTATAGTGGAAGGAATTTTTTTCATGTGTGTTCTGAAAATCCACCTTGTGGTTGACCATCTGTTAGGGCCTTGAATTCACATTGGCACGTGAGCTAAAGAGGCTGGTGGTATAATGGAAAATAATCAGCTGGGTGTGGTGGCTCATGCCTGTAATCCCAGCACTTTGGGAGGCTGAGATGGGCGGATCACGAGGTCAGGAGATCCAGACCATCCTGGCTAACACGGTGAAACCCCGTCTCTACTAAAAATACAAAAAAATTAGCTGGGCATGGTGGTGGGTGCTTGTAGTCCCAGCTACTCAGGATGCTGAGGCAGGAGAATGGTGTGAACCCAGGAGGCGGAGCTTGCAGAGAGTCGAGATCGTGCCACTGCACTCCAGCCTGGGCAAGAAGGCGAGACTCCGTCTCAAAAAAAAAAAAAAAAAAGAAAAGAATCACACAGGGAATTGCAACTTGAATTCTGGTCCTAACTAGTGAGTCAAGTCATTTAACTACATTATTGTGTATTGCTTAATCAGCTTCATGGATTGTTGAGCCAGATGGCCGTGTTTTATATATAGCCCTGCAACTTAACTATAATAGCTGTATAACCTTGGGCTTAATCCCTCTGTGCCACACTTTCCTTATTTATAAAATAGGGTTTTAATAGTAGCTATTTGATATGGCTGTTCATTCATGTTAAACACACAGAATAGTGCCTGACACAGAGCATGCATTTAATAAATTACTATTATTATCATAGTTATTGTTGGAAAAGTTCTTAAGTACAATAATGACAGTATTCAGGTATTTACAGTTCCAGTTTCAATTATATAACTAATATTTTTCTTTATTGTTAAATGTCACTAACTCTAAAGCTCTTATGTATTTTAAGACAGTACTTAAAGTTGAACATTCATGTATTAAAACTTTTATGAGAATTATTAATATTTATTAACTCATGATTAATGTTTGCTTTAAATTGGAAATAAAAAAAACAAAACCCAAAATAACCTGCTTTGAAGTTAGTTCATTTTTATATTTGTTATGGGTATGTGTTGTGGATCTTCCTTCATAAAATTTCTTTTCACTCGTCTGTTATTGTCTTTTCCAGCATGGCAGCAATTTGATAGGTATGTCTGATCTCAATGTGCCTGAGCAGCTCTATCAGTACATGGTTGGAGGACGTAGGCGCTTTCAAACAGGAATGCATAGGGAGAAACATAAATCACCAAGTTATCAAATCAAAGTAAGTACACAGCAAAGTAATAGATCAAAAGTCTGGAAGCTGGGAAGTTAATTGGAAAATACTAGTGTTCATACTGACATTGGTAAATGTGTTAATTTTAAGCATAGTTATTATTCAGAGGAATTTTATAATAATTTAGAACTCTTTTACATGCATAAACTCTTCTTTCAATAGGAAGGAGATACCATAAATGTGGATGTGACTTGTCCAGGTGCTACTCTAGCTTTGGCTATGATCTACTTAAAAACCAATAACAGGTATTTCTACCCACTCACCCTTCCTCCCGCGGTGATAGTGTGATATGGTCAGGACATAATACTTTTGTGTGTTAACAAATTATAAAATTGAATATAAAATAATAACATACATGGTGAATATTAAAGTTTACTTTTTATATATGTTTAATATTTTGTATCAATGACTTGTCTAAGAATATTTCCCACTGATTTTAATATTACTTCTGTGTTTTGAAGAGAATAGGAAAGAGTATTTATGAGTTGCACAACTGACAGAACAATAATAGATTTGAGCATTTGAAAAGAGGTTTATTTTCAAATAACTCCTATGGAGCAAACCACATTACTTGAGTAGAAATATGAAATAACTAGAACTGTATTTAAAAAGTCATCACTTGGTACAATTTCATGTAAGTTATACAAAAGATGAGTATCTCAAGTTTTATTCTGATTTTACAAGTATGTAATTTTTCAATTTTTACAGGGTTATATATTCATTTAACATATTTGGTAGATATCAAACCAAAACCTATTTTTTCATGTATCATGCACTTTCTTACACATTGTAGATTCTCTTGTCATCTCTTAATCTTTCTTTCATGACCTTCTAGATTATTCTGGCATAATATACTATTTAATGGTGTAATTTATCATTGTAATGAATTGATTCTCTGTGTGATTCCCACTGGATATATAGTGGCAAAAAACCAATTGGCATGACTATGTTTCTTTATATGACAGAAAAGAATAATAACTATCGTTTAGAGGTAGCATTAGGCATTGTGAGACAGCAGAGGCAGCATTTTATAAAAAGTTTGGTTCCTATTTTAATATTCGGCATATTTCACTAACACTACAAAGAATGATTCTGCAAAAAAGGGTAATATAAGATAATTCAGTAATGCATTTTTCATTCTTTTAACATGTGGATTGAACACTAACCATGAAAAAGGCATGGCGATTCTTAATATGCAGGTTATTAAGAATAAAACTGTCATCTCTCACAGAATATTCACAGTGAATATACGACCCACAGCAATTATAATGATCAAGATTTTTAAAGTTAAATATAATAAGAAAGAGATAAAATTAGCATGGTGGACATTTGGAAGAGAAGATGTCTTTTTTCTTATGGAGGAGGGATGTAAATTCCAATAACGTAACTTTTCTATGTAGGTAAAAAGGATTTCCTATAAGAGGAAAAACAAAGTAAGCTTTGAAGAAGATATAAAATATAATAAATTCTATTGTTAAATAAACCATCCTGTGACTTTTGCTTTTAGATTTCAGGAACCACTGTAGCTTTCATAATTAGAGGTTTGATTATTTGTTGTACAACTTGATTGCTACATTCTGTATCCTAGGTCTCATGTGTTCCACATTAAAATGTTTTATAATTAAAATACAGCATCTCCATGTTGTATAATTAATTATAAATTCCAACCACAAAAGGAACAAAAACATGGCTTTCCTCAAAATGAAATGCCTATCTGACATGTGAAAAACAGTTCAGTGCATGAGGTTAAGGCTGATGTTAACTTTCTCACACAGCCGGTTACCTGCATTAATTATCAAGATTGTGAGTGGCACTTTCATTTAAAGTGAATTGTAATAACACTTTTTGAGTCACTAGGCAGATACATGAAGTGATTCAGTGTTTCAATAAAGCAGTCACAAAAATAGGTGATTTTAAAAAATAGTAATCATAAAAGTATACTTTGAGTTCATATTTCTTATCTTTTTTTAAACTTTGTTAATAGAGGAATGGTGAAGAAATATCAATGAAATTTGGCTAAGGTTTCTTGAGTCAGCAAAAATCCCAATTTATGTATCTTTATGCAGTTGGGGGAAGACCCCAAACTTATTACAAGAACCAACAAATTTTGCTAAACATAAAGGAAATAATACACTGATTACGAAATTAAATGTAACTTTCCAAATATTTTTCAAACTTACTGGTTACTTCCTTACCTGTCCCAGAGAAGATGAGGACATTTTCACTCCAACTGGCTTTAAAATTCCTAAATGAAAACCATTCAATTTGTAATTGTTATCAAATAATTACCACAATATCTGTTAGAATACAGTTTGGGCATACATTTGTGTAGCCATAACAAAAATAAATAATATTCAAGGACTAAAGTCACTTTTCACATATTGAAAATATTGGGTTCAATTATTACAAAGCTTAAGGTTCTTAGTAATGTCTCTAATCAAATAAAGATAATTTAGGTAATAGAGACTCAATGCTTCTGTTGATTACATAAAAATACATTTCCCAAGTCATTAATATAGAGGAAGTATTATGTCTCAATAGGCTTTATCCTCTGTCTTTAATTAATTGTTATTATTCCCCAATGTGCTGGGTGTACTTTTCTGATAGACTAGGAAGGGGACAAATTTAGGATCCCAGTGGCAAGAGTAAAAACTCCAGAGATCATGGACAGTAATCTAAGATCAAGTCTACAATAGAAGTCAATTTCTCAAGTTTAATTTCCAGAAAATGTACAAGAATTGAATTAGAGGGCCAGATTCTTACGCTATTAGTTAGGTGTTGCTTGATCTGTTGGAGGAATACAGGCAAGAATCCAAAAGTGAATTGCATTGCAAGACAGAAATAAGGACATAGCCAAGGCAACATAATAACTTTAAACTCTTTTATTCAACTGGCAACACTCAGAGAGGGTAAATTATATTTCAGATATTTTGTATCCCCAGGAAATTGTTCTGTAATTGTCATGAATTATATATTTAATATTTGGTACACGGTTATCACTAATTACCTGAGAAAATGAAAATGACAGTCTAATGTTGAGCCAAATAGAGAGAGGTGCCAGAATACAAATGACACAGAGAAATGTGTCTGTGTCTTTACCTCAGTTAATCCAACATAAATTAGAGGTAGATATCAAAAGAAGACTAATAACACACAGGGTGAGAAATTGGTCAAAAGAGGGAAATTTTTAAGTTTGGGTCACAATAGATATTATTCTTGTTATTCTTTATAAGACTCAGGATTCCATTTCTCTACTTTTCCTTAATTCATATTTCTTGTACTTTGTAGATATTTTAACTTTAACATATTTACTTTTTTCTTTCTTGTTATACAAATTCTATTGTAACAACACACACAAAAATAAAAATAAACCCAATGCAAAGCCACGGTCAACATGTGGTTCACCTAGATATTTTATATTAATATGAAATACTGATTTATGCACACACATGTGAGCATATACAGACTTGCACAGATGTACATTGAGAGAAGATAATTTTGATTTGCTACCTATTTTTACACTTGACTATGTATTAGAGATCATGACATTATCAGGTTTTAATGGGCTCACAGTTCTCCATTGTATGGAGGAAATATGACTCTTTAATAGAGGGTTAGCATCTTGTATAGTTCTAATTTTTGCTCCTATAAACATAACTTATAAAGATCCCTGTAACTGTGTCATACTTTTATTATTTATTTAGGATTAATTCATTGAAAGGAATAGTTTAGTAAAACAAATGCACATTCCATTTGCTAAATGTTTTTAAAAGTTAGCAAGTAGACATCCAGAAAATTTGCGAGTTTTTATTTCTTAAAAATATGTAGGATAGTGCCTATATCAGTTCATTGTAGTCACTGCTGGATATTGCAACATATTTTTAGTTTTGATTATTGAACAGAAAAATGTGACAGCTTGTCATTTTAAAAAATGTATTAATTTGACAATGTATTGATGTGCAATGCTTCTTTAGATGCTTATTAATTATTCAAATTATTTATTTTAGAGATTACTTTCAGTGAACTTTTATCCATTTTTCTACCGGTTAAATTTTTATTGACTTGTAAGAGCTCTTTATGAAATAGTAATGCTTTTTATTTGCATTTATTATAATTTTTAAAAAATTATTTGCTTTTTAATATTAATTGTTACATATTTAAATAGGTTCCTAAATTGTCTCCACTTTTAGTGTCACAACTAGGCAGTTCTTCTCCAGCCAAACTTTTATACATATTTACATATAATATTCTATATTTGTAATAATTCTCTTACCACATATATATATATACTTGCTATGAAATAAATTTAGTTTTCAGTAAATGTGGGGGAGGAATCTAACTTTAAATTTCCCTGAATCGTTAGAAAGTTGCATCAAAGTCATTCATTCAGTGAATAATCTATTTTTATCTCCTCTAATTGAGTATTTGTAAATATTTTTTGAATTATTAAATCAAAATGTATATTGAGATTTTGATAGAAATTCTGTTCAATCAACACATTAGTGGGTTTTCTCTTATAAAAATATCATCAGGGTAATAACAATTTGTTTTCTACATTGGCCTCTCAAAAAAGTTCTGTGCCATAAGCTTACTATTTTGTGCGTATCACATTAATGCTATTCATTTAAACGTGAACAGTTCTTTTCAATAGAATAATCATATCACCAGCAAATAGAAGTATATGTTGATTTTCTTTCAATAATCACAACACTTATTTTTGTTTTCTTGTCAAGTTTCACTTGTTAGAATTTCCGGAAACAAATGTTAAACCATTTATATGCCTGAAAAAATTGTTTTTTGAATTTTAAATGTTAATGTGGATGCCTCACAGTAAAATCAACTCAACGCTTGTGTGGTATACGTATATATAGAGATGTTTATATACTTTTATATAATTTTTAAATCACTATCAAGACAATCATTAAATTTTTCACTCTGTACCATTCACAGAATAATTGTATTTATATTTATAAGCTGAAATGTTCATGAAATGAATTCATCTTCAGAAGAGCTTATTAAATTCTTAATATAAAATGAATTCAATTTCCCAGCTTTGTAATAAAGTTTCCCCCGATATTCCTAAATAACATCTTGTTGTGTTTTCTTCTCATCGATATTGTGGTGGTTGTTTTCTGTGCTCCATCAGATTTTGGAATCAAATAGAATAAGAATTTTTATATAATCTGGGACCCATTAAGTATCATAAATTAGTTAATATAAAAGGATTTGAAAAAAAATCTTTAAAATGTGTGGGACTCAAAATTTGGAGTAAGGAGAATTTCTTTGCATTAGATTTTCTTTTTCTGGAGTCATGGTCTTCAGGTTTTTTTACTTATAAGTCACAACTTCACATTTTCCCAGAGAATTATAATGTTGGGTGATTCTCTAACTTAATTTGAAAAAAATAGTCTTCGCTTTTAAAATAAAATAATTAACCTGGCAAAAAAGTATCTTTTTAAAATCCTTATGCTGCGTGTTTCATGTTTTTTTACTAAACATGTTAGGAATGGCAGATTATTGGTCTTTTTAATGACACAGCTTTATTAAAAATACTTTAAAAAGTTTTATAAATGTATAATGTAAATACTATAAAATTCACCTATTATAAGCAAACAGCTCAATTGTTTTCACAAATATTTGTTACACAATGATAACTACAATCCAGTTTTAGAGTACTTTCTTCACTTTAAACAAATACCTTAATGCCTATTTACAGTCAGTATCCTTTCTACTCCCAGACCAGGAAATCACAGGCCTATGTATTCTTTATATATTTCTCTTTTCTGGACATTTCATAAAAAGGAAAAATCCAATATGTAATTTTTTTGTGTCTGGCTGCAGACTGTGTATATCTTCAAATTTCTTCCTCTTTCTTTTTTTTTTTTTTTTTTTTTTTGAGACGGAGTCTCGCTCTGTTGCCCAGGCCGGACTGCGGACTGCAATGGCGCAATCTCGGCTCACTGCAAGCTCCGCTTCCTGGGTTCACGCCATTCTCCTGCCTCAGCCTCCCGAGTAGCTGGGACTACAGGCGCCCGCCACCGCGCCCGGCTAATTTTTTGTATTTTTAGTAGAGACGGGGTTTCACCTTGTTAGCCAGGATGGTCTCGATCTCCTGACCTCGTGATCCACCCGCCTCGGCCTCCCAAAGTGCTGGGATTACAGGCGTGAGCCACCGCGCCCGGCCAAATTTCTTCCTCTTTCAAGAATATTTTTGGCTAGATTATTTTTGTTTTCACAAGAACTTTTGAACTAAAAGTTGGGCTCCTCTGGGATTTGAACCCAGGACCTTTTGCACCCTAAGTGAGAATCATAGCCCTAGACCAACCAGCCACACTCACAAGAACTTCTTAATGGCTTTTCAGTTTCTATTTTAAAGCCAGCTTAGATTTTGATTGGGATTGCCTTAGCTCTATAGATCATTTTGGGGAGAATTGGAATATTAAGAATATTCTGTTTCAACCAAGGAGCATGGTCTCTATTTACTTTGGTCTTCTTTAATATCTATGAGCAATATTGTGTAGTTTTTAATGTAAATATCTTGCACATATTTTGATAAATCTGGTTTCTTATATTTCAGGTTTTAATGCTATTACAAATGGTAGGTTTTTTGCTTCAGAATTTTATTCCATTTTCTTTTTCGGTTACTCAATTTGTTGGCATATAATTTTTCATAGCAGTCTCTTACTGTCATTTTTTATTTCTGTGGCATCAATTATGTCTTCTCTTTCAACTCTGCTTTTATTCATTTGAGCCTTATCTATTTTTTTTAGTCTAGCCAAAGGTTTGTCAATTTTGTTGGTCTTTTAAAAAAAACTAATTTTCATTTTTTTATCATTTTATTTGTCTCTATTTTATTTATTGCTATACTAAGCTTTAATATTTCCTTCTTCATTTGTCTTGGACTTATTTTGTTTTTCTGGGTCCTTGAGGTGTAAAGTTAGGTTACTGGTTTGATAACTCTCTTCGTTTTTAACATAGAGATTTATTACCATAAACATTTCTCTTACTACTACTTTTGCTGCATCTCATAAGTTTTGGTGAATTGTGTTTCAGTTTTAGTTGGTCTCAAGATGTTTTTTAATTTCCCATTGGATTTATTTTTGACTCTGGTTGTTCAAGAATGTG
Source organism: Homo sapiens (assembly GCF_000001405.40). Lineage (NCBI taxonomy): Eukaryota > Metazoa > Chordata > Mammalia > Primates > Hominidae > Homo > Homo sapiens. The sequence continues at coordinate 87,111,654 of NC_000002.12, read as the reverse complement.
TTGTCAATTGCAACGTATTTGTGAATCTTCCAGTCTTTCTTCTGCTATCAATCTCTAGTTTCATTCCATATGTATTAGAAAATTTACTTGGTATGATTACTATCTTCTTAAATGTGTTAAAACATATTTTGTTGCCAAATGTGATATATTCTAAATAATGTTCTATGTGCATTTGAAAAGAATGTGTATTCTGCTGTTGTTGGGTGGCATGTTCTCTATATGTGTCTTTGGTTAATTTGATCTAGAGTTTTGTTCAAGTTAAATGTTACTTTTTTGTTTTTCTGTCTAGTTGTTTTATCCATTATTAAGAATGGAATATTGAAATATGCTACTACTGTTGTCTTGCTATTTCTTTTTTTAGTTTTATCAATGTTTGCTTTATATATTTTTGTGCTCTGATGTTGGATGCATGTATATTTATAATAGTTATATCTTTCTTGTGAATTGGCCCATTTATCATTATATAATGTTCTTCTTGTCTCTTGTGACATGTTTTGGCTTAAAGTCTTTTTTGTCTGATATCATTATGGCCATTCTGGCTGTTTTTGTTTACTGAATATATATTTTTTCATTCTTTCATAGTTAGGCTATGTGTGATTTTAAAAACACATATAACCCTATCTTAGTCCATTTGTGTTGCTATAGCAAAAGACCATCAACTGGGTAGCTTATAAACAAAAGAAATGTCTTTCTCACATATCTAAAGGCTAGGAAGTCCAATGTCATCATACCAGCAGAATCAGTATCTGGAGAAGGCCTGCTTTTGGTTCAGAGCTAAATTTTATTTCTGCGACTTCACTGGGTGAAGGAGCAAGAAATCTCCCTGAGGTCTCCTTTACAGGCAGAGCAATCCCATTCTTTAGGGCTCCATTATCATGACCTAATCACATGCCAAGGTCCCACCTCCTAATACTATCACCCTGGGGTTAGAATTGCAACATATGAGTTTTGGGAATCATAAATATCTAGACCATAGCAGACCTACATTGCAAAAAATAGGGGCAATCAACTGCAATATACATTGAGATGAATTAAATATTGGCTTAACAGAAAAAATTATAAAGTAGCTACTATAGTAATGATAAATGACATAAATGAAAACATGTTCATAATAAATGAAAATATATAATTTAGCCAAAATAAGATTTTTTAAACCAAAAGCAAATTATATTTAAAAAACAAAATTTCTAAAATTAAAAACAAATACTGAATGAACTGATTGTCATAATAAACATGATAGAAACAAGAGTCAGCAAATGTAAAGACAAATTAATAGAAATATCTGATTTAAGAGCATAGAGGGACCATTAGGGAGAAAAATGATGAATCTTTGTGATCTGTGGGACTATATCAAGAAGTTTATCATATCATTTTAAGGGTTTAAGAGGTTTATCATATCAATTTAAGAGCAGTGTACTTGATATCCTAGAGAAAGAGAAGAGATATTTGTGGAATAACAACATATTTGATGACTTTTTTTTAGAAGACTTAAAAAGGCAAAAATTTCCAAATATGCTAAAAGATATTAATTTATAGACATAATAAGTTTAGAGAACCTCAAGCACATATAATATAATGGAACATTTAAGGTATGTTGAAAAAATCGTATAAGCAGCTAGAAAAATATGACATTAAATAAAGAAAACAGCATTATGAATTATTACTGACTTCCTTTTAGAAAAGTTATGAACCAGAAAACAGTGGAAGTCAAATAACAATATGGTAGGCATAATAGAAAACATATAACAAATCACACAAAATATAAAGATACCAAACAATCCAATTAAAATGAGAGCTTATCAGGATGATAAGACAATTATATGCTGATCATAAAATATTCACTTTATAGTTAAAATTAAAATTTAAGATGCACTATGCAAACACCACTTATAGAAAGCTAATGTCTTCACATTAATATCCGACAAAATACACTTTAAGACGGTGAGTGCTGCCACTCACCGTCTTAAAGTAGTGCTTCATAATTTAAAAATAGTAAATTTGTTTAAAAGATATGACAATGCCAATGAAGACAAAACCAATAAAGATATTCAGAATCCATGATGCAGAAACTCATAAATATATTTAGAGATTTTTAACATCTATTTCTCAGTAATTGATATAATAGACAAAAATAAAGACAAAACTGATTTAAACAACTTTATAACCTAACAGATATTTATAAAAACTATACTCAAAAAGGATAAGATCAAGGGTTTGTTTTTTTTTTTTTTGGAGACAGAATTTTGCTCTGTCGTCCAGGCTGAATTATGGTGGTGCAATAGATAAACATTTTTTTCAAGCATACATGGATCATTTAATGAGATGGAACATATGTTGAGTGATTCTTTTAAAAGTCTCAGGAAATATCAAAGATTTGAAGTTATATAGAGTTTGGTTTCTCATTACCAGGAATTTAAATAGAAACCAATAACAAAAATATATCTGGAAAATTTCAGAACAATTTGAAAAATAAGAAACACACTTTTACATAACTAACTAATCAAAGAGGAAGTCAGAAGGATATTTAGAAAATATTTCAAACTGAAAAAGATTTTTAAATATCTTATTAAAACGTGTGGGGTACAAATTCCTTCTATATGCTTAGAAAAATTATAAATCTTGAGTGCTTGTATTAGAAAAGAAGGAAGGTTTAAAACGCATGCCTTAAATATTCACCCAAACTTTTAGAAAAGAAAGTTATATCCAAAAAAATAGATAGAGAAAATGTATCAAACCAAAATTTTGCTCTTTGGATAGATAAATGAAAAGGAAAAGCCACTAGACAATCGGATGAGGAAAAAAGAAAAAACACAAATTGACAATATCTGTAATACAACAGGGCACATTGTAGTTGATCCTATTTATACATCTAGATATCTCTAAATTAGAATCAGCATATTAAGTTCTCAAAACCAAGTATTGCCTATAGCCTGTTTTTGTGAAAAAAAAAATTGTACTAGAACATAGCCACATCCGTTTATTTTTGTGTTCTCTATGGCTACTTTCACATTACAACAGATTTGAAGAGTTATGTCAGAGACTACACTAACTGAGAAGCCTAAAATATTTCCAATCTGGCCTCTTACAGAAGAAAAGTTTGCTACCCTCTACTACAAGTATTACAACAATAAAAAGGAAAAAGTGTCAATAAATCTTTGTCAAATTTGACATTCTTGATGAAATGTGCAAAGGCTTTAAATAATATAAACTACAGTATAACTGAAGAAACATAAAACCAGAATAACACCATGTCTGTTAAATAAATTAAATTAATAAATAAAAATCTTCCAAAAAAGAAAAATCCTGGGCTAATTACCTTCATTGGTAAATTATATAAAATATTTCAAGAAAAAATAATACTTTTACACAAAATTTTTCCAAAAAATTAGTGGAAAATACCTAAAACTCATTTTAGGAATTCATCATTGTAGACCATATTATGTCAAAACTTTAAAAATACAGAGGAGTACCCCTTAAACATAATGCAAAGATTTTTTTATAGAAGTTTAACGATCAAATCTGGCAACATAAAAAAGATTTTATTCCAGGAATGAAATATTGGTTTAGCATTCAAAATCAATTAAGGTATTTTCTCCACATTGCTATAATTTAAAAAAATCTATGGTCATCTTAAGAAGTGCAGAAAAAGCTTTTGACAAAATTAAAAATTTATTCGTTATAAATATTTTCAGAAAAATATAAATAGCTTTATAAAGGCTATCTATAAAAATTCCACAGTAAGGATCATACATAATGGTAGAAAATTGATTATTCCTTCCTAATTTTTGAAGAACGAAAATACATTTGCCTTCAGTACTTCCAATTAACATTCTACTAGAGACCGTAGCTAATATATTTAAGCAAGAAAAAACGTTTAAAAATATACTGATTGGAAATAAAGGAGCGTAACACATTTGTTTACAAATGACTATTTATGTAGAAAATCCTAAGAAAGATATTAAAAATGTAAGAGCAAATATGGAAATTTAATACGGCCTCCAATACAAAGTCAATACATAGTAGGAATAAACCTTTGAAAAAAAATTTTTAAATACAATTTTAATTAACATTGCACAACATTAAATAGATAGGGATAACTTCTATGTCGCTAGTAACTTAAACCTGAAACAAATGTTTAAGCTAAGTCTGTTTATTTTGGAACTGACAGTGTAACTAAGATTTCCACTTATTAATTTCCACGTGCAATGCAATGTTTATTAAATTTATGTAGGAAAAATGTGTTGATTGGAAGGTTATATTTTATACTTATAAAATTTACTAAATTCCACAGCAACCATAGCAATTATTTCTCAATTAAACCAAGAACGGTTTTACATTTAGGGGGACAAGCATTTTTTCCCCGATTATTATAAATGATAATAATAATCAAACTCACTTTTTTTATTGTTTTAACATATTCCACATTAATGGACTGTAGTGTGATTCCTGGAGCAGCAGCTGTAGTATTATTTGTCATTTTGTTGAAATGCAACTTCTTGGGCCCTATATCAGATGCTCATAAATGTTTGAGAATGACTGCTCCTTAGATAATGCTCCTTAGATAATGATAACATATTAACTGCACAAGCATTGACAGCTCATACAACTTCACTCTTGGTATTTGACTGCCCCGTATATTCTCCCTGAAATCTGTTTCTCCTGCAGTCTTCCTCTTTCACTTAGTGGCAGCACTATTATTCCTGTTGCTTTCTCTCCCTCTTATTATAAATATATACGCAGGTTGATGCAGAATTGGTGCTTATTAAATATTTTTGAATGAATGAAAGAATACCGAGACCCAAGGTGATTATGTCACCTGCTCAATTTCGCAAAGTGTATTAGTAACTTTTTATAGTCTTAATATTATTGTTCAAATAAATGAGCTTCAGTAGCTAAAATTTAAGTGCCTACTGTGAATCAGGCACTGCTCTAAGATCTCTGTATGTACATTTGGGTTTTAAACTTGAAAGAACTTGATGTGAGAGGTACTATTATTATACCTGCTTTATAAACAAGGACATTGATATATAAAAAATGTATAAATTGACTAAGATAAAGAAGCTAAGAATTATGGAGCCAGAAATTCATCACAGGTCATTTGATTATAGAGTCTATGTATTAATACTTAACTGCTTTATTTATGTATTGTTTCATAAAAAATAACCCCCAATCTTAAGAACTTATTCAACAAGCATTTGTTATATCACAATTTGTCTGAATTAAGAATCCAGGCACTATTTAGCTGTGCACCTGTGATTCAGAATTCTCATAAAGCTACAGTTAAGGTCTTTGCCAGGGTTGTGATTATTTAAAGTCTCCACTGGGGGTGGAATTCTCTTATAAGGTCACTTGTTTGGCTGTTGGCTGCCCTCCGGTTGTTACTGGCAGTTAGCCAGAAAGATAAGCTTTTTGGCACATGTGCCTCTCTCTGTAGGGCTGTTTATAGCATGTATTTTAATTTAGGATCCTTAAGATAGAGAGTATTCTTTCAACGATTTGGCAAGACACAAGATGAAAATAAAAATTTTATTACTTAGAGGTCTTGAGATTTACACTGCATGCTGGAGGCCACTCGAAGAGATCAGGGAGTGTGGAGGGAGGGAGGGAGAGAGAGAGAGAGAGAGGAGAGAGAGAGAGAGAGAGAGAGAGAGAGAGAGAGAGAGAGAGAGAGAGAGAGAGAGAACCCTATCAGCCAATGCCTTTATTGGATCCAGGACCTTATCTAAATAGGTTACCCACAGGGAGTTCTAAGTGGTGGGTTTAAAGCAAGCAAACATAAGTTTTAGAGTTCCAGGACGTAGTGCTGTGACTGACAGGTAGTCACTGTGACATATCTGTACAGTCCATGTGAGGTCTGAGGGTCAGTGGGGTCAGTCAGGTAGGCTATGTCTAGCTGTCCCATAGGGAAGTAGAAGTGGTCACCAGGGAGCAGTTGTATCAGGCAAATATGTGGACCAATCACATTTGGGAACTGAGGGTGGATGTGGTTAAAGAACTGGAAACTGTCAAGTGTGACTGAGTCCTGCTTCTAGTATGAGAAAGTTAGATTTATATTCAAAATGGATGCTGGGCCAAAATAAAATTATGAGAATTCACTAAAACATACCTTCCTGTTTTCCTTAGAATCAGGGTTTTGACAGAGAGAAAGAGTGAGAGACAGATGAACAGAGAGAGAGACAGACAGAAAGAGAGAAAGGGAGAGAAAAAGAAAAAAGAGAGAGAGTAAAATAGGGCCTAGTAGAGAAAAAGTCACAATCCCTTTATAATCAGTCTTGGAAGTAACATCTCTTTTTTCATATTGCATTCATTTGAAGTGAGTTACATGGTCTAGTCCATGCTCAAGAGGAAGGGATTCCACAATGACAAGATTTGGGGATTGGTTGGGGGCCATTTAGAAGCTGTATATCATAGTAACATCCTTTCTGGATGGACAGATGAATGAACGAATTAATTTTAAGATGTAGCAAGACTAGTGAAACAATGTCATGCTTACCATGCATTCTTACAATAATGGTTACATTTGAGTCATAAGCGTACATAAATCTTTAATCCTGAATTTTTTATAAAATTGCAGGGTGTATTTTTTGTTTGTCTGTAGCAAAAAACAAAGCTCATTACATTATTGATGTTTTAGGTCTTAAGGCCTTTGTGGTAATCTAAGCATCTACTTGTGAATGCATTTTATGTGTCAGTGGTCATTATTTATAAGTGACTGAGAAAGTCTGCTAACTATAAATCTGGTTCATTTATGGGACTCTCATGGCAACAGGTCTAAGAGAGAAATAACTTTTATCCAAAATGTTTTGTTTTATTGGTTCTAAATTTTCCTACCATTTATTTGATTCAGTGACCTCTTGTTTTCAAATGATGAGGCAATCAATTATGTTTAGTATTTTTGTTAGTTACCAGGTAGGTCCAGCAATTAAACCCAATTGTAGAGTGATTTAATTTCAATGGGAGGAATGTTTTTTGCTGTTTCTCTCAGCCAGTAATCTCCACTCTCAATCCTACACCCCGGGTGCTAAAAGGTTTTTAGCCATCTGAAGGTTAGGTGCATTTGAGCAAAAATATTTCCATATTTATGTTCTTAGGCAGCGGTCCCCAACCCCTGGGCCAGGGACCTGTACCAGTCCATGGCCTGTTAGGAATGGGGCCGCAAAGCCGGAGGTGAGCAGTGGGGAGCAAGCATTACTGCCTGAGCTCTGTCTCCTCTTAGATCAGTGGTGGCATCAGAGTCTCACAGGAGCATGAACCCTATTGTGAACCATGCATGTGAGGTATCTAGGTTGGGTGCTCCTTATGAGAATATAATTCCTGTTGATCTGAGGTGGAACAGTTTCATCCCCAAACTGTACTCCGTGCCCCATCTGTGGAAAAATTGTCTTCCACAAAGCTGGTCCCTGGTGCCAAAAAGGCTGTGGACCACTGTTCTTAGGTATCTGAATGATGAAAATCCAATCGTGACCACTGGAGCAGTGAAAAATATCTTCATTATTATCTTAATAAGGTCCTGTTCTAATATATAACTGCATCACTAATGTGAAAGATAAGAGAATGAGATCTGCAGTGTATATGCCACTAAATAAATTGTAGAGACTCAAAAAATATTACTTAACCTCACTTTTATTAAAAGTGATTGATACAAATTAAGGCCTGTGGGATCAAAATTAAAAAAAAACAAGTTATTTTGTATTAGGTTGGTGCAGAAGTAATTGCAGTCTAATCGGAAGTATGTAGAGAACACTTAGAAGTGTAAGTGTTTAAAGTATAAAATAGATAAGAATTAATCCACTTGTGCACAGACAGATTGTTGTTGTATGAGGACAATCATGGGAGATGCTTTGAATGTGGAATGAAAGGATTAAGCTGTGAGGCAATAATTTGCCTCAAATATCACTTTTAAATATTAAATGCTATGTAATGGAGTTTTATAGGAAAAGGTATATTTGATAGCTACATTGTGATTCAAGCGTAAAGGTAGTATTATTTTCTGGCATAACATGTCACAGAAATAATACGATCACTTTCTGAAAAAATAAAACAATTACAGATATATGTGTTATGGTCTGTCCCCCATAACACATTTGTGCCCCCGCCACCAAATTCATATTCTGAAATTTGAACCCCCAGTGTGATGATAATAGGAGGTGAAGACTTTGGGTGGATATTAGGTCATAAGGGTCAAATCCTCATGACTGTGATTAGTGCCCCTATAAAAGAGAACACAGAGAATTAACTAGACCCTTTCACCATGTAAGTGTGCAGTAAGAAGATGTCATCTATGAGAAATGGGTGCTCCCAGACACTGAATCTGCCAGTGCCTCAGTCTTTGACTTCTCATCCTTCAGAACTGTGAGAAATAAATATGTGTTTCTTATAAACCATCCAGTATATGCCATTTTTGTTATAGCAGCCCAACTGGCCTAAGACAGTGTGTAAAGAATTACAAAGAAAGGTCCATTCCATTTGGACATGGACTGTAATGAACAACTTATAAAAAGGGAAACCAGAGCATTTTAATAATGAATTAGTAAGCTTTTAATGAGTTAGTAAGATTAGTCCTAAACTGAGAGAGTTCTGAGTAGAAATGTAGAGCCATTTTCTGATGTAAGAAGTTGTTCTGTAATTAGAAAATTATAGTTAGTTGGTTTTAAGAAAAGATTTGAGGTGAAAAATTAAATTATTAATTTATGTGTGTGTAACAGAACTTTCTCTCAATTCATATAACACAGAAAGGCAATCTCTTGACTCCTTTCCTCAGATACTGTAATAGAATCAAAAATAAAAAACAAGATAAAGGTCTTTTGTAAATTCAGGCATATTGAAGTCATCCTATGTGCCCTGAACACTTCAGTCAAGTAGAAGATTTGTGGGAAAACAATGACTCAAGGAAAGGAGATTGCCCTTATTTGGAAAAGGCAGAGAGGTCCATGAGAATTCAGGAAAAAAGTACGCAGAGGACCTTCACTCTTTTCACCAGCAACGGTTCTGAAAGATAGAAAGATGTCAGGAGGAATATGTGTTTTGTGTGCATATGGAGGTATAGAAATTTAAGAACCTGCCTCAAGAAAGATTCAGAGAAGAGATGCAATGTTTTGTATTTTTAGAAGTAGGGGCTTGAGTTTGAGCAAAGAGAATATTTGGCACAAATGTGATAAACCAGGAAAGAGAAGACTGTGTTAACTATCTACTACTGCATAGCTTATTAGCACAAGTCTTTGTATCTTAAAGAAACAAGCATTTATTATCTCAATTTCTGAGGATCAGGAATTCAGGCATGGCTTTTGGGCACCTTTGGCTCAAAGGCTCTCCTGAATTTGCTGTGCAGTTGCCAGTTGGGGTTGTGATCTTATCTGAAGATTCATTTCAAAGGAGGTGGTGGAGGGACCTTCTTCTAAACTCACTCATGTGCTTTTTGGTGGACCTCAACACCACCACCCTGTGGATTACTCCACAAGACTCTGCCTCACATCATGAAAGCTGGCTATCTGCAGAGTGAGCCATTCAAGAGACCATCTGAGACTGCCTCACATCATGAAAGCTGGCTATCCACAGAGTGAGCCATTCAAGAGACCATCTGAGAGAGAGTACCCAAGATGTAAATCACAGTCTTTTCATAGCCTATAATTTTGAAAGTGAAATAGTTTCTCAGAATTATTTTGAAGCCAGTCTACGTCACACTTAAGGTAAAGATGGGATGACCTAAGGCTGTGAATACTAGGAGGCGGGAATTATTAGGGTTTATCTCAGAGGGTGCCTACCACAGGGTAGTTTCAGATACTTTACCAGCAAAAACTACAAGTATGGAATTTTCCACTTGTCCAAAGGGATGAAAGATTGAAGACCCAGGTAATTTAAAGATAAAAGCAACGATTTTTCAAACTTTGTGCTTTTGAGATTAGCATTCATAATGTTACAAAAAGAGGAATAAATGTCAATGGCTGTATAAGTGAGGTCTCTACTGTTTTCAATAGTTTTGACAAACTTAATGGCACAAACAAAAAATAGTGAATCAGGAGCAATGTGAAGCCATTAACATCCCACTCTCAAGAGGCAAAGGGATGAGGTCCTGAGATAATATAACAATATTAAGATCTTATTTGATTTTTTCATTCTCTCTCTCTTTCTCTCTCATGTGTAAAGTAAGTAGAGTTTTCCAGAGACTACATAATGTATGATATCACAACATACCGAAAGCAGAAGTAGATCTAATAAATCAGCATGTCTTATATTAAGTCAGGCATTAAATAAATTATAAAAATATAAAACAATGCCATTCTTTGTATCTGTAATGAGTATTGCAAGTGAACAAAATAAATTTTTCAAATATAAATCCAGCATAAAATAAAAGATAACCTAGCACAGAAGGAGGCAAAACAAAATGAAAGAAAACAAGGAAAAAGAGCAAAATAACAGAAAAGGCCAGCTAGTGATTGATAGAGACAGGAGGCAGACAAATCCCAAGGCAGATAGGGATGAGTTCCCCGTGAAATCCAACATTCAAGCTGGAAACTGTGCTGGGTAAATCTTTGGATTGGATTGAGGACCCACCTTCCTGTTTTGTGTGCTTTCCTCTGATTGATCCCCCTTTTTCACCTATTTTACCTATTTTTTTTTTTTCTTTTCAGATAGTGACTCGCTGTGTGGCCCAGGTTGGAGTGCGGTGGTGGGACCTCGGCTCACTGCAACCTCCACTTCCCGGGTACAAGCGTTTCTCATGCCTCAGCCTTCCGAGTAGCTGGGATTACAGGCACGTGCCAACATGCCTAGCTAATTTTTTGTATTTTTAGTAGAGATGAAGTTTCACCGTGTTTGCCAGGGTGGCCTCGAACTCCTGACCTCAGGTGACCCACTATCCTTGGCCTCTCAAAATGCTGGGATTACAGGCATGAGCCACTGCACCCAGCCGCCTAATTGGTTTTCTATGTTGTCATGCCCACCTTTGAGTGGTGTCTTTGCTTTAACCTTTTCTGCATACTCACAAACCAATCAGCACACACTCCCTATTCAGCCCACAAAAAACCCTGGGCTCAGCCATATTGGGGAACTTTCCTGTCTTTGGGTAGGAGAACCAACCCCCACATCCTCTCTTTTTTCCTGAGAGCTTTCCTTTCACTTAATAAATTCTACTCCACTCACTCTTTGATGTCCACTTGTCTAATTCTTCCTGGTTGTGAGACAAGAATCTGAACTAGCTGAGCTAAGGAACAAAAATTGTGCATCACTAGTAGAATTATCCCAGGTAGTAGAATTATTCTGAAGATAAAAAACAAAATATAAACATTTTATTAAATAATTGGAATGCTTAAAATTGGCATTTCAGATGTGAAAAGGAAACAATATAAAAAACACAAAAGATAGGTTTGAGAGCAGTTGATAAGGAAATTAATGATCTAGCAGGTATGTTAGAATAAAATATGTAGAATCAAACATAGTAAAGAAAAGGATAGAAAATATTGTAGAGTGCAAAGGTTAATGAAAAGTCTTACATATAATTACGGGCTCAAGAAAGTAGAGCAAGAACAAGGAAGATATGCTTCTAAATGAATTAAACTATTAATTGAAAGGGAAACATGAATCCAAAGCAGAAAAACACAGAAAGCAATTCAAAACCTGATGACACAGAGAGGAATTGCAGAAACATAGAGTAAAAGAGAAAAATATCATGGACAGTCAGGGGAAAAACACGTTTCCTTTAAAAGAACACCTTTAGACTCTTAACTTGCTAAATGAAACAATGTAAGTGAAAAGACAATAGAATTATAACCTCTATGCACTGAAAGAAAATAATTTCTTTTTTTTTTTTTTTTTTTTTTTTTTTTTTTTTTTTTTTGAGACGGAGTCTCGCTCTATCACCCAGGCTGGAGTGCAGTGGCGGGATCTCGGCTCACTGCAAGCTCCGCCTCCCGGGTTCACGCCATTCTCCTTCCTCAGCCTCCCAAGTAGCTGGGACTACAGGCGCCCGCCACTACGCCCGGCTAATTTTTTTGTATTTTTAGTAGAGACGGGGTTTCACCGTTTTAGCCGGGATGGTCTCGATCTCCTGACCTCGTGATCCGCCCGCCTCAGCCTCCCAAAGTGCTGGGATTACAGGCGTGAGCCACCGCGCCCGGCCTAAAGAAAATAATTTCTAATCTTCAATCCCATATACAGTTAAAACTTCACAAGTGAAGATAATACAAAAACCTTTTTAGATCACTGAAAACTGAAGTAATTCACTAAGACAGAACCCACACTCATGGTTACCTTTGAAACAAAAATGAAATGGTATTAAGTGGTAGTTTATAGATTCAGGAAGTAATAAGAAACACAAAGTTGTATTCCAGTGGGTAAATTTAAATGAATATTTACAATGTAGCATAATAATAGCAATAACAATGTTTTTGGGAGTCATAGCATATACTAAAATGTATTATAAAAATAGCATGGAAGTTGGAAGGGAAAAATAAATGGAGTTACAATTTTAGAAGGTCTTCATTTTGCTGTAAATTGAGGCAAATATTAATTCATGTTATAGTTTAATACATCATGAATGCATGTTGTAAATGTTAGGATACTCTAAATGCCAACAGAAAATAGAAACTTTCTGCCAGCAGAGGGGGAAAAATGGAATAAAGGAATATGATTATGAAATCAATAGAAAATGCATAGTGAAATGATACATTTAAGTGAAGTATAATTTAAATATATTCATAGGATGTGAACTTTTTTTGTAAACTGCATGTAGTTATTTTATTTAGTTTTGATTACTACTGTTCTTATGTTGTTCCCCAAATTATCCAGAATTGAATCTGTTGTATTAGAGGTAATATAAAATAATTATATCGGGTGGAGAAATCAGAAACTGACAGCAAAAACCACTTTATACATTTGACATAATATTTATAATCATGCATGGTATACTATATAACATAATTTTAAGTTTAATATTTATGCATTCTAATTTCAATAAATATTATGAACAAAATTATGAAGATAAATTATTCAATAGAAGATAAACTTGACACACATATAAAAATGATTGATGGCATTATTATGTAAATAGTCCTACATAAATTAAAAGAAAAAGAATGCTAACAGGCAATTCAAATATGAAAAATTGAACTAATAAAATTAAAGACTATAAAAATTAAATGCGATAGTATGTGGTGTACTTGAACCTCAAAGACATTTGGATTGTTTCTTCTTTCTAATTAAGATTGTTTTATGAATCAGGTGAAAGAGGGTCTCCAGCAACTCCACTTAAGAGTTTAAACTTACACAAATTTTCCTGAGTGCAATTTAGGGACACTTATCAGAAACCCTCAAAGTAATTGCACTTTTTGGCTCAATAATTCCTCTTTTAGGTATTTACCCTAAAGAAGCAGAGGTAATATTTACAAGGATTTCTGCGTCAGAATGTTCATTGACCAATAATTTTCAAAACATTCTAAATATGTATATTTAGAGAATAAAATCATTCTATAGATTTTATAGAATATAAACTATAAACTATAGAGAATAAAATCATTTGATTTTAGTATATTGGGAGCATAGAGTTTCATTCAGTTTTGTATGTACTTTTAAAGGAATAAGTAATAATTGTAGAAAATTATAGTATATTGTCAGTTTGGGTAGAATGCCAAAGTGAAATAAAACACATTTTCAATTTTGTAACAAATACAAGTATAAATATTTTAATAAAAGCTCTCAAAGGATATATACATATGTGTAACAATCATTTTGGGGGTGTTAGATTTATTGTTAATTTTGTCTTTATTTTACTTATATTTTCCACATTTTATAATTGGAACCATGTTATAAGTCATTAAATAAAAAATGTCAGTTGACAATTATTGTGATTAATCATTAAAGTAAAGTGACGCTCAGTCTGCTAAGTCACTGTTGTGTTGGAAGTATTATGCACTGGCTTCTAAAAAAGCCCATTTCTGCATCTTTTCCTAATGCTATGTTCCGAGATCTCATGTCAGTAGTTTGAAATTGGCCACTGGGAATTTTTACACCATGAAAATCTGAAAACACCATAAATCTGGCTTTTTATTATACAAAGCTAGTTACTAAACATTTACCATCAGACCTCAGTACTAAGAAAAAAAAGATATTTCAGAAAATATATTTGTAAACAATTCACAATTCTTCTGAAAGAGATAGATGTATACACATTTATTTCTTCAAAAATAATAACATTTATATTTAAATAACAGCAGCAAACATTCTTTCTGTGACTCTTATTTCATGGTATTCTTGTCATCTTACTTTACATTTAAGCTAAGTTATTATTTTCATTTATTCTTCAGTCATTTTTGTTTACTGCTTACCCTCATATAATTATGCAAAAGACCCTAGTAGGATTCACACCTCTAGCAGTCAATATTTATGAAGTAAACAGATACTAGAGCAATAGCTATAGGTTTGGTTCCACATTATAACATAGCAAAGTGAGAGATATATAAATATAACACATATTAATAAAACTACATCTTGCTGGGAGAAACTCAGGCTTTTAAAATCACAGGTGTTAATGAGACCATACCTGCTGAGAATGAGAGAAGCTGAACATCTTATGTAGATATATGGATATAATACCCACTGTGAACTTTGTGTCAATGTTAGCCAGTCCTATAAATGAAGATTCATAAACCATGCAGAGAAAAGAAATGTATTTTAAAGCTTCTATTTGTAATATGGCTTAAAAAGTATTTTTGTGGAGTTTGAATGCCTGATTTTTTTATACTTTTTCCTAAAAAATAAGCTTATTTTTTGAATTATTAATAATCTCATAATCTGGTGTTACTCAAAGTATAGTTCATAGAAGAACAACATCAATCTCATCTTGAAGTTTGTGAGAAGCATAGCTTCTCAGGTCGGTGCAGAACTACTGAAACAGAGGCTCTGTTTTAACAAGATGCCATCATATGTATGAACATTAAAGTTTGTGAAGTGACACTCTAATTGATACTCATTGTTACCTTAGTAGATAGTTTCTTTTATTTGTTTTAAAATCAAGCTAGTTTATAAATCAACTATTTTAAATGAATGTGATTGATGTTACCTTATTCAGGTAATTATTATTTTACTATAAAATTGTAAGAAACTATGTCATCCATATGCTGTATACAACACTGTTCTTTTAAATGTCATTTTATAGAGTCATATTTAGCCAAATCTGCGTTATAGAGCTATGCGAATTTATTATACTATTACATTTATTATACTATCTGGAATGGTAAAAAGTTCCATTTCTTTCAAGATTTGATTTTATTTGTATTATTGGGCTAATGCTAGCTAGATATCTATTTTTGCCAGGTTTATTATAGAAACTACTTTGTATGCCTTTGGAAAAATAAAATGAGTTTGTCAATAAAAGCTGCTGACATACATTAGTTAATAGAAATTTTTTCATTTAAATTTATTAGTATGTAGATTTCTGATATATTTGAAATATTTGATTTTCTAAATTCTCCAAATCAATATATTAGAGGCATATAATTGGCTTTGATAATCAATATCCAGTTTAGAAAAATTTATTAAACCTGTTCTGGGTATCATAAGTTTTTTCAACCATGCTCCAAAAAAAAAAAAAAAAAAAAAAAAGCCAAAACCAAAAACAATAAGCTTGTTTTATTAGGTTTGGCACTAAGGATGCTACATGTGATCATCCCACATAGGAAGACTGAGATTCCACACAGAATCCTGCCAGGTATTTTATTATTTTGGAAAGCATCTAAGGAATGGAATGCAGATATCTTGAATGCAATTTCAAGCAAATGACTATGGTGTAATCCTGTGACTTTTATGACTTTACAGACACCAAGAAGATCATAAATTACTGGATCTGGCATGTAAATAATCTTGCAGATAGGGTTCCCTGAATTCCTTCTATAATCCCAGATGATTTTTAGTACATTCTTGGGGGATGGCATAAGTCTTCTAGGTCTTGATTGAATGTCATACACTCTAAACTAGAGAACATGTCCTTTCAGTCTTTGCTAACTTAAGACTGTCTTTAATAATATTCATTATAGTATTGTTTACAATAGGAAAACTTTTAAATAACATACATTTTCAAATATATTAGATAGAAAAATTACATATGGCACGTTTTTGCATGGGGGTAACCAGCTGTAAAAATATATATAAATGTTTGTTGACATAATAACCTATTTATATTATTTTAGTATATTGTTCTATCTGGAAGAATATAAACCAAACTTTTAAAAGTGATGATATCTGGTAAAAATACAAATGATTGTTTTTACTATTTAATCATCTTTTTTCTGATTACTAATTTAAAAAGTATTTCATAATATGTTCTATAAAATAAATACTAATTTCAAATTTAGAATTTCTTGCACGTTTTATGTAAAATATCACAAAATTGTTAATGTTTATATGTTTTGTGGTGAATGTTAAAAAACTATTTATTCACTCATCAATAGAAGGTATACAATTAATTCAAAGCCGTATAAGTTGATTCAGCCTTCCATTGTAATATGAATCAATAACTAAATCAATCAAGACATCCATGTAAAGAAATAGTATATAATCTTTAAGAAAAAAAATGTAGCTGTGCTCCCTTTCTCTGTTGGAGTTTCTCTGTTCTAATGTCAATAACTTAGACATGTTTGACAATAGAAAACAATTAAACAATAAATCCAGATAGAATGTGTGATTACACTGCAGAAATGTGAGTTCAATTTTTCATGAAAGGAGCTTTGTTCTATATATCACCCCTCGGAATAGTTTGGTGTCCCTAGTTCCAGTCCTCCTTCCACAGGTAGACAAGTATATGCATACATGTGCACATTATTTTTACTTAAATTAAACTGCATGTACTGGTATCTGCATTTTTTCACTTTATAGTATCTTACAGATCTTTTCCTATCTATACAGGAAAATGTATCTTGTTCTTTTTAACGGTTGAGTGATATTCCACAGTATGAATGTATTTAGCCTCTCCCCTCGGGGTTCCTTATGTGACTGTCTGGTTAGTAGAGCAGCTCAGCTCTGTAACTCCTCATAACGCAAGACTACCCATTAGGAAGAAGCCTGTGTCCCTTCCTTTCCCCTTCTTTGAAGGAACAAGGACCCTGCTGTGGCGTATGGGAAGAATTGGGGGAGAGGGAAACCTTCAAGGACTTAATATTCAATAGAAAGGCTCCAGAAGGTTCTAATGCCACTTCCTGTGAGTCTCAGCCTCCCCTCAGCCTCCTATCTGAACAGCCCTCCTTACCTTCCCTCTCAGGTGCATTTATCTCCCTCATCCTGTACAGAAGCATCAGGGGCACTGTCCCCCACTCCTGGCTCCTCCCACTAGGCTCCTTGTCTCAGCAGCAGCCGCAGCCTGGCATGAGGACGCCTCCAGGACTGGAAGGTGAGAGGCGAGGATGCTTAGCAACACTTGGAGTTAATTATTTAATTGGGTGAAACATCCATTAGGGAGGATTCTCACTTCCCAGACAGCCTGTGAGTAAACATGTCGAGAAGAGAACAGTGAGGTGTTGGCGAAAGCTGCCGTTCGCCCTGGCTCCTCCCCTGCGCCCCCCCACTCCTCAGCTGGGGAAAGGGACCCCGAAGGATTTTGCCCAGATGTTTCTTCAGGCTGGGCCAGGACAAAATGGCCAGGGAGGCCGCAGGGGAGACAGACTGTGTCCACAAGGAGGGAAGACGTGGCTCAAGGCCCCGAACCCCACTTGTAGCAGATAGGAGGAACCACACTGTCAGGAAAACCCAGCTCACCAGGTAGCTCACTAGAGAGGTGATTTCATTTGAGAACCCAGTTACGACAGTGTTGGAAAAGCTGAAAACAGGGGAGGGTGAGGCAACTCGAAGATTAGCAATTTCAGGAAGCTGCTACTACCCATAGATCTAGACAGTCAGAGCAGGGAGATAGTATTTACATGACTCCAGGAGCTGGGGTGCCAGGGCAGAGCTTTAACTGTGGAGGGGCCAATGGCTGGGAGCTGGGAGGCCGTGGTGCAGGTGTTGCCTGGCAGAAGCTGGCTCCACAAAATAGATGCCACTGGAAGCAGAGAGAGGACAGGAAATACTCTGGCCTTCCCCGTCTCTCACCCTCCGGTTTCTCACCAGTGCTTTGCATTGGTTGAACCCAACAAGAAACCAGTGGACAAGGCACTGTGCATGTGGACAAGGGAAATGTAATTTGCAGGAGTCAGCTTCCTGCTTACAGGACAGAGCAGGGCAACGGCAGGAAATGAACGATGCACAAAGAGGCAAATGTCCAGCATGTGCTCGGGCAGCTCAGAGGCCAGCCATGGTGCCGGGTCAGCTGGTATGGGACATGCGGCTTTCTTAGGAAGAGGGAGACCTACACTAGGTGCTGTGCAGTGGGGGTGCAGGAGAAAGAGATGGCTTAGTTTATTCTTGTGCCTGTCAGGATTTAATGTAGAAAGCCCATCTGGGCATTTTTAACCAAAGAGAGATTTTTTTTTTTTTTGAGACAGGCTAGAGTGCAGTGGCATGATCACAGCTCACTGCAGCCTCAATCTCCTGCACTCAAGCCATCCTCCCACCTCAGCCTCCCAAGAAGCTGGGACTACAGGCACACACCACCAAACCCAGCTAATTTGTTTTTTTTTTTTTTTTTTTTGAGACAGGCTAGAGTGCAGTGGCACAATCATAGCTCACTGCAGCCTCAATCTCCTGGGCTCAAGCTATCCTCCCACCTCAGCCTCCCAAGAAGCTGAGACTACAGGCACACACCACCACACCCAGCTAATTTTTTTTTTTTTTTTTTTTTTTTTGAGACAGAGTCTCGCTCTGTCACCAGGCTGGAATACAATGGCTCGATCTTGGCTCACTGCAACCTCCGCCTCCAGGGCTCAAATGATTCTCCTGCCTCGGCCTCCCGAGTAGCTGGGACTACAGGCAGGTGCCACCATACCCAGCTAATTTTTGTATTTTTAGTAGAGACGGGGTTTCACCATGTTGGCCAGGATGGTCTCAATCTCTTGACCTGGCAATCTGCCCACCTGGGCCTCCCAAAGTGCTGGGATTACAGGCATGAGCCACCATGCCTGGCCCCAGCTAATTTTTTAAACTTATTTTTTGTAGAAATGGGAGGTCTTCCTATATTGCCCAGGCTGGTCTCAAACTTCTGGGCTCAAGTGATCCTCCTACCTCAGCCTCCCAAAATACTGGGATTCCAGGCATGATCCACTGCACTGACCCACCAAAGAGAGACTTAACAGAGAATTAGATACTTTCAAAATTTTTGGAAAAGCCAGAATGGTAGGTTCTAACCTGAACATCCAGGAAGGAATTCCAGAATTCTGAACTAACTCCCAGTGGCACTACAACCTCTGAGACCACCCCTTGAATTGAGTTTGAAACCACTGTAGCTGCAATACAGAGATCAAGAAACCCAGAATCAGCTGGACACAGTGGCTTATACTAGTAATCTGAAGCAGAAGGCTGAGACCCCCTCTCTACAAAAAACGTAAAAATTAGCTGGGCGTGGTGGCACCTATAGTCCCAGCTACTTAGGAAGCTGAGGTGGGAGGATCGCTTGAACCCAGGAGGTTGAGGCTGCAGTGAGTCATGATTGCACCACTGCACTCCAGCCTGGGCAACAGAGCGAGACTCTATCTTGAAAGAAAAAAGAAAAGAAGAAAGGAAAAGGAAAAGGAAGGAAGGAAGGAAAAGGAAGGAAGGAAAGAAGGAAGGAAGGAAGGGGAAGGGAGGGGAGGGAAGAAAAGGGAAGGGAAGGAAGGGACAGGAAGGAAAGGAAGGAAAGAAGGAAGGAAGGGGAAAGAAAGAAAGAGAAAGAGGGAGAGAGAAAGAAAGGAAAGGAAGAAAGAAAGAGAAAGAAAGGGAGGGAGAGAGGGAGGAAAGAAGGAAGGAAGGAAGGAAAGAAGGAAGGAAGGGTAGGAAGGACCAGAATCAAGCCATTACTGAAACCAAAACAACAGTTTTTGACTCTTGACACCCAGAAGCTAGAGGATGGACAATGGGAATCTGGTGCAGAAAAAGGCAATTGTGTTTCTACTATCTTGATAGCCATTAGAAACCCAGGGCAGGAAAGAGTCTCATGTCCACCTTCTGAGTTTCAGGAGTCTAACTGATCAGTATCACCCAATTCACTTCCAGAAGCCTAGCTGCAAGGGAATCTGGGAGATGCAGCTCTTAATTTTCCAGCCTCTCCAGACAAAAGGAGGGTGGCACAGGAGGCTGAGGGAGCACGTCCTAAGTGCTCACCACACTACTCTTGGGAAACTTCTATCAGGTGGAGGAAACAGTGTAAGAATGCAGGCTACACTGCGTGACCAGGATTCCAAAGGCTACGGAAGTTCTAGGAGGGCAGCTGTTCCAACTGGCTGTAGCATTCTGAAGCTTCCCAGAGGCTCCCCAGAGTGCAAGCTAACAGGTATGCACATTCAGGTGGGCCAGCCCGGGGTCGGGGCTTTACTTACACCAGCTTGGTTGGTCTTCTCACTCACCTCACGAGACAGGCCCCACTACAATCCCATTTACCCACAGGGAAACTAAAGCTCAAGGAGGTGAAATCACCCACTCAAGAGCACATCCGGTAAAAGGCAGAGCTGCCTTCTTTGGCTGGGTGTGAAGAAATGGGTGGAGAGGAGATAGGAGGTGGAAGGGGGCTGAAGACCCCCCAGGTGAGGGCCCAGCATGAGCAGAGGCAGCGGGAAGATGAGAGTGATGGACAGGGCACTCGACAAGCAGGAGGTCTGGTGGGGAGAGGGCAAGCTGAGGAGCAGAGCAGACAAGGTGGGAGGCCATGCTCAGGCGGGGACTTCCTGCTACACACACTGAAAGGAGTGGTAAGGGGGCCCCGAGGGAAGGGCAGCTGCAGGGGCTGGACCCAGGCAGGAGCTCATGGGGACAGGGCAGGGACTGGGAGGCCACACTCGTGAGGGAAAAAGCAGGGCCAGGACCCAAGGAGGAGGTTGAGGCCAGGTGAGCACCGTAACAGCGGGGAGCCTCGCCCAGTTGGGAGCTGTTCTTTCCGCCACCAAGTAAACATCATCTCTAGGCTGAAGGATGGGTACCTCCAAGGGGAAACCACCATGCTGACAGCTGTTCAGGCATTGGGGCTCCTGCCTATGGCAACCCGCAACCCCAGGGGCTAGCCCCAGTCAGCTGGGACCCTCCCCAGCGTCTCAGAAACCTCTCTCTTCACTTGAGAAGGGCTTCAACCCTCCTTCAGAAGGCCTCATTATGTTACCTCCCACTGGCCTGAGGCTGCCCCTTAGCTGCTGGAGGCAGGCCAGCTGCATGGGTGTGTGGCGTGCGCAGTTGCCCAGGCCCCGAGCTCAGAAGGTCCCCTGCTTGGTGTCCTAATGCTCTGCCATGACTATCTTGAAATTCTCAATGATTTTTGGGCAAGTTCCCCTGCATTTCATTTTCCACTGGGTCCTGCAAATTATGCAGTGAGTCCTGCCTGGGACAAAGGATAATTTAAGAAAGTTTTCCATGACTCCTGGGGACAGGGCGTGCTCCACATTGACCTTTCATGGAGGGTGGATTGAAGGACATGAAAGGCAATGTCCTTCCACCCCCACTTCCCTGAGCCCCACATGTACCTGGCATGTTCCTTTATAAACCTGCCATTCTCCAGCTCCTGCACCCAGGCCTGTTCTAAGAAGCAGGGTGTGTGTCATCTGTTTAGTGCACATTGACCCCCAAATCCCTGCAACTCTACAAAGGACCATGCACACAGTAGGGGCTCCATGAGGCGTGCTGACCCCATCCCGAAGGCCAGGCTGGGTGGAAAGACTGATGGCCCCTGCAACGGTCCCCTTCTGCAGCCTGGGCAGGAATGGAGGAGAGAAGGGAGGGAGACTCTGTGTGTGTGTGTGTGTGTGTGTGTGTGTGTGTGTGTGTGTGTGTGTGTGTGTGTGACAGAGGAAGGGAGGGGGCGCATAAAACAGAAACAAATAAAGAGTTCAAATGTGAAACGATTAAAAAAATAAATCGAAGGGAGTGAGATAAGGCAGTGGAGCCTCTGCTCCCTAGTTAACATTCATTGGATTGAATAATCAGGCTTCATTATCTCAAATTGTCTGCATATTTGCCCTCAAAATGCTAATTTACAGTTGGCTGGGAGCAGTCTTGGCCTATTTTGACTAAAATATTATTTCATTTTATTGAGCATTGTTCTTAGCTGTCGGGCATCTTGGTTTGCAAGGGGAAGGAGGGGAAGAAATAGAGGGAGAGAGGAAAACATTTTCTATCAAAGCTCTGCCCCGCTCAAGTCTGATTATGGGCTCCCTGTTTTGCGTAGAAATGGCATTTCTAAGCCTCCAAGTAAAATTAGAGTCTTTATCATTTTCTTTTAGGGGATAGACAGTTTATCATTAATCTCAGAGAAGGAAATAGGAGAAATAATTTTTTTTGTTTTACTGAAAGGGTGAAAAATCTTGCTCATCATTTCCCCCTCCCTCCTGGGTGTGGAGGCATCAGCTACCTCCTCCTCCTCCACTTTCTCTGTGACCTGTAAAGGCTGGAATTCTCTGCCTCTTGCCCTTGTCTGTCCTCCAGGCTCCAGTGACCAAAAAAAAGGTCCTTTGCTACTTGCATCAGCTCTGGAGTTTGGCTGAGTTTCCCAGAATCTCAGCCCTGGGAATCTGAAGATGTGGGCTCCTATTTTTTTTTTAAGAGATGGGGTCTCGCTGTGTTGCCCAGGCTGGTCTTGAACTCCTGATTTCAAGTGATCCTCTTGTCTCAGCCTCCCAAAGTGCTGGATTACAGGTGTGAGTCACCATGCCCAGCCAGGCTCCTAATTTGATTCTTCCATTGAGTTAAGAAAGACACAGCCCTCCTTGGAACTAAAAGTCCACAGTAACCAAGCATCTTTGTTCACACCTGAGCATGGTGTTTCAGACAGTAATGTGTGGGCCCCTAGCTGGGTTTTTGGTCTGAGGATGGACCACACTAAGTCATCCACACCCTCTACCCCCCACCCAGCTTCCCTTGGAAATGGGGACAGGAGCTGGTGAAAGGCCAGCCTGGGTCAGTCCTAGTCAAAGGTAAAAGAGACTTAAATTCGTTTTATTCCAACCCTCTTAGTCAGGTGACAAAACTGAGGCCAGAAAGTAGTAGTTGGAGGTTACAAATCTAGCTGGTAGGTTGGTGCTACTACTCAGGAGTGTCTCTCCTCTCCTCTTTCAAGCTTCTTTCTGAACACTCTTTCTGGTCTACCTACCCTCTTCTGTTTTGTCTTCTCTTCTTGGTCATCGTTATAGTCCTGCTGTAACTGATGAGTGGCTGTTCTAGCGCTCTGTGGAGCAGGACGGTTGTGGCTTGCTGGTGCTATCTGCCCTGACTTTGCTGCCAAGACCGGCCCAGGACCCAGTAGACAGGATGCCCAGCCAATAGGCCTCCAGCTATCCTGCTGCACAGCCAGTCCCTTCTGGTCAAGCCTTCTCTCTACTCCAAATCGTGAGACCATGTCTCCTTCTCAGCCCCCGAGTCCTCTGTCAGCCCCAGATGTAGTAGAAGATCACAGGTTCCCAGGCCAACATCCAGGGTCACCATGTACAGTTGGGCCCCTGTAAGAGGGCACCCAGCCAGGGGGCCAATGGGACTGAGGTCCAGCTCCTGTTCCCCTCACCAAGTCCTGTGCCCTGGCATGGAGCTGCCTCTGCCCAGCAGGGTGCCATATGGAGTAGCCTGGCCCTCCAGAGCCAGCTCACTTCTTTCCCCCAACTGCCCCAACCATCTGAGCTCAGCCTTCTCCCAGGGCTCCTCTCCTTCTGAACTGTCCTGAGCCCCATAATACTTTTGTATTATGTATTTCTGGTTCAATTCCATTGTGCTCACAGAACATAACTTCAATTTCAATTGAACAAATTGAACAAATTTCAATTTTTTATAATTTGTTGAGTTTTGTTCTATGGCTCAGGATATGATCTATGTTGGTATATGTTTCATGGGCACTGAAAAAGAATGTGTATTCTTGGTGTTATTGGGTGGAGTATTCTATAATGTTGATTAAATCATGTCTGTTGGTGGTGATGCTGAGTTTTTTCAAATCCCTGCTGATTTTGTCTAGTTGTTCTATCAATCATTGATAGATGGGTGTTGAAGTCTCCAACTATTATTTTGAATTGATCTATTTCTCCTTCCAGTTCTATCAGTTTTTTATTTCACATATCTTGCTGTTCTGTTGTCTAGTGCTTATATATTTTGAATTGCCATGTCTTCTTGACCCTCTTATCACTATATAATGTCCAATTCTGTCACTGGTAATTTTCTTTGCTCTGAAGTCTTCTTTAGGTGGTATTAATATAGCCATTTATGTTTTCTTTTGATTATGTTTGTATATCTTTTTACATTTAACCTGTCTGTATCATTATGTTTGAAATGAACTTATTGCAGACATCATAGAGTTGGGACATTTTTCTTTTTCTTTTGAGTAAGGGTCTTGCTATGCTGCCCAGGCTGGTCTCAAACTCCTGGGCTGAAGTGATCCTCCTGCCTCAGCCTCCTGAGTAGCTGGGATTACAGGTATGCACCACAGCACCTGGCTTTTAATCCACTCTGCCAATCTCATTTTTAATTGTTATATTTGCAAATGTACATTTACATTTAATGTAATTACATGTTAGGGCTTATGTATGCCATTTTTTTGTTTCTGTGTGTTCTCTTTGTTTTCATTTATCTGATTTCCTGTATCCTGCGAGCCTGTGGGTTATTTGTTCAATCACCACTATTCATCTCCAGAATCTTTTCATCACCCCAAACAGAAACTCTCTACCCATTAAACAATAACACCCCTTCCCCTTTATCTACAACGTTTTTATTGCACCCCTTTGTATATCTTTTTAGTGGTTGCTCTAGGTTTTACATTATATATATTCATCAGAGTCTACTGGTGTCATCTTTTTACCAGTTTAAATATAGAAACCTTACCTCCCTTTACATTATCACCCTGTTTATAATAGTCTTAAATATTTTCTCTACATGCATTTAGAACTACATCAAACAATGCTATAATTTTTGCTTCCACTATCAATTTAGAAATTTTAAAAACTCAAGAGGAGGAAAGTTTATTGTATATACCCATATTTTTTTGCTGTGGTTTTCCTTCGTGTTCCAAGTTTCCTTCTTTTATAATTTCCTTTCTGTTTAGGAAATTTCTTTAGCCATTCTTTTTGGTAGGTCTGCTGGTGACAAATTCTCTTACCTTTCCTTCATCTGAGATGTCTCCATTTCCCTTTCATTACTGAAGGACATTTTCACTGGACATTGGATTCTAGGTAGACAATTCTTTTAGTTCAGTACTTGAAGAATGTTATGCCATTTCCCTCTGGTCTCCATGGTTTCAGGTTAAAAATCTGCTGTCACTTGAATTGGTTCTCCCCTATCAATAATGCACCATTTCTCTCTGGCTGTTTTCAGTATCAATATTTTTTCTTTATCTTCAACCTTCAGAAGCTTAATTATCACATGTCTTAGCATCATAGATTTCTTTCAGTTTATCCTACTTGGGATTTGTTCAGTTTCCTGAATCTGAAGTTTCATCTCTTTTGCCAAGTAAGGGGAATTTTCAGCTATTCTTTGAATTTTTTTTTCCTTTTAAATATCATGCAGATCCTTGAGACCCTGTTCATTATTTCCCCTATCTCTATTGTTCAGATTGGGTAAGTTCTATCTGTCTGTCCTCAATCACTGATTCTATCCTATGGTATCTTCAATCTACTATCGAGCCCATACAGCAAGTTTTAAAATTTTACTTGTACTTGTTTTCTGTTCTATAATTTTCATTTAATTCTTTAATAAATTCTCTTTTTTTTTGCTGGGTTTTAAATTTTTGTTTCAAGAGAATTTGAATGATTGTTGAAGCATTTTATGATGCTATTTTAATATCATTGTTAGATAATTTGAACACTTGATTTATCTCATCATTTGACAGCCGTTGATTGCTTTTCTCATCCGTGTTGTGATTTTTCTGGTTCTTGGATGAATGATTTTTTATTGTATCCTGGATATTTTGGATAGCATATTATAAGAGTTTGGATTTGTATCCTATTTAATAATTCTTCTTCTTCTTCTTCCTTCTTCCTTCTTCTTCTTCACAGGCATGTTTAGTTTCCCTCTGGGCCCCACTGACAGTAACTTGGCAAAACTGAAGTACTGACTCACATGGTCTTATTGCAAATGGTGGGCTGGAAGTTCAGCTCTCCTATTGCTCCACTGACAACATCCCAGTGAAAGTGTGGCACCAACTTCGACCACCTTGATGCCTCTGATTGGGGATGTAAGCTTGTCTCCTTGCTCAATCTGCTGGGGGAACTGGAGCATTGTCTGCTTCTATAAGGTAGGGAATAAAAGGTCAGCTCCCAGTCAGACCTACCAAAGTCACCCACAGGGAACTGGAGAGCTGCCTCCCACTTCCATAGGTTAAGGGGTAGAGTGGAATATCAACTTCCTGGTTGGCTCTGCTGAAACTGTGCTGGGGGTTGAGGTTTGGGGAATGCAGTTGTTCCATCAGTGTTTGGTTGGACTAGGGAAGAAGCTGATGAGGTTTTTCATTGTTGGGCCACACTTTTTTCTATTCTTTGACTCAGGAAAACAGGCTTTCCATGGGTCTTTGTTTTGTCTGTGCCTATTCATGGTGCAGGGCTGCAGAATTCTGTAGTGCCTTGTCCGACATTTAGGAGGAAATGAGGAAACTAGGGAATTTACCACATGTCATTCCTCAAGTCTTGGGATCCCTAGGCAGTCTGACTTCTTTCCAACTTTCAAAGTCTTCCTATGCTTGTTTTTTGTGTTATATCCAGGTTTTTCTGAGAGGGCCTAGGAAAAATGGGACTACTCTATCTTGGTGGAACCAGAAGTCTCAAAAGGCCATTTTTATTTTATTTTATTTTTTGAAACAGGGTGTGGCTCTGTTGCCTAGGCTGGAATGCAGTGTTGTGATTTAGGCTGACTGCAACCTCTACCTCCTGGGCTCAAGCTATCCTTCTACCTCAGCCTCCCAAGTAGCTGGGACTACAGGCACATGCCACCATGCCCTGCTAATTTTTTATATTTTTTGTAGAGATGGCGTTTCGCCGTGGTGCCCAGGCTGGTCTTGAACTCCTCGGTTCAAGCAATCTGCCCACCTTGGCCTCCCAAACTGCTGGGATTACAGGTGTGAGCCACAGTGCCTGGCCTCAAAAGGCCATTTTTAAACACTTGCTTTAGTTTACCGCCTAGAGTCTCCTCCAGGTTGTCAAAAGCCATGAATCGTGTACTTTATCAATTTACAACCCAAACCTTACCCTGCACAGATGCATAAGATATATAAACAGGTTGAATCAAATACATAGGAAGACTTCCAGTTTCCAGTTTATGTAAGGAGTTTGGAAGTCATCACTCCATTCTAACCACAAGCAAAAACTGAACAAACTCTTCTTAGATTTTGTTTTGAGACAGGGTGTCTTTTTGCCTAAGCTGAGTGCGGGGGCACAATCATGGCTTACTACAGCCTCGACCTCCTGGGCTCAAGTTATCCTCCTGCCTCAGCCTCCTGCATAGCTGGGACTATAGGCGCACATCACCTTGCCTGGCTCATTTTTTGTAGAGGTGTTTTCCACCATATTGCTGAGGCCAGTATTCTTAGATTCTTCACAGAAGTGAGGTCACAGGGCAAACTGCTGCCTCCTAAGCTGGGGGGTCAGATAAGCAGATACAGAGAATTGCAACATGCTGGAGCATCATCTCAGAAACAGAAATCTCTGAGTGAAGCAGTACTCATGAGGAAAACCTAAACTGTAATTGAAGAAATGCTGAGACTCACAGTGGACAAGTCTGAGAGTTAAAAACCCTAGGATGGGGCAGTGGGGCGAGGCTGTCATGGAAGCTTCTCACACTTGTGTGGGTTTTACCTCTTAGAGCTTTGGTAGGTTCTCACAGTGAATATCAGAGAAAAAAAATCCATGCTTCTGGAAGGAGAAAGGAAAAAGTTATTTTGAAATATGCCAGAGCATTCAATGATAAAGAAAAAATTCTTGGAAGAGCCAGAGGAGAAAAGTACCTTACCTATAGAAGAACAAAGGTAAGAATTATATCAGGACTTCTCAGAAACTATGCAAGCAAGAAGGGAGTAGAATGAAGTATTTCAACTGTTGAGAAAAAACCCTCCAACGTAGAATTCTGTATCCTGTGGAATTATCCTTCAAAAACGAAGGAGAAATAAGCACTCTCTCAGACAAATGAAAATTGAGGGAATTTGTTGCCAGTAGACCTGCCTTGCAAGAAATGTTAAAAGAAGTTCTTCAGAGAGAAGGAAAATGATGTAGGTCAGAAATTCTGATCTACATGGAGAAAGGAAGAGCAATAGAGAAAGAATAGTTGAAAATAAAGTAAAAAACTTAACTTTTTCTTGTTGATCTAACAGATGATAGTTTATTCAAAATGATAGCAATGATGTATTGAATGATTATAGTTTATATATAAATGCAAAGAATGACAGCAGTTATACTGGAGGGAATAATTAGGGATATTTCATTATTATAAAGTATTTGCACTACCCATGAAGTGGTACAGTGCTATTTGAAAGTGGACTTGGATTAGTTGTAAATGTATATTGCAACTTTAGGGCAACTACTAAAAAAAGTTGAAAAAAGAAGTACAATTCATATGCTAAGAAATGAAAGACAGAAAGTGAAATCATAAGAGGAAATAATAGCACCCTGCACTTCTGTGGGGCTTCATGGTTTATGAGCACTTAAAAAAATCATATATATAAAAATATGTGTATATTTTTAAATATATGTGTAATTTAAAAATACATATTTAACAATGTTTACTTCACCTACCTTGCAACATTAATATATATTCTCTCAACAATGTTGCAAGGTAGGTGGAGTAGACTTTGTTATTGAAAACAAAACAAAACAAAACAATGAAGTTTGGTTAAAGCTTCCTTTATTCTACTGGACATAGCATGCTTAACAAGTAATCATGGAGCATAATTTCGCCTTTTGAAGTACAATGACTTACAAGTTATAGAGTCAGAAAGATTTGAATTCAAATTCCAGCTCTACCACTTTATCAGCTGTGTAATCTTGGATAAATTACTAATCCCCTCTGTGCCTCAATTTCTTCATCTGTTAACACAGGGATAATAATCCAAATACTATTTATTTTTAAATTTTATTATTTATTTATTTATTTATTTATTTATTTATTTTGAGACAGAGTTTTGCTCTCGTTGTCCAACCTAGAGTGAAATGGCACGATTTCGGCTCACCGCAACCTCTGCCTCCGGGGTTCAAGCAATTCTCCCGCCCCAGGCTCCCGAGTAGCTGGGATTACAGGCATGCGCCACCATGCCTGGCTAATTTTGTATTTTTAGTAGAGACAGGGTTTCTCCACGTTGGTCAAGCTGGTCTCAAACTCCCAACCTCAGGTGATCTGCCAGCCTCGGCCTCCCAGAGTGCTGAGATTACAGGCATGAGCCACCACACCCGGCATTATTTACTTTAAAAGGTTGCTTTGAGGACTGAGATAATCCCACATTTAAAGCAGAATGCCTAGCGTGTTATAAGCACTCAATAAATTGTAGCTATTTATTAAAACCAAAATCAAAAATCAAAAATCCAAACCAAAACAAAAAAACAAACCTCATCACGTTTCCATAATGAGGAAGTAATGATTCAGACTCCAAGCTTTCGAAAACAGGAAAGATGCCTCTGTCTATTCCTGTTTGGTTGTGTTGCACCTCACATGTTACTTAATAAGCCCTGGCATCTCTGTAATTTTAGAACTGGAAGGAACTTAAAGGTCATCTATTCCAAGCTTCTCATTTTATAGATAAAGCATCTGAGGCTGAGAGGGGTTGAATGAATTACAAGATTACAGTGCTAGCACTCTTCCTGCTACAGCTGGTAAAGCACACCAACAGTGAGCAGGAAACAAACCTAAGAAAAACATCCAGATTCCAGAAAGGAAAAGACTCAGACAATAAAACCTGAGAGAGCAGGTTTCAAAAGTTATAAATAACCCCCTATAGGCTAAGCACCCAGGTACGAGGGCAGTGCCTACAAACTATACTCAAGGAAGTCAATGAGGTCCTCATGGAAGTCTATTAGGGGGTAACTTAACTGGTAGTCAACCAGACTAGAACTGCCCTGGACTTCATGAGTGGTGAAGGCCACAGTGAGGAGGGCTATGCCGCTGAGCAGAGGCTATCTTCTACAAACAGTGGAGCTGAAAGACGGAGATGGTGGACACAGAAGTGCAATACTGTCAATACTGCATATCCAATCCCTAAGAGTCAGTCATAATGGCGAGCAAGTATCATTAATCCAGCCAGCAAACGGGCCCCAAACCACACAGGTGACATAAAAGATGTAGAAAATATTCAGATTAAGACTTTTTGCTAATAGTTGTGCTTTCACCCATTTCTTCAACTGGTCATAGCAGCAATTCCCAGAAATGTCTCAGATAGATATATATATTTTACTTGAAAATGATAAAAATGTGCCAGGCGCAGTGGGTAACTCATGCCTGTAATCTCAACTACTTGGGAGGCTGAAGCAGGAAAATCGCTTGAGCCCAGGAGTTTGAGACTACAGTGAGCCATAATTGCACCACTGCAGTCTGGCCTGGGTGACACAGCGAGACACTAACTCTTAAAACACAAAACAAAACAAAACAAGATAAAAATTGATTTGTTTAAATGAGAAGAAATGCTATTTTTTGCAATTCAGAATTTCTTTTAATAACACATTTTGTCAGTTTACTTTTACTTTTATATTAGTTGTGAGCTAGAGTAGTCAGGAAATTAGTTAGTTCTTTGCCAACCTCGCTGATTCATTTTTATTAACAGAATTATAAATGTAGTCCTTCTTACCCTTATCTGAAAGTGTGTTTTGCATAAAAGCAGAAGGTTTTTAAAAATATAATTTCTCAAATTTAAGAGATGAAATTTTTCCTTTTTCTATCTTGTCTCTCTCTGGTTTCAGTCTTCTAAGAATAATTCAAAGTGAAAATATGTATGAGATATGTTGAATAAGCTATAAGCTAGTGTAACAGCTATTAAGCATTTTAAAAAGATGTCAAAAGCAGTTCTAAAAACTGTTTTTGTTGTTGGAGGAATGTTAAGAGGACAACAAAAGCTGTTTACAAAATAGTAAATACAATGAGAGCGTTCTTTCATAAAAATGTGCATATGAGTTTATGTGTATGCACAAAAAAGAAAAAAATCTGTGGAAATTCACCCCGAATGTTAAAACTGATTTTCTTTTTCTGGGTCTTGGGCTTTCATGGGACTTTTATTTCTGTTTACTTGTTTGTATTTTCTAATTTTCCTACAATAAATATGTATTTTGGCTGAAAGACAAAAGGTTTTCTTTTTCCCGTCTTTTTTTGATGTTTACTTACATTTTACAGAGTCAAATCTGGAGTGGAGGGGAAGACAAGAGCAAAGTCCAGAATGAGTATCAATTAAAGCTTCTCCAGGCTGAACAGCATGTGGGGGCAGGAGTCCACTTGATACTAAAGTGGGATTTTGTGTGTGTGTGTGTGTGTGTGTGTTCTTCCTTATTGTGTGGTGAAAATGCAATTATAGAAAACTAATTTGCGCGGCGCGCGGTGGCTCACGCCTGTAATCCCAGCACTTTGGGAGGCCGAGGCGCGTGGATCACGGGGTCAGGAGATCGAGATCATCCTGGCTAACACAGTGAAACCCCGTCTCTAGTAAAAATACAAAAAAAAATTAGCTGGGTGTGGTGGCGGGCGCCTGTAGTCCCAGCTACTCGGGAGGCTGAGGCAGGAGAATGGCGTGAACCCAGGAGGCGGAGCTTGCAGTGAGCCGAGATCGCGCCACTGCACTCCAGCCTGGGCGACAGATCGAGAGGCTGGCTCAAAAAAAAAACAAAAAAAAACAAACTAATTTGCAGTTGCTCTGAAAACTAAATTTCTTTCCCTGTTGTTTCTAGAGGTGCTTCTTTGACAATTCACAGTTTAGGCTTAAGGCAATTAGGCACTGTGTAGAAAGGGCCAATACAAAGTGAAGAAGCAACATAAATCTCTGCCCTTACAAGTACTATTTTTCTCTCCCAGCTAACTCTGAAGCCTCTTCTCCTCTAATCTGCGTATTCTTTTTCCTTTAACAAACACTTTTTTTCATGCTGATTAAATCATGGGAGATAAAAAGAAGTCAGCCCAGATCTGAAAACTGATAGTCTAGTTGAGTCAAAAAGGCACATGTTGGAAAAGTTAACTAAAAATATGGGGGCAGTATGCACTAAGGCATGAAATGACTTACACAGAGGTCTTACAGCAGTTAAAGGTAGGGCTGGTAACTTTACTGTGGTCATGGTCTAGATCAGCACTGTCCAACAAAACTTTTCTACAGTGATGGAAATATTTATTTTGCGCTGATTAATACAGTAGCCACCAGCTACATGTGGTTATTATTTGATATGTGGTTAGCACAATTGGGGAACTAAATTTTAAATTATCTAGCTTATATTTCAATTTAAATAGCTACACGTGGGTCGGGTGCGGTGGCTCACGCCTATAATCCCAGCACTTTGGGAGGCTGAGGCGGGTGGATCACGAGGCCAGGAGTTTGAGACCAGCCAGGCCAATATGGTGAAACCCTGTCTCTACCAAAAATACAAAAATTAGCTGGGCGTGGTGGTGTGTGCCTGTAGTCCTAGCTGCTCAGGAGGCTGAGGTAGGAGAATCACTTGAACCCGGGAGGCAGAGGTTGCAGTCAGCCGAGATCCCACCACTGCACTCCAGCCTTGGTGACAGAGTAAGACTCCATCTCAAAAAAAAAAAAACACAAACAAAAAAAAAACCTGCTTGTGGCTGGTGATTATGGTATTGAAGAGTGCAGGCCTAGGTTCTAGAAGGTGTCACTAGTTAAAGTAAGACTTGTCGTGTTACTTGAAGAAAGGGAGGATTCGAAAAACAGAATAAAGAAAAGTGTCCCAGAAGAAGGCAAAGTATGAATGGGCTGTACTCAAGTCACACTGAGGGTGAGAAAGTGCTTCATGCCTGGATAGGGGTTTGTGCTGTGTTGCTACACAGGGCAGACCATGTCCTTGAGAGAGGATCTGAAGCTGTAGGTAATGAGGAGTCATTGATTATTTGTGATCAGTGGATTATCATGGCTCTTACCTTGTGCCAGGCATTTTGTTGAGTGCCTTAAATGGAATATTTCATACTATAACAACCCTTTGAAGGAGAAGAAAAAAAAAGACTGAGAAAAGGGTGACTGAGCTTATCAAGGAGATCCTTGAAGAAAAGGGAGGAATAAACATAGATTTGTCTAGGCAGTTTGGCAGTGAAAGAAATGAGTGCTTGAGGAGGGTTAAATTAAGTTTCCTCCCCCAGGTAGGTCAAACCCATTTGGGCTGAAAGTAGAAAGGAAGAACCTACTGCAGAGAAAGAGGGGGAAGATCTGGACAGGGGTGAGAGGCAGCCCGCAGGCCCCAACGGCTGTCTTGGAAAGGGAGAAGGGACTCCTGGTCCTTTGGGTACATGAGAATGTTCACAAAATGGGTGGTACACAGCAATACTTGGAAAAGAGTGATAGAAGTTGCTGGAGCTAGATTTTTTTTTTTTTTTTTAATCTCAGTGAAGAATCAGAGACATCTGCCAAGAGGGAAGAAAAATGGGGTGGGGAGAAGGGAGATCTGAAATAATACCAGTTGGGGCTGCCCTAATAATGACTACTACCACCTTTATCATGTGGTTATCATGAGCCTATTATGGGTATTTACATATATTCTCCTTTATCTAACAATTTAGTTAAGTATTAATTCCAATTATTTCTCAGTTATACGGAAGTTAAGGCTCAAAAACGTTATCACGTTAATTTAAGAAAAAGAATTGCCTACCACCTCATGCCAGGGGCTGTTCTAGGCAAAAAATTTAGACAAGCAGGGGGCCTGCCGTCATGGTTTTATGTAAGTGGTGCAGACAGAAAAATAAAACATCAGATCATTTCAGAGTTTAAGTGGTGTGGAAATAATAAAATGTGTTATGGTATTAACGGTGGGGAGGAAGTACATTAGTGTGGTCAGCCAGGGGAGGACTCTGTAAGGGGACAAGTGAGCTGAGAAGAACTTCAGGATGAAAAAGGTAGGAGGAAGAGTTTTCTGGGCCAAGGAAAGGGCAAGTGCAGAGGCCCTGAGGCACGAACTAGCTGGGCTCCTGAAGAAATGCAAAGGTAGTGCAGCCGATGCTGATCAAGGAGGTCTAGGCCAAGGCTGCAGACGCCATAGCAAGCGATGGGAAGGATTTACCCGAGGGGGTAAAGCCGATCCGATCCGATAGCATAAGGCTTCCTAGGGAGCAAGGGCCAGGCTGCCCGGCTCTCCAGCGCGTGTTCTTTCCACCCGGCTAAGCTGCCCGGCACATGGCTCTGGGGCGAGGCCACCGTCAGGAGAGGTTCCAGGCCAAGGGGCCAAAGGGCCACGGTCCGCGGGGGATGGGGACATGACCTCCTGGGTGTCGCAAGCCCGGGGCAGCGCTGACAGCCGGCGCGGGCCTTTCGCGAGCAGCAAGCGGCTCCCCTCACCCGGGCCCAATCACCCCCGCCTTTAATTCCCATTAGGGACCCCCCGCCGACGCAGAACCAGCCCCCGGGCGGCCTGGCTTGGTTTTTCATCCCGGGAGATGGATCCGTCGCCCAAAAGTTCGGAATGACGGTACCCCTTTCCCTTAAGATCGATGAGGAGACGAAATAAATTGGGATCAGGGCTACGTCCTATGGAAAACAGCCCTTTGTATTTTTGTCTAGTTTTCCCCCAAGGCTTTCCATAAACTACTCGTTTCTCGGTACGCTCTCCAAGTCACCCCCTCCAACAGCGAGCCCGTTGGTTTGGCCCCTCAGCCCGGATTGGCTGAAGGCTTACGCCTCGGCCAGGGATTGGCTTCTTACCACTCCCCGCGCCCATTGGTTGGGATTCCCCGCTTCTGGGCGGAGTGGTGAGGGCCGGTTTCCGCCTCCTTGTTTATGGAGCGCGTAGTTGTTGCGCTCTCCGAGCGCTGGGGCTGTCTCCAAAGTTCCCTATTTAGCTCCTCAGGCCAATTGGGGCCTCGCTCCACCCTCGCCCTCTCCCTCGCACGCCTTCCGTGTGGTACGGCGCACACCATTAGAGTGGCGGCGCGTGTGGGCGCCCGTCGCGTTCCTCCGCCCGTTCTCGCCGGGTCGCACCCCCCACCCCGAGGGTGTACTTGGTACGGCCCGCTCCGCCTCCTTTCCTCGCCCGGGTGGCCATCCCCCTCCCCCCAGTCGGCGGCACTTGGTGCCGCCCGGGAGAACCAGGTCATCGGTCGGTTCCCGTGAAAACAAAAACAATCGGCCGCGCCGTCGCAGGCACCCGAACGTCGCGAGCGGGGCCTGGGGACGCGGGGCCGAGTGCAGCGAGCGAACGGGAGCAGCGGCGACTCGCCAGGGGGCTAGGGCGCCATGGGGCAGGCGGGCTCCGGCTGCGCGGGGCTCCCCCGGCGCCGCGGCTAGTGCGCCCGCCGCCTCGGCCGCCTCAGCCTCCCGCGCCGCCCGCTTGGGGAACGAGGAGCAGGACGCGGCCTCGGCGGGGCCCGGGCCGAACGGCTGCGGACACCTGGGCGCCGAGGAGCCGAGCGCCGCCGCCTCCGGCATGGATCAGTGCGTGACGGTGGAGCGCGAGCTGGAGAAGGTGCTGCACAAGTTCTCGGGCTACGGGCAGCTGTGCGAGCGCGGCCTGGAGGAGCTCATCGACTACACCGGCGGTCTCAAGCACGAGATCCTGCAGAGCCACGGTAGGGCGGCCCGCGTGGGCGCGCGGGGCAGGGCCCACTGCCCGAGCCCCGGTCCCGGCCCCGCGGCGGGAATCCCTCACCCACCCTCGCGCCTCTGGCCCGGCCCTTGCCTCCCCTGAGGCGCGGAGGCCCCCAGACCCCTGAGACTTTTTCCCCTCTTCGTCCGATTTACCTCGAACCTGCCGCGACCTCGCTGCCAATTCAGAAGGAGCGCGAACCACCCGGAAACCCGGCCGGGAGCGGCGGGCTCCAGTCCGGATAAACGTGGGTGAGGGGGCCGCCCATCGCACCTGCAAACTGCCGACCCCCGAGTGGGCGCCCCTCGTCCCCCGCCCCCAGCCGGCCCCGGGAGTTTCACGTGGTGCCCGCGGCGCTGTTCTGCGGGCGGTGACTGAATCGCCTGGGACCCCAGGTTCTGAGTGATGAGGGCAGTGCAGGAAGCTCCGTTTCCCCTCTGTGCCGCCCCGAATCATTGGCCAGGGGACTTCGTTTCTTCGTTTTATTTTGGAAAGTCGAGCGTTATTCTTAGCTGTGGGTTAACAACAGCCGCTCCTGCAACTTCATGATTTGGCTGCTGTGTGGACGCAGCTCTTAACTCCGCAGCGGCTCTGACATGGTTCCTTGGAAACCAGCTCAATTCAACCCTTCTGTTCTCCCAGTGTACCTTTTGATGACACCGAGGAGGAACGGGCGACATTTGCCCAAGTAAATGGTGCACATGTTGCTAGTTACTTGCTTTGCCTGGTTAAGTTCGTTCAAAAAAAATAAATTTTCCTATAGAAGACGTTTCACCTAGATTGTTTTTTTTTTTTACTGCCCCAAGCCCTGAGGACAGGTACTTTTAAAGGTTTGGTTTTCTTACAGTTTAGAAGTCACAGCGATGATTCCTTTTGATCAAGAAGTAAAGGACTTATTTAGTGGGTCTTTAATAAGAGGCTGAGGAGGCTTTTCAGCTTGTGGGCTGAACAGAAATTTATGTGAAGGACGGTTTGGTAGCTGGGGGAAGATGCAGATTATTTGTGGCAGGTGAGATGAGGGCAGTGGCGTTAGCTGAGTGTCTCTCTCCTTCTCCTTCATTTTTTCACACTTTCCCAGACTGCGTTTCAGTTGAGGATGGGTGCTGGTCCATGGGAAAGGAGTCTTACAGCAGCTTCTCATTCTGGACACTGCAGTCATTTTTGAACTCCAGGAAGGAAGCAAACCTGCAGTCATAGTGGATGAGATTTTAATATGGAAAAACCGTATTAATTCTCATAGGAGTTGCAATACTAGTATGGAAAAACGAGCAGACCTTGGTGGCTGCCTGTGAAGGGAAATTTGACTGACGTGGCGATGATGATATAGTTGGTAGATACAGGGAAGTGAAGGTGGAATGGGACAGGAATCCTGGGAAGACTTTGAATTTGGTTTTGGACATGTGAAGTAAGGTTGAAGGGCTTAATGAAGATAGAATCGAGGGCTTTCCTATTTACTGGTGGCTGGAGATGCATAGGTCTAAGATTGTTTTCTGATGTCATTTCTAGGAGGACAGTGGAGGGGATCACTTAGATTGCACAGAAGAAAGACTAGAGTCTAACCACAGTCTTGAATTTTCCTTGGCGAGTGGAGAGCCAAGGCTAGATAGAGCCAGCAGAAATCGAAAAGGGCGAGGACTTAGAAAAGGAGAGATTGGTCAGCTTTTATTTGGCTATTGGGAGTCAGTAACCCTCTGTGCTTGCAGTTTCATAGAATTGCTAAGACAAGCCAGATTACTGGGGGTTAAGAAGAAAAATTCGATGTGAACCGCGGTGTGGGAAATCCAGTACAGCGGTGGGAGGTATTCCCTCTGTGCTCCCGGCCCTGCCAAGGAACCAGTGGAGGAAGAGAATGAAGGGCCTAGACTTGGAGAGGTGGAAGGAACATTTCGTTTTTAGGGACCAGGTCATAGGCAGAGTTTGAGAGGAAAATGATGGAACAGAAAGTACCTTTCTTCCATGAGAGAGGATGTAAGTTGAAGGGGGATGTGATTGTGAGCTTTGTTTTAGAAAATTTAGGGCCAGGCTCAGATGGATAAAATGATGGTGAGAAATTGCTGAGGCAGGAATTTGTTTTTGACTCTCCACTGGGTACTAGGGAACTTTTCTCAGAATTTATGGTTTGAGGGGTATTGGCCACACAGTATGCTATGCTGTTAAAAACAGTCTGAGTTGGTGAGTTTGTGTGTTCCTTTTTCAGCCTCCTAATTTTTTCCCTCTTGTCTACCAAATTGCTAGTCTTATATTGGTATCTCTTTGATTTCCTTTAATTCTTCAATAATAGGATTAAGTGACTAAAGGTAGTTATAAAACATGAAAGAAAATAAATACCACAAGTGCCAGGTCTAGTTTCCCAAATAAAATCTTTCTTCTTTTGGTGTTTTTTTGTGTAAAGGTAAACATCATGCTTTGGCATCTGGGCTATGGTATTTTTGAAAACAGATGATTTCTAAATTAAAGTTCTCGGCAGGTGATGTGGTAGATATTACATTGAAACTTAAATATGCCCTTCTCAAAGGTATTTTACTGAAAACTGAGTTTGGAACTCTATTTTCAAGTTTAAAGGGAAGATTTTTGGGCTTCTGAATATACCTGTCTGGGCAAATGATTCTGATAACCTGAGAGGCTCTAATTGGGACCCCTCTGTCAGGACTTTGGACCTCATTCTCTGAGATTACTTGTGGTAATACTTGCAAGAATCTGGTATGAATAAAACAGAATTTTTGAGGACTATATAGAACACATCATTGCATCATACTGGTGAATGACTGTTGCAGAAGCATCCTTTAGCCAACCTAAAGGGATTGGTTCAGTTTCTGAGGATGAATGTTTTATGTTAAAATTTTTTTTTCATCTCTGAAGTTGTGAGCAGACAGCTATATACTAAATGAGCTGTTAGGATAGTTTGTGATGGAAACTGATCATACATAAATAAGAGTTTAGTTAGTAAGCCCATTGACAACCCTTTTCTAGTCTCAGCACCCTTATTCCAGATTGTAAATACTGCCTGATTGCTGGCTGGGAGATAGTCCTGCAGTGAGCCCTAAAATTTCTCAGGTGGTCTAAATCACCTTTAAGTAGCTTGAAATTCTTTTACATAAAATTTCTCTCGTTAATCTTTTTTAAAATGCAAGTTTGTTAATGCAGATACACTTGGGGAAATGAGGATAGTATGGGCTGGTCTCTCATACCTGGTGAATTGGTTTGTGCTCTGCCATTTAATCCACCTCTGGCCAAATCCATCAGCCTGACAACAGGAATATCTTTTTTTTTTTCTTTTAAATGGGGTTGGACTGGTATCAGGCCTGCAGCAGAGAACAATAATGGAATATAAGGCTCTGAGAGGGAAGTGCAGGCTTCGACTTGGTGCCATAGACAGTTAGGGAATATTGGTGGTTCAGGGACAACATAGGTGTAATAGAAATATGAAGAGGCAATAAGAACCAGGGAGAATACTGAAGAGCTCTGCCGAGGCCAAGACATTCCTCTCCCTGGAGACTGACTCTAGACTTCTCTTCATGCCTTTGGAATTAGAAACCTTAGGGTGGTAGATAGGAGGGTGGGGAGTGATCCAGAGCCTGCAGTGAGGTGTCCAAGGTAAGAGGAATAGAGATCACAGCTTCTGTCATTTAGTTGTGCCAGCCTTTCAGTGAGAGTTTCCCTGTGAGCACGAAGTTTGGTCTAAGTTCATTGTGGTTAATGTAGGCTGGTGGTCATTCCCAGTGTGCCTCGATCTAATTTGTATAGTGCACTGGTGCTTCTAAAACTTCACTCATACACATGTGCACTCTTATTTTTCAGATGGATTCACGATTTTACTTAAGTAGATTTATCTTAGGCAGTGATATTTGTGTAGTCCTACATGTGGTATGTAGGTATTAGGTATAATAAACTACATGTTAAAATAAATTCATAACAATTAAAATATTAGTTTACATACTAGCTAAAATTACCATTCGCATCAGTGGTATGGGAGCGGTGCTTTGGATAACCCTGGCTTAACAGGGTTAACTACTGTATGGTTAACTTTTAGTGATTTGATTTGTGAGTATATGCCTTTTAGCATTTTTTTCCTATTGGCAAATTTATATTGTTTCCCATTAGCACCTCTGTGGTGGAAGGGAAAAACAGAAAAGAACTATTTATCATGTTTTGCTGGTATTCTGCACTCATACTTTGTGAAAGAAAATTAGGCAGAAACAGTTGGTAATGGTTTCAGGACACATTTAAAAGTATACTTGGGAAAATTGCAGTTTTTGTAAGAGTAAAGGACATGCAGTATTCTTTTCTGATTATTTTTAGACTAACGGAGTTCTAATGTGGTTTCTGAAAGTGACTTTCAAGGAATTTTCTAAATTTAAAATTTATTTATTAATTTTTAGTAAGTCATACATTCAAATGGTATCCATTCAAACAATGAAAAAGATAACCCAGTGAATAGTACATTCAAATGGTATAAACTCAAATGATAAAAAAGACACCCATTGAAAAATCTTTCTACTCTTGTTCCTGGACCACCTGGTTGCCCACTTCACAGACATAAATGCCAGTCTCCAGAAAAAAAATTTTTTTGTTGTTTTTTGAGACAGCCTCCCTCTGTCACCCAGGCTGGAGTGCAGTGGTGCGATCTTAGCTCACTGCAACCTCCGCCTCCTGGCTTCAGGCAATTCTCCTGCCTCAGCCTCCTGAGTAGCTGGGATTACAGGCACCACCTGCCACCACGCCTGGCTAATTTTTGTATTTTTAGTAGAGACGGGGTTTCAACATGTGGGTCAGGCTGGTCTTGAACACCTGACCTCAAGCAGTCCACACGCCTCGGCCTCCCAAACTGCAGGGATTACAGGCGTGAGCCACTGCGCCCGACCTCCAGAAAAAATTTTAAAAGAATCCAGTGAAATGACGATTTGTCACTTTTCCTTTTTTCTTTAACGCATCGGATATGTATTTCCATTTACTATGATTAAGGCTTAGTGTTATCTCACTTTGCAAGTTGGTAAAGATGTCTTCATCTGTGGGAGTGATCAACATATACTGTATTAGCACCTAAAACTCCTTTGGTGTGTGTGTATGTTGTGACTTCTAGTAGTAAAACTCATGTAAACCATAACTCCTACCCTTATCTCTTCGGTGAATCAAAGAAACTGTTGAAACTTTGGTTACCAGTTGGAGAACTGCTGTCTTTTTAAAAATGTGAAGGTAACAAATGAGAAGGTAAGTAGGCAAGTAAAACATGAAAAACAAAAAAAGAAACTTGTGGAGGTCACGTTTTTAACT
The DNA here is from genome assembly GCF_000001405.40 of Homo sapiens. Taxonomy (NCBI): domain Eukaryota; kingdom Metazoa; phylum Chordata; class Mammalia; order Primates; family Hominidae; genus Homo; species Homo sapiens. Next base: position 87,070,630 of record NC_000002.12, on the reverse strand, counting down.
CATTGCTGTGGTATGATATTGCATCAGTACACAGAAACCAGAGGTTGAGGGTCGCATGTTAGGTATAATCTTCCAATCTAGAATTTGGGTTGTGTATATTAAACACATGTGTTGAAAAGTATGCTTATTTGTATATATGAATGATCTGTGCTTTTTCAGAGCCGACCAGTGTTGAATATATTGTTTTGAATGAAAGTAAATGTATTATATCGGGGCTTGGTAGACTTGTAGCTTGTTTACCTTTTTAGCCTTATTCTTTGGTGTGCATGGAGTAGGCCTCATAGCCAGGTTGCCCATTTGTTACCCAGACTTTTGCTAAATACTAACAAGACACTCTTGAGAGAATAGTGACTTTGTTTTGAATACAATTTGATATCTGTTTTTAACATCTAGTCTGGAAAATAGTATATCAGTAGGTCATAAATAAAAGTTTGGGTGGACATTGTTCAAACATTCTAAGAGAAGAACGGACTGGTTCTCAAGTTATTTAGGCCATTTTAGGTGGTAAGAATAAAAAGTCAGTATATTGGTGTTTCCAGTTGGGTTTAGAAGTAGATTTAACTTTGTTAGCCATTCTTTTTCCAGACGTACTCTGGAGATAATTAATTCTTTTTTATTTGGCACCATATTCATTTAGACTGGCAGGTGACATAATAGTTTTCATTAAAATGGAATTTGTTGATGTATAAATAGGCTGAGGTTAGGGCTAGGCTGGCTCCAGGGGCACCAGGCATGTCATCAGGACTGATCTTGTTCTCTTCTGTCAACTGTTGGCTTCATTTTCAGGGTAGTTTTCTTCACATGGGGTAGAGATGACCAATGGAGCTCAAAAGACAGGAACATGGCCATTTTGTTGGAGATACTCCAGGGAGTACCTTTATTATTCCGTTATGGATCCTTTCCCTGAATCAGTAACTGGGACCAGGGAGTGAGGTCTTCTGGCCACCTTGAGCTGTGCTCACCCCCTCAGGAGGTATATGGCCTTATAATACACTGTTCATCAGGTAAAGAGACAGTTCTAGAAAGGAACACTTAAACCCAGACAGAGTAATATATGTCTATTACAGTGCAACAGCTACATGTTATATCAGTAACATTCTCTGAGATGTTTTCCTGACTAGCCTCGCCTTCTCAGCTTTTGCCTGGCCTCCTAACTATAATGCTCATATAATTCAAGTAGTGAGTTGTTAGTATGACTTAATCTATAGACTAGAGAATACAACTTGGTTCATGTTCCTCTAGAACTTTTTTGAAATTACTTTAATGCTTGACATAGTAAAGTAATTTTCCTAAAGTTATTTTATTTCTAAAGTAGTTTCTAACTCTGGATAATAACATTGGTAAGGAGAAACTTGCCAACACTTCTGTGATACTGTCATACTAGAGCTAATAGAGAAGTTTCTGTTGTTTTCATGTCTTAGTCTCTTAGTCTTTAGGATGATGAAAATGGTGTTTTAGCAAACTGTTCACTTGGAATATTAAAACTAACTTATTTTTATTTAGGGCCCTGCTTCTTCATCTGTAAGGCTTCCAAAGTCTTTAAAAATGATCCAAAAATGCAGTTTAGGGAGAAAATTATGGAGGGCCCTGGCTCTGAGCTATGTGTACTTGGAGACCCGTGGTACTTCCAGGAGATGATGCTCTCTAACTGGACGTTTCCTTGAAAGCTCTGAGAGTAGCAGACACTTCTGGCCATTCTCTTTAGATTAGATGTTAACTCAACCCTTCAGAGAACAAAGACTAGACTGTCTGGCAGGACTCGAGGATTTTGAGAAATACAGTATGCTTTCACCTTATATGGGTGTGGTGATTGTGTGGCTGAGCTCAAAATGGTTGTTTGGGAATGTCGCTTGGAGAGGCCATAGGCTTATATTACCAAGTCTTTCTCCACTTAAGATGGAGGCCTGGATGGTGATTTCGTCTGTTATGGGGGCACAATGTAGTGTCAGGCTGTGTGTTATTTATGATGAGTTTGTTGTATCTGCAGAATTCATATAGGTTTAATTCATCTTATTGATACATGAAGACATTTGGGAGGAGTTGAGGAGAGAATCTTTTAAAAGAAATTATTCATGGCCCTGGTCCTCCAGGAACTTGGAGGCTAATTGAGAAGTTGAATCTGTATTTGTGGAATAGTACCTAAAATTTTGACCCTGGGCCCAGGAGGTCTGGGTTTGAATCCTTGCACTGCCAATTTACTGGTTCTACAATCTTTTTTTTTTTTGGAGACAGAGTCTCACTCTGTCACCTAGGCTGGAGTGCAGTGGTGTGTGATCTCAGCTCACTGCAACCTCTGCCTCCAGGGTTCAAGCGATTCTTGTGCTCCCAAGTAACTGGGATTACAGGTGTGCACAATGCATGGCTAATTTTTGTATTTTTAGTAGTGACGGAGTTTCACTATGTTGGCTAGGGGGATCTTGAACTCCTGGGCTCAAGTAATCCACCCGTCTCAGCCTCCCAAAGTGCTGGGATTACAGGCATGAGCCACCACGCCCGGCCTGATCCTACAATCTTGCTTAGCCAGTTTTTCCTTCAGTAAACTGACATCACAGAGTTATGAGAGTGAAATAAATAATAGACGTGAACTGGCTTTGAAATTTGTAAAACAGGGTAGACGTGTTATTTATAAAGTCTGTGCCTTAAGTGGTGTTAAGCTTTTTTTTTTTTGAGGCTGAGTCTCGCTCTGTCACCCAGGCTGGAGTGCAGTGGCATGATCTTGGCTCACTGCAACCTCTGCCTCCCAAGTTCAAGCGATTCCCCTGCCTCAGCCCCCCGAGTAGCTGCGATTACAGGCGCATGCCACCAGGCCTGACTTTTTTTTTTTTTTTTTTTGTAGTAGAGACGAGATTTTACCATGTTGGCCAGGATGGTCTCGATCTCTTGACCTCGTAATCTGCCTGCCTTGGCCTCCCAAAGTGCTGGGATTATAGGCGTGAGCCACCACGCCGGGCCCAAGCACTGTTTAATTGAGACATTTTGGGTAATATTTAGGTGTCTTTATTACTGGTTTATGTTAAATACCACTCTGTGTCCAGTGGTCTGCTTAACATTGTAAAGAATGCTTAAAAGGTATAAGAGTCTTTAAGGAACTTAGAAGTTAGTTGGAGAGACCAGACTCATATTTGAAAGGGGGAAAAAACAAGACCATGGCACACAGTGTGTAACAGTGCTTCTGGTTAGTACAGACACCAGTGAAGAGAGAGAGCCCTTAGAAAGAACTGCATGGGAGTAGATGGGCATTATTTCAACTGAACTTTAGATCACCTCATCAGTAGTTATTAATCACCATTTATAGGTAGAACTAAGCAAAATCTTCTAGGAGTTACAAAGAACAAGCATTTTCATCCTCTAAGAACTTTGTGTCCAGTTAGGGAGATGAGACTGGCATTTTTTAACAAACACACAAACAAAAGCAGTGCCCTGTAATGCACGGTTATGTATCTAGGCTAGATGCTACATGAGTGGTGTGGACAAAAAGGGGTAGGATTTGAGACAAGGAGAGACTCTTTTTACCTATGGGAAGTTTTAGTAGCAGAAATTGAATATGGATAGCAGAAAGAGCTATATGGAGTGCCTGGAGGGGAGGATGGCAAGAACAAAGGTGTAGAGGAGTGAGAGGTGAAGGACCAGATTGCAGGGGAAAGGCGATAAGAGCATTAAAATTAAATTGGAATCAGGTTTTGTAAAGCCATGGATACCAGGGAAAGTAGTAGACTGGGAAGATATTGAATTACTTTGGGGTGGGGTGGGGACATTTTGAATAGGGAGGGGACAGGGACACGATCAGAGACCAGTTGTCAGCAGTATTTAGGTTGGTTTGGAGTTGGGAGTGAGGTTTGACTAGAGGCAAGAAGGTTAGCTAAGGCTAAGTGTCAACCTAGATTTGATGAAATAGGGACCTGTCTTTGGGTACTGGTGGTAGAAATTTAAAGGGACACATGAAAGGGATTTCTGAGGGAAGGAATGACCAGGAGTTGGTGCACAGATGGAGTCTGGCAGAGTAGGAGAAAAGGGCAGGAAAAACCAAAGGTTAATCCAAGGTTTTAAACATGAATGATGGGTAGATCATTATGGAACCAGGTAGAAAATAGGAAGTTTAGGAGAGGGGAAGGTGGAAATCTGAGTTTGATTTTTTTTTGTTTTTGTTTTTGTTTTTTTGGGGGGTGGGGGAGGGGGGGTCTCATTCTGTTGCCCAGACTGGATTGCAGTGTCTCGGCTTACCACAATCTCTGCCTCCTGGGTTCAAGTGTTTCTTCTGCCTCAGCCTCCTGAATAGCTGGGATTACAGGCATGCGCCACTACCGCCTGGCTAATTTTTGTAGTTTTAGTAGAGATGGGGTTTCACCATGTTGGCCAGGCTGGTCTTGAACTCCTGAACTCAAATGATCCACCCACCTCGGCCTCCCAGAGTGCTGGGATTATAGGCGTGAGCCACTGCACCTGGCCTGAGTTTGATTTTTAAATATGAAATCCAGATTCCAATGCTACAGGAAACCTAATGTGGTTCCACCATTCATTTCAGAGATAAATGAGATGCCTAGAGATTAAGTCTTTATATTTGGAATTTGAAGGGAGTGAATAGGTTCTCTAAAATGTGACTGTCACAGACATATGTTTAAAATCTTGTGCCTGTATCTTTTTTCTTCTCTCTGCAATTCTTGCCTCATATACTTTGAAGCCTTTCCTGTCTTCTCTATGATAGTCATTGATACTGTTCTTTGCTCCAGGAGCACTATTAGTCTGTACCATGTAATTTCACTCTAAATATTAACTTTATTTCGTTTTTTTCCCCTCATGTTTGGTTTGCAGCACACTGTGCCTCTAATTTGATGCACAGTCTTTAATAATCTCTCTGGATCAGAACACGTGTCTGTCAGTCTACTGTTCTCTGAAAGGTCAGGAGTTGAACACCAAATACCATACTTTCTTTTACTTTGCAGATTTACCAGCTACTAATATACTGGAAAAATTTTGTTTTCAGTGTTTACCTCCTCCAGAAAAAAATGAATGTGTTCTATTTGTGCCTTTTCTCTTTCCTCTAAGCAGCCGCTGTGTCCTAGGTGCTGAAGTAGCTCACAAGAATCCCAAATTTCAATGGGCCGCAGTTTATTTTACTACAGACAAAATGAAATAGTCCCTTATTTTTAAAAAATTCCAACCTTACCTTTTCAAGTTTCAAGTTTTTCTATTCTAGTACTTCGCAAGGATATCCATGGTCACCTTGTCAGTGACTTTTCTAGAGTCAGTCTTAGATCTTTTTATCCTTTATCTACTTTATTCCCATTCTAAATTTCTTAAATCTGTGTAGAAATTGGTAACATGGGAAAAGTATCTTGAACATTGCTGACACAGGCCTTCAGCACTCAATAAATGTTAATTGACTCTAAATGTCATAGTTCTCCCTTTTACATTTTTTTCTGTTTTTTCTTGGTTTCATTTTGTATTTTAAGGCATCAAGGCTTTTATAAGAGTGGTATATCATAGATTTCCCCCCCCACCAGCCTTCTTAGTGATGCCTAATACTCTTTTAGCTTTCTGATTTTAGTGTTTTTATTTAAATAGCTAATCTAGAATGAATTCTGGAGTATATCTCTATGAGGTCTGAGTTTTCATTTAGGTACAGTTAGGTTTGTTTCCTAAATGGATTTCTTTGTATTTATCTGCATCAAAACTTGTGTTCCATTTTGCTTTCCACTTAATTCTAAATTTAAGATCTCTGTCCATCTTATGAAAGTGGAGTTAACTTTTCATAACTCAGAAGAGCTCAAATGCGATACATGTAATATTTATAAACTTGGATATTTTAAATTTTTACTGCCTATAGGATATTCATTAAAATGTCAAGCCAGGTCTTAGTGATTTCTGCGGAATCTTATTTCTGTGGAAATATTCCAGTCTTAGGTGGTGATACTTTCAACCTTCTTGAAAATCATCACCATAACAATACTTTTTTATATTGTGCCTCCCTATTTTTTTATAGAGTGCTCTCAAGTATGGTGGGTCTCATCTCTCATGTGTTTGACTCGTGGGCAGCATGTATTTCATGGTGTAATTGACACCTTTAAACTGCCTTTTATAGACCAAATTAGAACTTTTTATTATCTCCTGATGGCAGACATTTCAGGCTGCAACATGGTGTGCTGCCTACCAACCAGCTGTTTAGTTTTAGCAATGCTATCTTTAACAGTGTGTTTGTGCAGAGTTGAACCCCCTCCCCCCATATCATAAAAATAAGTGGCAGACAGAAAATTAAAAGTGCAGATACTGAGTAGGGATGAGAAACGTACTTGTCAATATTAATGATATATTTGTCTAGATTGTATTAAGGTGAGCCAAAATAGTGGGTAAATCTTGTCACGGAGCTGGACACGAGACGTGCTTTTTTTTGAGGCTTGTGATCAGTAGGGAAGAAAGTAAAACAAATGTATGTACAAAATGCTAAAAGTGTATTGAAGGTGTAACCAAGGTATTAGTAGGGATTTTATAGTTTTTAGCTTTGTGCAAACCAGTCACCCTTTTAATGTGTACGTTTGTTATACCTTCCTATATCTGACTTAGAATATACTTTTATAGGGTCACATTATATATTAGAGATGTTTCATTGCATCTTTGACAAATGTGGAAATAGTTTTGTAAAAAAGAAACTGTCTCAAAAGTGACTTGAGTCAGAGCACAAGCCCATTAATTCCTGGGGTTGGTGGGAGAGGTCATTATTTGGAAGAGAGAAGGAACTTATAACTGATGCCAGGGGACTCTTTTGTGAATGTGTCTTATTTGAAAATATGTGTGCATATGTGTGTTTGTATGTTTGTGTTGATCTTGGGTACTGTGACCTTGTTGAACTCTCATCTATTCTTGGATTGTGTTTGTGTGTAGATTCTTTGGGATTTTCTACTTAGGCAATAATGTTATTGACAGACAGGAACAGTATTATTTCCTAACTTACTTGGTATTTGCAGAACTTAGGCTGCAGTGTTACTGTGTAGCAGATGCTAAACATTCTGTGAGAGAGTGAGGGGTCAGTGAACTGCTGAGTGAAACTGCTGGCAATTTCAGAGGGTGTTGGTAGTACCAGACAGTCTTCAATGCTGGGTTTGAAATTGAGATTATGTAATACATAATTAATTATTTTCATATTTATTCTTTTGGTAACTAGTTACTGAACGTGTAGTATTTGCCAGTTACTATACTAAACGTTGGGGATTGGTCATATTTCCTACTAAAGTTAATTTTGTGGGAGTAATGGACAAATAACTATTTACAACAAAGTGTGAAACTCTGATAGGGAAGTATAGGATGCTATGGAAACAAACATTTTTCTTATTTATTGTTTCTGTGAAACTAGTGGGCATACATCCTAAAATGGCAAAGCAGTGAGGCTCAAGGGCAGAACTTGAAAATTTTGAGTGTCGTGCTTAAAATCTGTTTATATGATAAAAGGTGCTGTTCTATTTTATTGAAAATTTTAACTTAATAAAGCAACACACGTAGATGGTCTACATATGTTCGTTCTTTGCTTATATTGAACATGCTAATTCTTACACTTGTTTAATCATAAAACTGACTTTAAAAAGTACTTGTGACCCTCCAGTGATGAGTGAGCATTGCGTCAGAGTTGTTTCTTTCAGGCTCATGCATTGGGCCTGGGTTCCCTGGGTTTACTACATTGGAAGACACAGTTAGTGCAGGACTTTCTTCTGGGTGACAAGTGACCACCGCAGTGGCCAACCTGGATGTAGTTATGGTGGAGATGGCTGTCACAGTAATTCCCCAGCTTTTCTTCTAGGAACTGAATCCAGTTTCTTTCACATAAAGGTTCTCCTAGAAGCAGGTTGTGTTTTCATACAGAGAAATCAAAAGAACGTTAGAACTCTCCCAGTAGGACTTATAGAAGTTTGGTTGACTGTCAGTCTGGTCATTATAGCAATTTTCAAACCTGTTTTAAACCTTTGGCTGCTTTCCACTGAGTCCATTTGAAAATGCATTAGTGAACTCTTTCTCTCTTAACAGGGCTTTCCCAGGGTTCTCTTTCAGATTATTCCATTCTGCTTTTCTTGAGTTTCCAAATACCTTACAGAAATTATTTTTCCTTGGAGCATTCTGAGAACTCTCAGTATTAATTAATTGGCCATAAACTGCTTGTATCTGTCATTCATAAAATTGAAAACCAAAAATTAGAGGAATTTGTAGATGGTAAAGGAAGAAAAGGAGGTAACAAATAGCACCAAACTCCAGATATGTAAGTTACTACGATTTGAAAATATCATTGGATTTCAAGGTTGGTGCGTGGAAGTTCAGTGGTAAATTCTAGGTGACCTCTTTCCTCCAGCTTGGCTTCATCCTTTTTTATTTTTATTATTATTGTTTTCGAGACCGAGTCTCGCTCTGTCACCGAGGCTGCAGTGCAGTGGCGCAATCTCGGCTTACTGCAGCCTCTGCCTCCAGGGTTCAAGCTATTCTCTTGCCTCAGCCTCCTTAGTAGCTGGGATTGCAGGTGCTCACCACCACGCCCAGCTAATTTTTGTATTTTTAGGAGAGATGGGATTTCACCATATTGGCCAGGCTGGTCTCAGACTCCTGACCTCAAGTGATCCGCCTGCCTCGGCCTTCCTTAGTGCTGGAATTACAGGCGTGAGCCATCGTACCTGGCACCCTTTTTATTTTTTGTGTTTTTCCTACCTTGTTGTCTGCTGGTTGTAGAAATAAATGTGTCTGGATGGATAGGAGGTATGACTTCTTTTTAAAAACATTTTCTTTATTTCTGAAAGAAATCCAGTACTCATTAACAGTCACTCTCCATTCCCACCCTGTCTCCTCCCACTCCAAATACCATTAATCTATGTCTGTCTCTATAGATTTGTCTATTCTGTACCTTCCATGCAAATGAAATGACACAATATGTGGCCTTTTGTGTCTGGCTTATTGAATACTTAATGTAATATTTTCAAGGTTCATCTATGTCATAGTATGTATCAGTACCTCATTTCCTTTAATGACTGGATAATCCGTTGTTTATCCATTCATTCTTTGGAGGTTTGGTTTCTTACCAGTTTTTGTCTTATGAATAATGCTACTGTGAACATTCTGATTCAGGTTTTTGTGTGGACATGTTGTTCTTTTGGGTATATAACTAGGATATAACTAGGAGTGGAATTTCTGGGTCATATAGTAACTGTTTAACGTTCTGAGGAACTGCCAAATTGTTTTCTATGGTGTCTGCACCATTTTATATTCCACTAGCAATGGATAAGGCTTTGAATTTCTCCACATCCTTTCCAACAGTTATTATTGTGTTTTCCTGATAGCCAATCTTGTGGGCATGAAGTAGTATCTCATTGTAGTTTTGATTTTCATCTCATAATGACCAATAATATTGAGCATCTTTTTGTGTGCCTGTTGGCTATTTGTATATCTTCTTTTGAAAAATGTCTATTCAAATCCTTGACCTTTTTTTTTTGAGTTAGGGTCTTGTTTTTCATCCAGGCTGGAATGCAGTGGCGCAATCATAGCTCACTGCAGCCTCAGCCTCCTGGGCTCAAGGGATCCACTTGCCTCGGCCTCCCTAGTTGCTATGACTACTGGCATGAGCCACTGTGCCCAGCCACATTTTTGTATTTTTTTTGTAGAGACAGAGTCTCGCCTTGTTGTCCAGGCTAGTCTCAAACTCCTGGGCTCAAGTGGTTCACCTGCCTTGGCCTCCCAGAGTGCTGGGATTACAGGCGTGAACTGTGCCTTGTGCTTTGCCCATTTTTAAATTGCATTGTTTGTCTTGTTATTGTTGAGCTTTAAGAGTTCTTTATATTATTCTGGATACTAAACCCTTATCAGAATGTGATTTGCAAATATTTGCTCCCCTTCTATGAATTGTCTTTTCACTTTATTGATAGTGTTTGCAACACAAGTTTTTAATTTTGATGAAGTCCATTTTAATTATTTTTTCTTTGGTTGCTTGTGCTTGTGGTGTCATAGCTGAAAAACCATTGCCTAATTCAAGGTCAGAAATGCATCTGTTTTCTTTTAAGAATTTGATAGTTTCAGCTCTTACATTTAGGTCTTTATTCCATTTGAGTTAATTTTTATTTTTGATTTTATTTTTTTGAGACAGGGTCTCACTCTGTTGCCCAGGCTGGAGTGTAGTGACATGCTTACGGTTCACTGCAGCCTCTACCTTCTGGGCTCAAGCAGTCCTCCCACCTCAGCCTCCCTAGAAGCTTGGACTGTGGGCGTGCACCACCACACCCTGCTAATTTTTGTATTCTTTGTAGGGATGGAGTTCTGCCATGTTGCCCAAGTTAGTCTCAAACTCCTGGGCTCAAGCAATCCACCCACCTCGGGCTCCCAAAGTGCTTGTATTACAGGCTTGAGCCACTGCATTTGGCTCATTTGAATTAGTTTTTATATATTATGTGATTCTTTTGCATGTGGATATCTTGTTGTCTCAGCACCATTTGTTGAATATGGCTCTAACAAAAGCAAAAACAAAAACTATTTTTTCCTCACTTTATTTACCATCAATTCAGATACTTATATGTCTTGCACATTTGCAGGCACTATTAATATAAAACTGGAGTATACAATTTATAATAAGGACTTGGTCTTCCCTTGGGGGCTTATGTTTAGTAGAGACTGATGACGGTATATATACATGAAATTGTTAAAATGGGTTATAATTAAGTGCTGGGGGAGTAGGGGAGAGATCAGAAGTTACCAGGAATTCAGAAGAGGGAGTAAGTCTGTGGTCAGATGGGTTCATAGAGAAGATGAGGCTGTTGAGGTTAGGTGTGCTTTAGGTACAGAAAGATCAGAAATGGCCAGAACAGAGCTGCTGAAGCAATTAGATGCTTTTGGTCCAAGAAATCTGTGGAACACCTTTTAAACAGATTTTGAAATTTTCTTGAAGTACCAAGTCTTGCCTTAGCCTAAATTATGTTATTAGAAGTTGGAAGCCTAATTGTGTTATTGGAAGTTGGAAACACTTGATAGAAACTTTGTGCAACTGTATTTAGAGATAAGGAAAGCTTTTTTCTTATCTTTTCATTTATCTCAGTAGTTGTCATTGAACCAGACTTAATATAGTCCCTCTTCACAGTTCCCTGTAACCTTTTAGGATTTCTTTTCATAGAATTTTAGAGACACTATTCTTGTCATCGTCACTGATTACTTCCACATTGTAAATCCAGTGGCCAATTCTCAGTCCCCATCTTACTTGACCTAGTAGCACATCAACACAGCTGGTTACTCCTCCTTCCTTGACACATTTTCTTCTCTTGGTTTCCCCAACATTATACTTTTCTTGAGTTTCCTCCTCCATCACAGTTAGTGCTTCAGTAGTCTTTGTTAGCCTCCTTTTCCAGTTCTATTTCTTCCCAGCCTCATAAACTTGGAGTTCTCAAGACTCAGTTCTTTTATCACTTCTCTGTGTCTGTACTGACTCCCCTGGTGATTTCATATAGTCCCATGCATTAAGTATCATATATATATATATATATATATATAATGTCAGTGACTCACAAATTTGTATCTCCAGCACTAACACTGCTGTTGAACTCCAGGTTTGTATATCTCACCAACTCCTCCACTTATGCACTGCGGTGCCTACTCAATGTCTCAAACTTAACAAGCCCCAAACTGAACTTTCTCTCTCTCCTCTCCCCTCATACCTGCTTAGCCTTTATTCTTTTTTGGCAGGATGGGGAGTTGAGGTCTCGCTCTGTCACTCAGGCTGGAGTGCAGTGCTGTAGCTCCCTGCAGCCGAGACGTCCCAGGCTGAAGTGATCCTCGCACCTCAGCTTCCCAAGTAGCTGGGACCACAGTCGTGTGCCACCATGCCCAGCTAATTTTTGTATGTTTTGTAGAGACAGGGTCTGACTCTGTTGCCCAAGGTTGGTTTCAAACTCCTGTGCTCAAGTGATCCTCCTGCCTTGGCCTCCTGAAGTGCTGAGATTGTTTTTGTTTTAACTGAAGACAACTCCATCTTTCTAGTTGACCCAGGCTAGAAATCTTGGAGACATCTGTGAGTCCTTTTCTTCACTCATGTCCAGTCATGAAATCCTGGACTGAGCCAGTGTCATTTCTCATCTGGATTGCTGCCACAGCCTCTTATTTTCCTGCTCAGTTCTGGTACTCCCGTTGCCAGTTAGACTGACCATATTGAAATGTTTTATCGGCCAGGCATGGTGGCTCACGCCTGTAATCCGAGTACTTTGGGAGGCCGAGGCAGGAGGATTGCTTCAGCACAGAAGTTTGAGACCAGCCTGGGCAACATAATGAAGCCCTGTCTCTGCAAAAAATACAAAAATTATCCGGTGTGGTGGTGGGCGCCTGTCATCCAAGCTACTTGGGAGGCTGAGGTAGGAGGATTGCTTAAGCACGGGAAGCAGAGGTTGCAGTGAGCCCAGATTGTGCCACTGCACTCCAGTGTGGGCAACAGAGCGAGACCCTGTCTCAAAAAAAAAAATGTTTTTTGTGGGTTTTTTTTTTAATTAGTTTACATGCCTTCTCTGCTCAAAACCTTGCAGTGGTCCCTTTCAGTCAAAGTAAAAGCATAAGTCTTTACAATGCCAAAGAGATCCTACCAAACCAGGACCATTATCTCTTGGACCTCTTCTTCTATTTTCCTTGGCCAGAAATCCACTTTTGACATGCTGACCTCTTTGTTGTTTGAATAGTCTAGGTGTATTTTTGCAGTAGGGCTTTTCTCCCCGCAGCCTGGCATGCTTACCCCAAAGTAGCCAGCCACATGGTAATTCCTTCACTTTTTTCAAGTCTTGCCTCCAGTGTCATCTACTCAGTGAAGCCTACCATGCCAGCACTGTTTTGAAGTTGCGGCTGCTCCACCCACACACACTCCCCATCTCTCTTACCCTGCTTTTCTTTCCCAGGTAGCATGTATCATCTTTTGTCGTAGTATATAATTTGCTTATTTTGTGTGTTACGTCTCTTGCCAGAAGTTAAGTTGTTGGGAAGGGATTTTTGGTTATTTTGTTTCACTGCTGTACCTGTCATATATAGTGAGTGCTCAATAAATATTGGTTAAATGAGCAGGCATCCTAGGGCTGTTTTACTCTTGGGCTCCTTGTTTAAATTCTCAGGTTCCATCCCGGACCTATTGAATGAGAAACTCTGGGGATGGGGTCCAGCTACTTTGTTTTAACTTTAAGTGATTCTGATGTAAATTAAAATTCAAGAAGCTCTTCTATATAATGTTGGTTAGGATTTCAGAAACCAGGCCTGTTGCTTACAGGTGGGAATACGTAGATAGAGAGAGAAATGACAAATACCATAACTGGGTTTGTTTTATCTGTCTGTTTTTCTCCCTTCTCCTCCTTTTTTTCCTGCTATAGGAACAAAATTTGGAGGGAGGTAGCTCAGGGAAAGGATGTAAACTGTAGTAACTTTTGGTTGATCTCATGTGTGTCAGGGGTCTTCAAAACCACCTTTAGGTTCCAGTGATTCATTAAAAGGAGTCACACAATTCAGCATATAATCATACTCTTAGCTAGAATTTATTACAGCAAAAGGGTGTAAAGCAAAATCACCAAAGGGAAAAGACTCATGGGGCAGAAGTCCAAAGTCCAAAGTTAGGCAGTCCAGAGTTAGGCAGTGGGTGCCCTGGTGACCAGCCCCCAATAAAAACCCTGGGCACTGAGCTTCTAATGAGCTTCCCTGGTAGGCAACACTTAACACTTCTCACAAACCATGGCTGCAGGAATTAAGCATATTCCATGTGACTTCACTGGGAGAGGACTATTGGAAGCTTTCTCCAAGCCAGGAGAAAGCCAGGTACTCACTGCCTAGCATGTATCAACATTCTAGATTCCCAGAAGGAAAGCAGATGTTCACCATAAATCACACTGTACAACAGTTTAGGCACAATGAGCCATTCTTTTCAGCTAGGGCAGGGGTCTCCAAACCCCCGGGTATGGACCAGTACCCCTCTGTGGCCTGTTAGGAACCAGGCCGTGCACAGCAGGAGGCAAGCAGCGGTGAACGAGCATTGCCGCCTGAGCTCCACCCACTGTCAGATCAGCGGCAGCATTAGATTCTCATAGGGGCATGAACCCTGTTGTGAACTGCACATTCGAGGGATCTGGCTCACGTGCTCCTTAGGAGAATCTAACTAACGCCTGATCTGAGGTGGAACAGTTTCATCCTGAAACCATTCCCCCCAGCCCTCGTCCGTGGAAGAAATGTCTTCCACGAAACTGGTCCCTAGTGCCAAAAAGGTTGGGGAACACTGAGTTAGGGAGTGATGGGAACACTCCCAAACTCCCAGGTTTCTATATGCCAGCCAAGAGGTGACTTTGTAAGCAGGACTTTCTAAGGGTAGTAGTCTATGACCTGCTGTGTTAACTCCTTTCTGCACATCGTGGTACCCAGGGAAGTTTGTTTTCTTCTACCTCTTTATATGGAATATGAAGCATTTGCACTAAATCATCTCTCTTGAGGAAATTTAGTAACAACCAGAACGTTTTGAGAATGACTTGAACAGTGTAACTGGGTTTAATAAGTGAGTTTATTCACTTAGACATATTTTCTCAAAAATAATACTGCCTTGACAGTATTATTCACAGCCTGTGCTGGTTGTTGTAATGATAAAAATGATTCCTTTCACAGTAAAATTTTCTTATTTCCAAAAAATAAAAAAATTATATCTTTCTGAGTATCCATTTGAAAAATCACATCTATGAATGTGACCATCAGCTTCAAAGCAGATACTGGTTTTTCTTCACTTTTCTTCCATCTTTCATGGTCCAAAAGGCCCATTAGAAACTTGCCATCTTTGGGTTTGCTTAAGTGAGTAACCAATCCTTCCTTTGTTTTTTTATAGGCCAAGATGCTGAATTATCAGGGACACTTTGACTTGTTTTGACACAGTGCTGTAAAAGAATAAAGGATACTGTTCAAAAATTGGCCTCCGACCACAAAGACATCCACAGCAGTGTTTCTCGGGTTGGAAAAGCCATTGATAAGGTATGGTATTGAAAGAAGTGTTTTGTATTTTTTAGCATCATTCTTTTTCTTCTGTCAGTGCTTTGATAATACTAGCTTTCACAAATTACTTTATGCTATTCCTGTCATGTTTGCTTTTGATGACTTTTACAGGTCTAGTTTTACTATGTTATTCTTACTAAAGTTCCTTGTTGCTATTATTTAAAAAATAAAAGCAAAATTAAAACCCTCTGCTTTTATAGCTTTGTTGTTTATCCATTTGCATATATGACTAGAGCTCCTAGGGTCATGATAAATAAAGTTCCAAAGAAATTTTAACCCAGTATGTGGGAGTTTGTTTACCAGAAATAACTTTTCCTAATTCCTGAATAATTCCCTAGCTGTGACTCTGTCTCTGTTATGGGATGATTAGAATAACAGCCTTGTATCAGTCTCCCCTGCATCATCCTAACTGTTTTCTTCCTATGGGCGTCCCAGCTACCTTTCAATTTTGCCTTCTGTGTGAATGAGTGAGTGGGTTGGTTGCTAGGCAGTGAGGCTGGTCACTTTGATTTGATGTTTTTTTTCTTGTGACATTTTTTGAGTAAGCCATCTTTGACCTGGTGGTTGACTTATAAGCAGTTACCATTTTTAGTACCAGCTGATTTTATTCATGGAGTTCATAGTCCTATTGGCACCTAAGAGAAGTAGTTCAAGGTTACTGTGTGATACCTCTGACTACTTCAAACATTGGGGAGATTGTGACTGGTTGGGGCATTTCTCTTCACACATCGTAAATGTCTGGGAGGGTAGGAAGAACTTTCGAGGAGTGCCCTTTGTAGCAAAGGCATCTTCTAAACAGTCTTATGAGTTAACTTAGTCTGTACTCACAAGAGTGATAGTTGTAACAGAGGTAATAGAAGCTCATTGAATCTGGAGAGTGGTTCGTGTAACTCATGGGTAGACCCAACTGTTAGAAATTATCCTGTGAAAAGGCTAGGCTTGACGCTGCTTGAGTCAGAACTATATGCTTATAAGGCAATACTGTTCACTGGTAGGTGTGGTATGACAAGACTGTGAGTGGCATGGGCTCAGAGGACTTGTTTTGGTAGTTGTGGCTTACAGAAGTGTTAGTGGCCTTTCAGAGAGTTCTCACTACTCCCATAGTGGTGTGAGGGGTTTGACTTGGCCAGAGAGTCGGAGGGTGGTTTTGGCAGCAGCAGGGTTCCAGCCACGTTGTTATGTCAGTGATGGCAGTCACCAGCAAAGTCTGGGAAGGCAGACTTTGGGGAGATTGTGACTGGGGAGACTGTGGGGAGATTGAGACTTTGGGGAGATTGTGAAATGGCTTTGAGGTTGTGAAGCCTGTTTGGTAACTCCAAGAGAGTGAACACAGTTTTAGAAGTGGGTTTGGCATCAACCCTCTCTGGTACTATGATATTTGAAGTCTTCAGTTGGTTCCTGGAGTGGTTGTTGGTGTGTATGAGCTTAAGAACTGTGGGAGTGGTGGTGGGACACTTTATTTTCTTCCAGCAGCTGTATCCTTCTAGAATGTGATGGGGCACTTTAGAGATGGTCTTCATTTGTGGGTGAAGAACCCTCAGTTCCTCTAGAGGTACGGTAACTACCGGTGGTGTCTAAGAAGATTCACATTTTGATGTTGACAGTGACCAAGGCATCCTGGTGATTCTAAATGGCTCAAAGTTCAGAGAGAACCCCAGGAAGTTCTTGGGGACATCTGCTTGACCACCAGGCTGCCTGCAGTTATAACAGAAGGTCAGCATTTGGACAGTAGAACCAAAGGTGGTATGACAGTGAGAAGAGCTAAAGCTTCCAAGGCAGCCAATCAGAGATTCTTGGAATAAGGGGGGATGGGCTCAGCAACTATAATTCTAGTGTGTGGGCTACTGACCAGGATCTGGAGCAGTTGGGCAAATAATTCACCAATTATGCTTTCTGCAGCTGGTAGGGTGACCATATATGCCATGTATGTCCCTGTTTCCTAGTTTATGTTTTTTGTCCTGTCATGATGATCAGAATCTTCTTCTGCTCTTGTGGATCACAAGGTCAGGAGATGGAGACCATCCTGGCTAATACGGTGAAACCCTGTCTCTACTTAAAAAAAATTACAAAAAAAATTAGCCGGGCATGGTGGCGGGCGCCTGTAGTCCCAGCTACTCGGGAGGCTGAGGCAGGAGAATGGCGTGAACCCGGGAGGAGGAGCTTGCAGTGAGCCAAGATCGCGCCACTGCACTCCATCCTGGGCGACAGAGCGAGACTCCATCTCAAAAAAAAAAAAAAAAAAAAGAATAAAAAGAATTATTATTGCTCTACATAGTTGCCAACATTTAGTATTGATTGGCTTTGACATTTATATTTCTCAGTAGCTTTAATTTGCATTTTCCTGATCACTAATTAGGTAGAGCATCTTTTCATATGCATGTTGCCCATTTATGTTTCCCCTTCTAGGAAATGTCTTTTTGTCCTTTATATTTTTCTATTAGATTGTCTTTTTTTCTTCAGGTTTTTACAAGTTCTTTCAAAGAGACTTCCTATACTAGTCCTTGATGTCAAGACATTAGTCTGGTAGTAAGATGAATAAAATGAACTTATTTGTCAGGATAGATATTGTTGCCAACTTCAGTCAGGATAATTGGGACAGTGGCGAGTCTAAATTAAAATTTTTCTCTCTTCCTTTAACCATTAGGATTCACTTTAAGAGATTTGGAAACTCTTCCCTTTGGAATTGCTCTTCCCATCAGAGATGCAATTTATCACTGTCGTGAACAGCCTGCCTCAGACTGGCCAGAAGCTGTCTGTCTCTTGATTGGACGTCAGGATCTTTCCAAGCAGGCCTGCGAAGGAAACTTACCCAAAGGGAAGTCTGTGAGTATCAACATAGAAAGTTCAGAGTTCCAATTTTAGCCTTAAATAAAATCATAAAGTAGAAATGTTCTTCATTTTCCTTTAAGGCTTTTTCTAAGTATATATATTAGCTTGTCTTTTATATTATATGCCAGACGGGGTTTGTAATTGTACGCGTCTTATTAATTGTTAAGATGAGCATTAGGAGCAGGAGATTTTGTGAATGTTCTGTCTTGTGCCTGGATCTTTCTTTGCCTTGAATCAGGACAAGTCCTGAGGGTAGTCATGGAAACTACCATGGCTATTTCCCTACTTGTACCATATTAGTAATTAACCACTTTGTAATTATTACATAGGAAAAGGGAGAGCACATATATCCTGAATTTGGATGAGTAATTATATATAAGTATTTTCTACTGCATATTTTTTGATGTGTTGAATTTTTTGAATTTAACCTTTTAAATAGGTGTAAACATATTTGTTTAATCACATAAAACTGCAGCCCCAGGGAAAAAATGTGTTTTTTTCAGTAGAGTTGTTTAAAAACATGTCTTAAGCTATCCCTCCCGAAATACTGTCTTTCATCAGTCATCAAGTCTGTTTTTTTTTTTAAATGAGTTCTAGGAATCCTGCAAGTAGAAAGTTAAATTATTTCATTACTCTCCAATTATCTTTTTAAATCATCCTCAAAACTTGAAAATGAAACTTTTAAAACTTATTCTAGAATTCTAGGTAACTTTAAAAAATGAACAGTAGAATCTCATCAAGGAGGATTCAGGAATAATAATTCCACTCCTGGTGACTCTTTTATGTTCATGTCCCTGAGAAGACAGTGGGAATTTGGCCTTGCCTCTTAGTAGCTTTTGAATCAATACATAATAATCAGTACATTGTAACTACGAGTCACCTTAGGTCTTATTACTACTTCTTCAGAGCCTATATCAAAACTTATTCCTAACCTCAGAGTTGCCTAATGTGTACCCATGCCGGAGTCAGTTTCCATGGGCATCTGATCTCCAGCAGGGTCATCCCAGCATCTCTCTCCTTTAATCTGCGCCTCTATCACAGCTCTTCGTTGAATTAGTATTTACATCCTGTTTTAAACAGAAAACAAATCTTTTTGCTTATAAAATGATTTTCCTGTGAGAGAGAGCAGTTCAGCACCATTAGCATTAAAACATTAATCTGTATTTGAACGTGATTTTAAGTAATTATGTCTAAATACAGTTTGTTCAGTTATTTGAGGCTACATTTTATAATTAATCCCATCTAAATTTATTTTGTCACTGTTTGAGACTATGTTTTATAGCTAACTCACCCATTAGAATACAGTTTTTTTTTTAAATTAGATATTTTGTAGGAACTAAAAATGAATTTTTAGGAACTAAAAGTGATTATTTGGTCGTATCTACTTTTTTTTCAGGCTGACCTTGTTGGTTTCACATTAAATGTTGCAAAACTTTAACATTTCAACTTGGAGTTATTCTTTTGTTAAAAGAGTATAATACTGTTTTTGAGAGAATATGATATGATTCCATGCAATTCACATCTGTGTTGCAGTTAGATTTAATTATTTGGACTGGGAAGCCCCATATTAAAGCACATGCTGGGCTTAGAACATGATGACAATCAAGGAATTTACCCTCTTACTTGTTTCGCTGCAGTTCAGTACTTTTCCTTCTAAGAAATTTTTATTGGAAACACATTTTTTAAAAAATAGTGAAAACTGGCTGGGTGTGGTGGCGCATGCCTGTAATCTCAGCACTTTGGGGTGGCCAAGGCGGAGGACTGCTTGAGCCCAGGAGTTTGAGACCAGCCTAGGCAACATAGTGAGACCTCATCTCTACTTAAACAATTTTTTAAAAAATTTAGCCAGGTGTGGTGGTATGTGCCTGTAGTCCTAGCTATTTGGGAGGCTGAGGTGGGTGGATCTCCTTGAGGTCATGAGTTCAAGACCAGCCTGGCCAACAGGGCAAGACTCTGTCTCTACAAAAAATAAAAAAAATTAGCTGGGTGGCCAGTGCACATATGTAGTCCCAGCTACTCGGGAGGCTAAGGTTGAAAGATCGCTTGAGTCCAAGAGGTGGAGGTTGCAGGGAGCCATGATCACACCACTGTACTCCAGCCTGAGTGACAGAGTAAGACCCTGTCTCAAAAAAAAAAAAAAACTTAATAATGAAATCCAACCATGATCCTGTCTATTAAAAGTAGTAAAGTAAGAAAGTATTTCATTGTGTGACTTCCCCCAACCCTTGGTGTATATCCTTTCAGGCTTTTTTCCTTCTCCTTCTATTAATGAACAGACAATATTTAAATTAGCATTATTAGCAGTGACTAGTATTCATATTCTACTTGCAATAATTTCTTTTTTAAAATGATCAGGATGAGTTAGATTTTTTTTTATAGTTTATTCAGAATATTTCTCTGTTTGTATCCAGCCCCTTGACTGTTGTCCTAAATTTAAACTCTCCCCGTCATTTCCAAATATTTCCAAGTAGGCAATGTAGTACTTTTGTTTGTTTGTTTGTTTTGTTTGTTTGTTTGTTTGAGACAGAATCTCACTCTGTCACCCAGGCTGGAGTACAGTGGCACGATCTCGGCTCACTGCAACCTTTGCCTCCCGCGTTCAAGTGATTCTCCAGCCTCAGCCTCCCCAGTAGCTGGGACTACAGGCGTGCGCCACTGTGTCTGGCTAGCTAATTTTTGTATTTTTAGTAGAGACCGGGTTTCACCATGTTGGCCAGGCTGGTCTGGAACCCCTGGCCTCGGGTGATCCGCCCACCTCGGCCTCCCAAAGTGCTGGGATTACAGAGTGTGAGCCACCACACCCGGCCAGCAATATAGTACTTTTTAGAAAGATTTGTAGATTAGAGTCCCAGTATACATTGCGGCTCCAACCCATGCCTGCTTTGGAAAACATATTTTCTCTGTGCTAGTATAGTCATGACACATCAGCCTATATATCCTCATGTTCAGCAAGTGCATGTTAACTGCTTTTGAAATTATTATTACAATAAAGTCTGTTACTCAGGTGCTCTCATCAGATGTTCCTTCAGGAACAGAAACTGAGGAGGAAGATGACGGCATGAATGACATGAATCACGAGGTCATGTCATTAATATGGAGTGAAGATTTAAGGGTGCAGGATGTGCGAAGGCTTCTTCAGAGTGCGCATCCTGTCCGTGTCAATGTAGTGCAGTACCCAGAGCTCAGTGACCACGAGTTCATCGAGGAAAAGGAAAACAGGTGAAAGAAAACACGTGCACTATCTCTTGTCATGTTTCATTGTTACATTTGTGTCTTGTGTATATTTGTTTTTCCTTCAAGTTTTTAGCACTTAAAACCCTAAAGAGATTTAAAAGATACTTTCAAGTGAAAATATGCCCTGTGTTTTAAGTTTTCATCCAACTTCAACAAACCACGTGTGTTAGCAAAATGTCTTTGGCTTTTGAGGACGTAATTGTTGTATTTCATATCGTCCTCCTCTTGAAATACATATAACACTTTACTCTTTAGAAAAGGTGAATGTAAAACTATTTTGCCTGATAGTTACCTTAAGAATTTACAAACAAAGAAAACACTGGACTTGTTTTTCTGTGTCTTGATCAGGAATAGATTTTGAGGTTAGTGGGGTTTTTAGTGTAGTTTAAACTTATATGAGTATTTTTTTTTTTTTGGATATGATAGATGATACTCCAAATAAAAATAGATAAGCCTTTCTTCTGCCACTCCCCTGCACAGGATACATCCCTTGATACATTATAAGACTCACATGCCTATGACATTCCAGAGCTATTCTCTTGGGACACTTCTGTTTTAAAATTCTCTCCTGTTCTTTTATCTGCTTGTCTCTATCATCTATCATTCATCTGCCACTGTTTTCTAGTTCTCTTTACTTTTTTTATGGTACTGTTTTGAGGGGAACCATCACCCACACTTAGCCACAGGCTGCTGAAGATCTGAATTAGTTGTGATTTCCCTATTAACTGTTTCCTCTCCACATGTACCCAGTTATTAGTCACCTGTGAATAAAAAGATGGAGTGACAGAAGTTGAGTTTAGAGCATAGGATTTATGAGCATGGCCTCTAGAGCCAGGCATGGCCATGCTGTGCTGGGTGACTTTGGTTAAATTACTTTACCTCTTGTTGCCTCAGTTTCTTCATTTGTAAAAGTAGGCATACTTCATGGGATGGTGCTGTGTATCAAGTGAATTATTTTTACATAGCACTTAGAATACTGCTCAATACATAGTAAAGCTCAGTGCAGTCAGCCATTATTAGTAGTAGAGTTCATTGATTCTAAGATGCAAGTTTTTTCACTTTTTAATATCTCTGAAATCAGTTGTGTATTTCAGTGAACAGGCGTCATAGTTTAATTGGCAGTGCTTTTTCTTTCTTAGTTTCTCATGAAATAATGATACATCTTATGAGTGGCATCTTATATTCAGGGGATATAATATTGTTCTCATTATAATTTTGTTACTTGTGCAAAGTTGAAGTGAATTATGTGTAAGATTTCCTCTAAAAAAATTCTATGGGTTGCAACAGACTCTTGGCTTTGAATTTTCCTGATCCCAAATTAATGTTGCGGTTGTGTTCCCAGAGAATCTTTAAGACAGCAAAATTTTTCTTTCCAGTTAGCTAGAAAAGCAGTTATGTGTGTCCAGTTAAGGAGGGTGTATGCTTATGAATAGCTTTGTCTGCAGAGAAAATGTTTGTCAGTTGTCAGCCTCTGAAGGGATATTTCTGTGTCTTCAGATATAGCTTGTATAGGCGTTTCTTAGTTATAAATGCCCTACTTCCAAAATTTCTGTTAGTTTTTTTTAAGTGGCTATATGGAATGTTAAGCTATTTTAACATAGGAAGAAGTTGAAGAGTGGTGTATTAATTTCACAGTAGAGCCAACAGAAACCATTTTAACCTTGAACATACCTGATACATAATGGTATTAGTCCTATAAATCTAGCCATCATGTAAGTGAAACCAATCTGTATTTCCCTTGGAGACACCATGAAATCCATTCACCTCTAACACAAGGACCTTGTTTCTTTTCTTGTGTACAGGCCACAGAAATGGTACTTCTGAGGCTGTATTGGCAAAAGGGATGGGAGGAGGATCCCACATGTACTGAGGACAGCTAGACTGAAATTAACACAGTGATAAAAACCCCAAAAGTACTGTATTTTCCTTTGAGAAGGTTAGCATCCATCGGAGTGGAATTTTAAATTTCTTTTTTTTTTTTGAATGCCTAGAGAGAGTCGGCTTGGTTTATAGGCCAGGTGGTTTTCATTCAATGTAAATATGAAACAAAACAGAGGAAATATGTCTCTCCCTAAGAGTGTAATAGGAACAAGAATATTAAAATGAAAATAATCATGTTTGGGTAGTTCACTCACATCTGTGTATGAATTTACTTTGAGACAACTTCATCTTATACAGTACACCTTCTTTTGAAATACTTACAGATGATATTTCAATTGCTCTTTGCTTTAAACATTTTCACATGTTGGTTTTTACTTTAATTACAGATTGCTCCAATTGTGTCAGCGAACTATGGCTCTTCCTGTAGGACGAGGAATGTTTACCTTGTTTTCGTACCATCCTGTTCCAACAGAGCCATTGCCTATTCCTAAATTGAATCTGACTGGTATGTTAAATTCTGGGCTCAATGAGAAAGGAAAATGATTAAGTACATGCATTAAGTGTAGTTCTTTAAATTAGTTAAAACAAAAGAAATGCTCCCTCTATCCCCAGTGATTTAAAATTTTCCTAATAGCTGCTGTAGTGGTTATCAAAGCTCAAATGCCATGTGAAACTAAACTTTGAGAGAAGCAGAATATAGTTCATTACTCATTTTTGCTTTTTAATGAGGTGATTTCAAGATCTAAAAAGTCACTTGGAGAAGTTCAGAAAGATATTATTGATAACGATGAGACTTGAATTTTAAATAATCTTAAGTTTAATATGTAAAAATATTTAGTTTTAAAATGTCTTACGTCATAGTTTAAACAGATGATCATTGTATAAATCAAGAAATGTACTAAGCAAAAAGAGAAACAATGGTCACTTGCAGTACTCCCACTCTTCTGCATCACTCCTTTTAACATTTTAGTATATATGTTTACTAAGTTTATTTCCACATATTTATAATTTTATATTTGTTTAATTATCAGAAAATTTATATCTATTTTAGATTTTTTTAAAAATTTACAGTGAACATCCTTTTATATCTAGCAAATAAATGTATGTGTTTATAATTATGTGTATGTATTGTATACACGTGTTTTTAATCAATACATTCATTTTTATTTGCTTCAGAGTATTTCATTCAGCGGATATACCATAGTTTATAGAAGCAGCCTGGTATTGTTGGAAATTACAGTTTTTTGGTATTATAAACATTGTTGGGGCGTATTCGTCCTGTGTATTTAGGCTAAATGCTTAGAAGTAGAACTCTTAGGACAGCAAGATGAATGGTTTTAAGGAACATGTCAAATTGCCTTTCTGGCTGGCACAAGTTTTTATTTCTGCCATATATAACTGTAGTTATAATCTTGATTACAATGAATTTTATAGTGCATGTCCCCCTAATGCTGATTTGAATGTGTTCTAAAGGTGACAATTACATAGTTGAAATTATCACTGAAACTCTATTATAGTATATATGGTTTTGTGAAACCTATACAAAATGTATGTATAATGTATGTTGTAGTAGTGTATAGTATATGTGGTAGCATATAATGTATAATTTAATATATGATAAATAGTACATAATATATGCAAACATAATTATACAGTATTTTAAATTGCATACTTTAAAAAATCCAGAGTTCCACTCAGATTTGTGAAAAGCTTGTGCTTTGAGCAGCATGCAGGAAATGAGATTGACTAAGTGAAAGAACACATTCCCATCTCCATACCATGCTTATTCTGAGCCCTAATCTCACTGAGGGACATAGTGAGCAGAGTGGCTTTTAATATTTAAATTGTCTCAGAGGTAAAGCACCTATGGCAAAATTTTAACAATTATTGATTCTTGATGGAAGGCATGGTATATAGATGTTCATTTTAGTAGTCTTTCCAACTGTTTATATGAAAGATTTCATATACTAAGTGCAGATTAAAAAGAAAATCTAATGCAAAATTGGCAAATGTTAAAATGTATTCAATCTGGGTGATTTAGCACTCAAGTGATACTTGGGTGGGTTTAAAAAATATATACATGCATCTTTTTTTCTGAATACATTTAATTGAATTTGCATGATTTAAAATGTGTTTATGACATTAATCCAACATTTTATTCTTTTAGTCATTCTGGTAGGCCAAAAAGAAAGGTTATCCTCTTAATTTAGGAAAGAATATTTTCTTAAATAGTTGCTTAACCCACACTGATGTGGCCTGTTGTACTTTTGTATGTTGTTATTCTCATTGAAGAAAATTTACCTTACCCTTTGCATTTTATTTTCTCTCGTGTATAAATATTATGTCTCTTGCATATGATGAATGAATGTTTCAGAAAGGTCACTCAGTTTTTTCATATTGATATGTCTGCCTTTTTTGAGAAAGTACAAGTGTAACTTATGAACTTATTACTCATTGTGGTGCTAACACTAGCAGTTGAGTTAGCTTTTAGGTACAAAAAGCATATAGTAAAGACAAATAAGTCTTACTTTGTGCTTTGTGTGTGTATGTGTACATGCTACAAATAAGACACTTTGCATCTACTTAAAATTTATTTTACATAACATCTTAGAACTCTTTAAAAATGGTATTTTTAAAGCTGCAGTGAAATGGATAACTTTATGCAGTAATTAAAATATTTATGTTAATTATTTTATCCATGACTTAAGACAATATTCAAAATATATTTAAAAAGATTCAATGTTTGCTGTGTATAATGTAGATCAAAAAGAAAAGAATCAAGAAAAAATTCGTAGGGAACATATAGCATTGTGAACATATAATTTACATTGTTCTTAAATAAATGGACCGTAAAAGTATAATCTGGTGAATGCCCTTTTGAAGTTCCCTGGGTGACTCAAGTCTATAAAAGGATGCTTTTTACAAAACTATCTCTAAGCATTTTAAACGATAGCATATAATTAGATATCTATATCTGTATGTATATATAGAGAGAGAGAGAAAAAAAGAGAGAGAAGGGGGCATATATAGGTAAGACCTGTAGCAGATTTATTAAGGTTCTTGTTTCCTTTTTTTTTTTCTTTTTTGAGATGCAGTCTCTGTCTGCTGCCCAGGTGGGAGTGCAATGGCATGATCTTGGCTCACTGCAACCTCTGCCTCCCAGGTTCAAGTGATTCTCATGCCTTAGCCTCCCAAGTAGCTGGGACAGGCACGCACCACCAGGCCTGGCTTTTGTCTTTTCTTAAGATGTCATTTTTCCTTAATGTCTAGGGGAAAATATAGGATAGAACATTTGAAATTAACATCAGTGTCATCAGATGTTGGGATTTATAACTTGTATAGTTTAACAGTGATGTTAGTCTTCACTTTGGTTTTTAAGCTCTCTGTTTGAAAGAAAAAATGAGTGATTATCCCAGTCATCTCTGTATAATGTTAAATTGGTATCAGTTATCTCATTATATAGCCTCATACATTTTAACAAAAAGGACAATGAACTGTTTAGACAGTGAAGGTTTTTCCAGTTCCATTAAGTTTGACTCACATGTACAAAAGTTTTAAGTGGTCATAGAGACCTAACGTTCCAGGCATTATGGGGTTAATGGTTTTGAATGTAGAAAACGTAAGTAATCTTAGTCTCAAAGATCTAAATTTAACAATCTTGGTTTTGTGGATTTTTATTCTCTCAATGTTCTTCGTTTGGCTGGATAGGGCGTGCCCCTCCTCGGAACACAACAGTAGACCTTAATAGTGGAAACATCGATGTGCCTCCCAACATGACAAGCTGGGCCAGCTTTCATAATGGTGTGGCTGCTGGCCTGAAGATAGCTCCTGCCTCCCAGATCGACTCAGCTTGGATTGTTTACAATAAGCCCAAGCATGCTGAGTTGGCCAATGAGTATGCTGGCTTTCTCATGGCTCTGGGTTTGAATGGGCACCTTACCAAGCTGGCGACTCTCAATATCCATGACTACTTGACCAAGGTGAGACCTGTGCTCCCAGTGCCTGGCTTTGTGCCTTGGCTGGCTATTGTAGTAGCTCCTAATTGCTCTATTTGCTCTTCTTTCTTCATTCTTGTACTTCTAAGTCCATTTGTCTCATAGTACATGGAATAATCTTTCTAAAGCATAAATCAGAGTATGTCACTTCCCTGGTCAAAGCCATTTAATTAATGATCTCCCATTGCTTTTTTTTTTTTTTTTTTTCCCTGAGTAAGGCAGAGTAGAATTTAATGAGTGACAAGAAAGCTCTCAACAGCGAGAGGGGACCCGAAGGTGGGTTGCCAGCCACGAGGCTGAGTCTAGAGGTTTTTATGGGCTTGAAATGGGGGAAGTGCATGCTGATTGGTCTGTGGGTATGCTTGAAAAAGCACCATTTAGAAATAGGCACGATAGTGTAGAGGACCAACTGGGGAAGGGCAGGTATATGTAAAGTAGGTGAAGGATAAGGACCAATCAGGAGAGAGCATGCCAAACAGGAATGAGAGCTCTCTAGTCCATGGATTTATCCAGAACTTGTAGCTTGGTTTTCAGGCTTTCGACTGTCCTTGGCTTGAAGGTTGAGTTTCATCTGAGAATTTACCTGCCTCCTACCGCCATCAATCCCCGCTCTGAAGAGGTATATCTAACTGCTGTTCGGATAGGGGTGATGACTGTTCTGCTTCATGCTGACAGAGGGTGTTGTTTTGGGAAACAGCAGTCAGGTCTCTCTTAGAGGCCTATCTAAGTGTCCCCTGGTAAAAGAGAGCCATCAACCGAGGTTCCATTTGCATGACCACTTGGAGTTTGATGGCCTCTAGGCGAGAAAAAACAAATTTTACAAGGAGGTTAAGTACACATGGACCAAATATGAGTATTACAATGAGAACACAAAGAGGAACTAAAAGGGGGAAAATCCATGCCCATATATTAGGGACACCTAGAAAGGACAGGAAGAAAACCTCTGAAAATGGACTGTTCTATTCCAGGATTTTGCAAAATAGGGTTGTCATGGGCATGTCCCCCTAGATTATTAGATATGTTATAATTAGGCATTGCAATGCTTTTAATTAGATTTCTGATCCATAGGCTGCAGAATCCAGTAATGCCTGATAATCCCTTTAGTTAGCTGAGGGTCTTGGGGAGAAGGAAGGAGAAAATGGATCCAATTCTCTCCTCGCCCAGTGTCCTGGTCCCTTCTGACAAGACCAGGCATAGGTACTTCACTGAAGTCTGACGGAGTTGAGCCTTGGACTTTGAAACTTTATGTCCTCTGTCAGTTAGAAAATTAAGAAGAGCCTTATTGCTTTTCTGAGAAATTTCCTCAGTTGGGGCACAGAGTAGAGTGTAATCTACATATTAAGACTAACTTGAGTTTGAAAGAACTCAGAGAGATCTTTTTGAGATTGCCTGCCCAAACAGGTGGGGGCTGTCTTGGAATCCCTGTGGTAACACCATCCAGGTTAGCTGGGTAGTCTGGTTGGAGGGATCCCTGAATGCAAACAAGTTTTGGGAGTTGGGGTATAATGGTATGCAGAAAAAAAGCATCTTTTAATTCCAAGAATGCAAACCATTTAGTTCCTTCAGGTATCTAAGTTAACAAAGTATAGGGATTGGGAACCACTGGGTAAATTGGTTAATTACACCAGTTACTCATTAAGGAGGTGGAGATCCTGGACCAGTCTCCATTCCCTGTTGGGTTTCTTTCTGTACTTCCAATATTAGGATATTACAAGGACTGTCACAGGGTTTAACAAGGCCCTGCATCCTTAGGTTATTAATGATGGCTTCTAGTTGTTTCCTAGCTTCTGGTTTTAGGGGATATTGTCTTTAATTAGGGAAGGAGATGAGATCCCTGAGATGGATTTGGACTGGTGAGACTGTTGTAGCTCAGCCAGTATTTTCCTGAATTGCCCAAACACCTGGATTAATATCAGTCTCCACCAGAGGGAGGCAAAGAGTCTGTCCTGGAGCCATAAGGATGGTGGTTCCCATGTGAGCTAAAATATCCCTACCTCAGAGGAGTCGGGCTTTCAGGTATGATTAAAAAGGCATAGGTAAACGAAAGGTCTCCCTAGGTACAGCTAAGGGATTGAGAAAAATATCGAGTCAGAGGCTTTCCTGAGACGCCCCTCACAGTTGTGCTAAGGGAGGAGGGGAGGCCCAGAATGGAGAGGAGAACAGGAATGGCTGCTCTGGTGTTGAGTAGGAAGTCTGTCCTCTGAGTCCTTTGACCTCCAGACTCACCCGGGACTCCTGGATGGTAATGCAGCCTGGGCTGTCAGAGCTGGGGAGGAGAGCCCTGGGACCCATCAGTCCTGCTGGACCATTTGAGAAGCCGGCTCTGAACCTTGGGACGTATGTTTCTGGAGGCAGTTTGTCTTCCAGTAGTCTCCCTTACAGATTGGACAGGGCCGTGGGGGCTGCTTCTGATTTCGGGGGCAGACTCTCTTTTAGTGCTCCCACACTGATAACAGTCGGTCATAGAATGAGAAGCTCCCTGGGATCGAGAGGTTTATATGCCTGTATGGCAGCTATTAGTGCCTCTGCCTTTTTCTCGTTCCTTTTCTCCCTTTTTCTTGGGCTTCCTCATGGTCCCGATTATAAAAGACCAAGGTGGTGACTTTCAGGATTTTCTTTAGAGTACTGTCTGGTGCAATAGCTAACTTTTTGCAGCATTCTTCCAATATTTGGGGCTGCTTGGGTTATAAACTTGTCTTTCAAAATTAACTATCCTTTTATAGAGTCAGGAGAGAGATGTGTGTTTAATTAAAGCCTCTCTCAGTTTTTTCCAGGAAAACAGAAGGGTTCTCTTCAGACCCTTGGTTTATGGTTGATAACTTAATGTAATTGAGAGATTTGCCTCTAGTTTTCAGATCTTCCACTGTGCATCCCTAAAAATGTTTTCTCGGCCACTTTCCTAGAGCAGTGTCTGAGTCCCATTGAGGATTATTGGTGGATGCTGCCTGCTTGGCTGTCAGAAAGGGCTCCCTAATTTCTTCCCCCTTTTGGTAGGTGCCATAATAAGATAAACATTTCATCTCCAAATGTCTCAGTGACCTGTAAAGCCGCCTGCTTCTCTGAAGCTCTAAGAGTCTAGTTGAGAAGTAACATGATACCCTTCCATGAAAGCTCAGACATTTGATTAAGGTTCTGAAAGGCTTCAATATACCTATCCAGGTCGACACAATTGTCCTAGATTTCTTTTTATCTGCCTCAAATCTTGTAAAGAAAAGGGGACTTGTACTTTGATAGGACCATATTCACTATGCATTTCCTGTAAAGGAAGAAGTGATGCTGGAGCGCATCCAGGTCGAACTCTTCTAACAGGATGAGGTTCAAAAGGGGGCCTGGATAAGGGGGACGAGATGATCCAAGAGGAGCTGGGACCTGGGCTGGTGCAGGGGCCTCTGTCTCCTCTTCTAAGGAGGCAGACTGTTTTTTCCCTTCTGTCTGGATTAAGTCTGGCTGGATATCACTGCTATAAGTGCAAGGTCTATTATACATTGCTGACAGAGCTTGCGGTTATTCTGCAGGGCAAAAAAGGCCTATACATATGGAATTTTGGACCATTTTCCTTCTCTGTGGTTGAAGAGATCTAGCTATAGGATAGTATTATAGTTGTTATTTTCCCCAGCTGACTAGGTCTCCCCATCTTCCAACTTCTAGCTGGGCCAAGCCTTGCTACTGATAAATACCAGGTATTTTTTCTTCAGAGTCTGAGGATCAAAGGAGTCCCAATGTCTCGCACTTGAGAGGAGTGCAGGCTACCCATTTAGAAAGAGAGAGGGGAGAAAAAGGCATCCTTAGTCTTTCCCTCTGCTGTGCTAGAGTCCAAGGCGTCTCTCAGGCTTACCTTGGTCGTGGATGTGCGCGCAGCCACCATTCATGACCAGGGGGGGATCAAGCCAGCAGGAGTAGTTGCGTTCACTTGCACTCAGCCTTGACCCTCCTTGTCAACTGCCTTTGATTTCTCTGAATTCTATATGAGCTCAAGACTAAGATGAATCCGGGGGGGTCCCTGCATATTATTTGTCTATAATTCTCATCTGGCTGGCAGTTTATTTAGCTTCATCAAGCATAACCCAGCATCCTGCCCTGAAAAGAAGCAATTTCTCAAAGAGACACATAACTAAGTAACATTTCTCAGAAGAGCAGTAGGAAAAACATGATAGGAAAGATTGGAAGTCTTTGTCCGACACCTGAACAGGCTGTTGGGGACTGGGGGCCGGTGTAGGGTCCTTCGGATGTACCCTTGGCCAGATACCTTTAGTTGCCCCAGGACCTTATTCTGATCCCACACGATGGCTGAACTTCTGTGAAGGGAAACTGGTTTAGAACAAGGCCAAAATTCCCAACACCAGAGGGCAAAGGGGGATCGACCATTGCTCTTAATATACATTCTAGGAGCTGGTGTGATCCTGTTCACTTCTCCAGCCCTAGGTGGTACCACTGTTCTTCGTTTTTTTTTTTTTTTTTTTTTTTTTTTTGATGTGGAGTCTCACCCTGTCACCTAGGCTGGAGTGCAGTGGTGTGATCTCGTCTCACTGCAACCTCTACCTCCCAGGTTCAAGCAATTCTCCTGCCTCAGCCTTCTGAGTAGCTGGGATTACAGGTGCACACTACCACACCTGCGTAATTTTTGTATTTTTGATGGAAACAGGGTTTCACCATGTTGGCCAGGCTGGTCTTGAACTCCTGATCTCAGGTGATCTGCCCGCTTCAGCCTCCCAAAGTGCTGGGATTATAGGCGTGAGCCTCTGCACCCAGCCCCACTCTTCTTGCTCCCCCACACTCTAACCATACAGATTGGCTATTTTAGCTCTCTGGCAAACTAAACTCTTTCACTTCACAGCGTTATTTTTTTTTTAAGGAATCTTTATTTATATAAATATATAAAATTCACATACCATACAATTCACTGTTTAAAGTGTGTGGTACAGTGGTTTTTAGTACATTCACAGAGTTGTGCATCCATCACCACTGTTAATTTTAGAACATCTTTTCACCCCATAAAGGAACCTTGTACCCACTAGTGGTGACTCCCCATTCCTCTACCTCACCCCCCCACCTTCACTTCACTTCCTGCCAACCACTAATCTACTTTCCGTGTCTATGGGTTTGCCTTTTCTGGACCTTTCATATGAACGGAGTCATACAAAATATGGTATTTTAGGATGGGCTTCTTTCACTTAGCCTGATAATTTTAGGGTTCATCCATGTTGTACCATCTATCAGCAATACATTCCTTTTTATTGTTGAATAAATGTTTTATTTTATGAATGTACATTTTATTCATAAGTTGATGAACATTTGGGTTATTTGTACTTTTTAGCTATTACGAATAATACTGCTATGAACATTTGTATACATGTTTTTGTGCGGATGTATGTTTTCATTACTCAAGAGTAATGAAGTAATGGTAAGTAGTGGTACATACTTAGGAGTGGAATTGCTGGGTTATATGGTAACTCTGTTAAACTTTTTGAGGAACTGTAAACTGTTTTCCATAATGACTGCACCATTATACAACCCCATCAGCAATACATGAGAGTTCCAATCTCTCCATATTTTTGCCAACACTTGTTATATTGTGTTGAGTCCAGCCTCATTCTTTTGAATGTGTCCTTCCACTTGTCCCAGCACTGTTTTTTGAAGACTGCCCTTTACCTGTTGAATTGTCTTGGCACCCTTGTGGTCAGTTGATGTTAATGTGAGGGTTCATTTCTGAATCGCCTCAGAGCCATTTATTTACATGCTGTTTTATCACCTGAAACAGTCTTCCTCACCTTCTAAACTTGAGTGTCCTCTTTCCTGCCACTGTTCCTGGCTAATTTGTTTTCATCCTTCAGGTCCTAATATAAATTTCTTTGTATAATCTTTAGAGATTTCATCCCTAATAATCCTCTAGTCCCTCCCAATCTAAATTAAGCTATTTTAAAATACTCTTTCATAATACTTTGTACTTTCTTATTGTACTACTTTTTAATAATATATTTGTTTATGTTTTTTAATTTAACACTTTTTTTCCTATTAAGTCATTAGGTCCATGAGAGCAAGGACCATGTTTGTTTAGTTTACTGCTGTATTCTCAGTGCCTCTCACCTTGCCTGTCAACATAAAAGTACTTCTTGAAAGTGGCAGGCAGTATTTTATTTTAAACTATGTATTTGTTTTGTTTCTATCTTAGGGCCATGAAATGACAAGCATTGGACTGCTACTTGGTGTTTCTGCTGCAAAACTAGGCACCATGGATATGTCTATTACTCGGCTTCTTAGCATTCGCATTCCTGCTCTCTTACCCCCAACGTCCACAGAGCTGGATGTTCCTCACAATGTCCAAGTGGCTGCAGTGGTTGGCATTGGCCTTGTATATCAAGGGACAGCTCACAGACATACTGCAGAAGTCCTGTTGGCTGAGATAGGTATGGGATTAATAGTGCTGAATCTTCATAGGCATGTACTCTCCACTCCACATTAACCCAATTAAATAGTAAAATTATAAAAATTAAGGAAAGACAATGGTAGCTTTTGTGAGCAAAGAATGATCTAGTACTAATTAAAAAAAACAACAAAACTCTAAGTAATGTTATCCAAGGCTAATGTAACTGCAGGTTATTAACCTCCATGTTTATTTGCTAGCTCATTACTGAATTCCAGTGGTCACATTTAATGAGGTACCTGTGGTTTTAATCAGCTATGAGTATGCTGTTTATCCGGCTTTACCAGCAGTGTCTAGCAGTGGCCTGCACTTAAAACTCAGAGTAGATTGTTTTGGTCCCTGAGAGACACTAAACTAAACACATCACAGTGTTTACTGTGTTGGATAACAGCACTTCCAATAGAAGTCAAGTAATGGACTCCTGCTTTCCTCCTTTACATGCTGGTGGGTATGTTGGTGATGAACCTGGAAATGGTAAGGTCCACACACTCACTTTAGTGAACATTGTCTCTGTTTTTTATTGGGTCCAAACTTTTTGGAAATCTTAATGTGTTGTCATCTTTTTCTGCCAAATGGAAATGCTATTGGCATTATTAATATGCTCAACAATTTAGTTACATACTTATATGTCCTATTCAAGATCTTTTCTATATGGATTTGTGAATATATTGTTAAAGATGTATTATTCTTTAGTATCATTGTATCAGATAGCTATTGCCACAGTGATGCTACATACATACAGGCATAGCATTGGCCCAGGCAGCTCTGCTTTAGGCTGTAGATGTGTAGCCGGCTGTTCTGCTGCCGTTCTGCCTCACCTGCCTCATTCTGGGACCCAGGCTGGAGGGTGTGTTTCTCTCGTGGTGTTGATAGAAACCTAGGAGAGAACCAGTGAAGATTGGGACCCATAATTTAGTCTACTATAATGATAAATGAAATTATTCCCAAAGTTGAAATGTTTTGGCTATCACAATACATGGTAGCATAAGTCAGAGATCTGAAAAACGCTTATTCTGAAAATATTCAACACTGGTTGTTAAAGCATGTTCATCTGCAAAGTAGTCTACCCTTCTTTGGCTATATCATGATGATGTCTAATGGTGTCATTGCACAGTCTCACAGCTGCGGCATACCTCTTTCACACTGTATATAGAAGATTTCATCTTTAATTCATATGTATATGCCTTTTTATATAATTACTGTCAGAATGTACATTAAAAAAAATTTTTTTTTTTTTTGAGAGAGTCTTGCTCTGTTGCCCAGCCTGGAGTATAGTGGTGCAATCTTGGCTCATTGCAAGCTCCGCCTCCCGGGTTCACGCCATTCTCCTGCCTCAGCCTTCCGAGTAGCTGGGACTACAGGCGCCCGCCACTACGCCTGGCTAATTATTGTGTATTTTTAGTAGAGACAGGGTTTCATGGTGTTAGCCAGGATAGTCTGGATCTCCTGACCTTGTGATCCGCCTGTCTCAGCCTCCCAAAGTGCTGGGATTGCAGGCGTGAGCCACCGTGCCCAGCCTAAAAATTGTTTTTATAGATCATTGTTATAAATGGGTTTTAAAACACATTTTGTATAATATTCATTGAGTTGATGGTCTGTAAAATGCCTTTTTTTAACTTTTAGAACCTTTTAGATTGTTTCTAATAATCCTTTGTTGTTATGTATAAACATTACACTGATTACCTTTGTGTGTGATTTTTTCTTTAATTTTTATTATTTATTTATTTATTTAGAGACAGAGTCTCGCTCTGTCACCCAGGCTGGAGCGGAGTGGCGCGATCTCGGTTCACTGCAGCCTCTGCCTCCCAGGTTCAAGCAATTCTCCTGCCTCAGCCTACCAAGTAGCTGGGATTACAGGTGTCTGTCAGCATGCCTGGCTAATTTTTGTAGTTTTAGTAGAGATGGGATTTCTCCATGTCAGACAGGCTGGTCTCGAACTCGTTGACCTCAAGTGATCCACCTGCCTTGGCCTCCCAAAGTGCTGGGATTACAGGCAAGGGCCACCACGCCCAGCCTTTTTTCTTTTTTTTTAAATTGCATTTTTTTCCTATAGGGATAAAATTTCAGGAATGTGAACATTTTTTCAGAGGGAAGGGTTTTAATACATAGTACATTTTGTCGTTTTCAACAAGGTAGTGTTAGAGTTATAGGGTGCTTTTAAAAGTGTGAATTTTGTATCCAGTCAGACTTCTAGGATCAGTACACAGAAATTCTACCATAGTAGGGCTCATTATTATATACACTCGAAATAAATGTCTAAACATAGTATTTAACAGCTTAACAACGTAAGTAAGTGACCTCCTTATTCATTATCATCATTCGAACATGTTTCACCACATGTGATGTGTGGATTTGAAAGTAATGAAAACAAAATGTAAGATATTTTGTTGTTGTTGTTGCTGAGATGGTGTCTCACTCTGTCGCCCAGGCTGGAGTGCAGTGACCTGATTTTGGCTCACTGCAACCTCCGCCTCCCAGGTTCAAGCGATTCTCCTGCCTCAGCCTCCCGAGTAGCTGGGATTACAGGCACCTGCCACCCTGGCTAATTTTTGTATTTTTAGTAGAGACAGGGTTTCACCATGTTGGCCATCTGGTCTCCAACTCCTGACCTCAAGTGATCCACCTGCCTCAGCCTCCCAAAGTGCTGGGATTACAGGCATGAGCCAGCACACCTGGCCGAGATGTTTTAAAAAAAATAATAAAACTTTTTTTTGAATACTCTTACCTTTTTTCCTTTAAAATTTTTTTCTACTACTTGGTAATTTTTTTGATAAGACTCAAAGTTTCACAGTATTTGAATATCATTGCTTATAAAGACTTAAATTGGCAATTTAAAAAGAACTATTTTGGGCCCTTTTTTTTTGGTAGGTAAACCTACAGTTGTGGACATCATTTATTATAGTGTCATAACTTTCTGAATAGTTATATCCCATTCGTATCTCCAGTGCAACTTGCTAGAAAGTTAACTCTAAGATTTTTATGAGATGAGATTTTGAGAAGCTAGTTTGAACTGTGTTGCTTTTGTTTTTACAGGACGGCCTCCTGGTCCTGAAATGGAATACTGCACTGACAGAAAGTCATACTCCTTAGCTGCTGGCTTGGCCCTGGGCATGGTCTGCTTGGGGGTAAGCATAGCCTATGCCTTCCCATGCTTCAGTTAGGACATCTACATGTTGAGACAAATAACGTTGACACCTAAACCTGAATATTGTCCCTTACTACGACTTAATCTTCTGCCCAGCTCTCTTGTCTTTTTGGATATTTTTCAAGGTACCAGATTTGCAAATTGAGAGAAACTGTGGTCAAGAGTGAGACTTTAAGATTTCTTTTCCTCCAGCTTACAGTGTTCATGAACAAACTAAAGGGAATAAAGTTTTTTTTTTAAAGTGTTCAAGACATAGAATGAATAAGTGACAGCCCACTATGACTGAAAACAGAGAATAGTGAAAATGTATATGATCAGGAGCCTTAAGAGTCTATAGTAGCTGCTTGAAACAAACCCTAACCCCCTTTTGCCATAGTGATGTTCACTGTGTATCCCAGAATGTTGTCCCAGTAGCATCTTCCTTGTGACAAAATGCAGTATCAGATTGACCCATCTTTAACTCCATCCAAGAGATGTGTACAGAATTACCAGAAATGTTTCATTAAATGATTGTTTCACTTGAAATGTGGTTCCCCTTGAAAAACCACCAATACATTCTTATGGTCAAACTAAATGATATAAAGAAAGTTATAAGGCAAGGTGATCGGATCACCTGAGATCAGGGGTTCGAGACCAACCTGACCAACATGGAGAAACCCCATCTCTACTAAAAATACAGAATTAGCCAGGTGTGGTGGCGCATGCCTGTAATCCCAGCTACTCGGGAGGCTGAGGCAGGACAATCGCTTGAACCCAGGAGGCAGAGGTTGTGATGAATCAAGATCACACCATTGCACTCCAGCCTGGGCAACAAGAGTGAGACTCCATCTTAAAAAAAAAAGTTGTAGTGGAAGGAATTTTTTCTCATGTGTGTTCTGAAAATCCACCTCGTGGTTGACCATCTATTAGGGCCTTGAATTCACATTGGCACGTGAGCTAAAGAGGCTGGTGGTATAATGGAAAATAATCAGCTGGGTGTGGTGGCTCATGCCTGTAATCCCAGCACTTTGGGAGGCCGAGATGGGCGGATCACGAGGTCAGGAGATCCAGACCATCCTGTCTAACACGGTGAAACCCCGTCTCTACTAAAAATACAAAAAAAATTAGCCAGGCATGGTGGTGGGCGCTTGTAGTTCCAGCTACTCGGGAGGCTGAGGCAGGAGAATGGTGTGAACCCAGGAGGCGGAGCTTGCAGAGAGTCGAGATCGTGCCACTGCACTCCAGCCTGGGCAAGAAGGCGAGACTCCGTCTCAAAAAAAAAAGAAAGGAATCACACAGGGAATTGCAACTTGAATTCTGGTCCTAACTAGTGAGTCAAGTCATTTAACTACATTATTGTCTATTGCTTAATCAGCTTCATGGATTGTTGAACCAGATGGCCGTGTTTTATATATAGCCCTGCAACTTACTATAATAGCTGTATAACCTTGGGCTTAATCCCTCTTTGCCACACTTTCCTTATTTATAAAATAGGGTTTTAATAGTAGCTATTTGATATGGCTGTTCATTCATGTTAAACACACAGAATAGTGCCTGACACAGAGCATGCATTTAATAAATTACTATTATTATCATAGTTATTGTTGGAAAAGTTCTTAAGTACAATAATGAAAGTATTCAGATATTTACAGTTCAGGTTTCAATTATATAACTAATATTTTTCTTTATTGTTAAATGTAACTAACTCTAAAGCTCTTATGTATTTTAAGACAGTACTTAAAGTTGAACATTCATGTATTAAAACTTTTATGAGAATTATTAATATTTATTAACTCATGATTAATGTTTGCTTTAAGTTGGAAATAAAAAAAACAAAACCCGAAATAACCTGCTTTGAAGTTAGTTCATTTTTATATTTGTTATGGGTATGTGTTATGGATCTTCCTCCATAAAATTTCTTTTCACTCGTCTGTTATTGTCTTTTCCAGCACGGCAGCAATTTGATAGGTATGTCTGATCTCAATGTGCCTGAGCAGCTCTATCAGTACATGGTTGGAGGACATAGGCGCTTTCAAACAGGAATGCATAGGGAGAAACATAAATCACCAAGTTATCAAATCAAAGTAAGTACACAGCAAAGTAATAGATCAAAAGTCTGGAAGCTGGGAAGTTAATTGGAAAATACTAGTGTTCATCCTGACATTGGTAAATATGTTAATTTTAAGCATACTTATCAGAGGAATTTTATAAAAATTTAGAACTCTTTTACATGCATAAACTCTTCTTTCAATAGGAAGGAGATACCATAAATGTGGATGTGACTTGTCCAGGTGCTACTCTAGCTTTGGCTATGATCTACTTAAAAACCAATAACAGGTATTTCTACCCACTCACCCTTCCTCCCACGGTGATAGTGTGATATCCTCTCTGACCTTGGTTGTAAAATTCAGTTATCTCATGTGTTTCTTTCCCCTGTGCTGGATTAAGCTGATTTTCGTTCTTTCAAGTACTGTAAGTTTTTGAAAGAAAACTGGCAGTATTTGAAGTTATAAAGATTTTACCTAGAAATGTATTTGGCTATTTTAATTGTATTTGACAATATAGTTTTCAATTTCTGTTCATTTCTGTTTTGTAGTTGATGTCAGTAACACCCAAACAATGCCCATGTTTGTTTTCATTAATTTAGCATATTGCTGTGAGGACTGGTTAAGCCAGAAATACTTATCATTAGTGTGATCTTGGCTACCATGTAAAACAATGGTTTTTGCCTACTTCAAGAGCTTTTGTAATTACCAAACCGTCTACCTTCCTAACTTGCTATATTAATGCTGATGCTTGAAAGTAAGATCTTTGGCATTTATGCTTACACGTTGCATGAAGAGTAAGTTGAGTACAACATGTTATGCCATGTATTAAGTCTATTAATTAAAAACAAATTCTAAGATTCAAGGAGCTTTTCAGTGTTCCACATTTCTCCCTTTAGAAAAAGTAAATGTGTGCAGAATTAACAAAGTGTTTAAAAATAGATATTTATTATTTTACTATTTGGATGAATGTGTAGGGCAGTGCTTCCTTGGCACTGGGGATATTTCATTGAGCAAAACTAAAAATATCTTCCCTCATGGAGTTTATGTTA
The DNA here is from genome assembly GCF_000001405.40 of Homo sapiens. NCBI lineage: Eukaryota > Metazoa > Chordata > Mammalia > Primates > Hominidae > Homo > Homo sapiens. The sequence continues at coordinate 87,031,055 of NC_000002.12, read as the reverse complement.
TAGTAAGACATACGTGTACCTCTATAATAACTATTACGTTAGAAGGTATAAAGTATTGTGAAAAATATATAGAGCAGTAGTGGAGTGGGAAGAAATGTTTTGAAATAGAGCTTGAGATTCTTGATTGTCTTGCCCTCTACTTGAACAGTGTCTTCTAGGAAGCCCAGACACATGGAGAAGTTCTGAGTGTTTTGGCCGATAGTCCCAGATGAGGTTCCAGCAACAGCTGGGATCACCCATGAGATGTGAGTGAGGAAGGCTTTGAGATGGTTTCAGCCCTAGCCACCACTGACCTCATAAGAGACCACAAGAATGAGAATCACCTGGCCAAGCCCAGCAGACCTTCAGAATTCAGAAATAAAATAATTCATCTTATTTTAAGCCACTGTGTTTTGGTTTGATTCATCCCATAGCAAAAGGCAACTTCAGCAGGCCCTTTCTGAGGCTCTGGAGGGGCCCTGGCAATGTATCCATTTGGTCATTTGCTTTTGACAAAAGCAGACATTTTAGCTGTAATTGGCTAAAATTCTGATCTCTTTCTGCCCTCATGTTGGGTGGTGGTGGAGTGGATGTGGGCATTTTGAGGATCCAGCAAAAGAAGAATTGAGTCATTGAGTTTGGGTTCCATGGGATTTATTTATGTGGTATGGAGTCATTTCTGTGTATTTTATTGCTAGCTGTCCCTGTGTAAAACAGATTCAGAATAGTCTTCACCTCCCTCGTGCTGATTTACCTGGTGGTGTAATGTAAATATGCAAGACCATAGATTACATCACGATTGTGTCACATGACATGTGCATTTGCAGGAACATGGATGGAGCTGGAGGCCATTATTCTCAGCAAACTAACACAAGAACAGAAAACCAAATATCGCATGTTCTCACTTATAAGTGGGAGCTAAATGATGAGAACACATGGACACATCGAGGGGAACAACACACACTGGGGCCCATCAGGGTTGGAGGATGGGAAGAGAGACAGCATCAGGAAAAATAACTAATGAGTACTAGGCTTAATACCTGGGTGATGAAATAATCTGCACAACAAACCCCCATGACACATGTTTACCTATGTAACAACCCTGCACTTTTATCCCTGAACTTAAAATAAAAGTTGAATAAGAAAAATAGAAATGTACAAAGCTAGAAAAGAGTGTAGCTCATCCCATCTGGGAATTATTCCAAATCTTACAGTTCATACATAAAAATAGTTTGATAAAGATTTTCCTAAGTGTGCCAAGAATCCTGAAAACTTATCTTCCATTATCGATCCTGAGCTATGAAGCCAGAAGAAAAATTTAAATCTATCAATAATAAAATACTAGAGCCAAAATAGTTTATTATTCTCTTCTCTCATAGACTATGATATTACAACATTATTGAAGAGGCAATCAAAGAATATGCAGGCAAAAATGTTGGGAAAGGAGTATTACAGAGATAGGTCAGGAATTTGTTTAATTAAAATTGCTATTTTACTGAGTTTTACATATGTTTAGTGGTAGCGGTAGCTAGAGTAGACTTTGCTGGAGTCTGGGCCATTGAGATTGGTATTATTAAGGTTATGTTGGCCTCATTTGCTCTTACCTTCTGGCATACACAGGATACATCTCACTTGATTTCTCACAAGTCTTTGGTACCCATGACCACTCCCACCTTTTTACAATTTTCACTTTTGCTGGCTTCTCTGGACTCACACTGTCAATTTTCCCCTCTGGCTAACTGTTCTCAGTCATCTCTACAGAATTCTCTTCTTCTGGGTCCTTGTGTTGTTGAGGGCTTTATCCTAGGGCTTATTTTTTTCTCTCTGAGCAAGCTTGTCCACCCCCATTGCTTCAGTCCCACCTATCTGCTGACAACTGCTGATTCCACATCTCCAGCTCAGACCTCTTTCCTAGGCTCTACACCAGGAATTGGCAAACTTTTTCTGTAAAGCGATGATAACAAATATTTTATCGGCTTGCTGGTCATTGTACTGTCTCTGTCACATCTGCTCAACTCTGCTAAGGTGGTGCAAATATAGCCACAGAAAATAGTAAAAGAATGGGTGTGGCCATGTTCCAATAAAACTTGATTTATAAAAATAAGCCTGCTTCATGGGCTATAGTTTGCCAACTCCTGTTCTAAACCAGAATATTCAACTCCCTTCTGGAAATTTCCACTTGGGTTTTCTCAAGTTCCTAAACATAACATTGTCCCCAGCCAATTTCATCTTATTCCCTCCTATGCATTCCTTCTTAATGAATGATCCACTGTCCACCAGATGTCCAAGCCAGAAATTCAGGCAGCATACTTGATTTCATTCCCCACATTCAATGAGTCACAAAATCATGTCAATTCTACTTTCTCAACATCCCCCTAATCCATTCTTTTTTCTCTTTCTCCACTGCCTTCTTTCACCCCCTCTCATCTCTCACCTCCTATGACCTCCTCACTGTGCTGCAATCAGAGGGATCAAGCCACCCTTGGATTTTAAAAGCCTTCAGTAACAGTAGTCCCTGCCTTTCTTTGGCTGAAGTCTAAACTTCTTGAAACAGAGTGAGAAGCCTGCGCAATTGGACCATTTCCCCATGTTAGCCAAATTCCTCTCATCTGTCTGCTCCTCCTGCCTCTGGGACCCTGCACATATATTTCTTCTGCTTAAAGAATGTGTAGCAGGTGAAGCAACTATCTGAGGCCAGTATACCATGGGCAGTAAGAAGAATTTACCAAGACAGTTGTAGATAAAGGCAGATTTATTGAAGAAAGTATGAAAATATGTTGCAAGGCAGCAACAGGCAGGCCAGCAAGAGAGGAACTGAATGCCAAGAGACAAAGGCTTGCTGGGGGTTTTATAGGATGTTGCTTTTGCTGCGTGCTGAAGAGAGCTTTGTGCAGTACTGATAACACCAAGGTTGCAGTGGGATAACCTGCATTTTTCCATCAGCTGAGGGCCTGATGGTAGCTGGGCACAGGAAGATTGTGAGCTATTTGTGCAGGAGGGCTATGGTCCTGGACCATGAAGAAAGGCAAACTTACAGCTTATCTGCTTTCTCTTTCTTTTTTCCTCAGTGTCACCAGCCTGATTCCTTTTGCCTAATTAGGACTCCACAGAATTATTCTCCTTTCTCATCCTTCCAGCTGTCTTCTAAGTCTCAACTTGGATGTTACTTCCTCTGGGAAATGTCTCCTCACCTCTCAAGACTGTCTCTCTGTGCACCACTACAACAAATGGGACCTGGGCCACTTCACTTTTACAATTCCAGTTTACAGACCTGCATTGCCCCAAACCCATGAGACCAAAAACTCCCTGAGGGCAAAGATGGCCTCTTATTTACTCTTGATTCCCCAGCACCTAGCACAGCACTAAACACTGTACCCACTGAAAGAACATCTGAAGGATGAGAGTTTATAGCAAAAGTGGTTTCCACTGACATTCCCTTCTCTCTTCCCCAACTTTGGATTGAGGAGCCCAGGAGCTGGTCAGGTGGCAAGATAAGATGAGAAAGGAGAAGTCATTACTTGGGGCCTCTGTTTTGCTGGTGTTTTGCTGGTGTGTGGAGATGGTGGGTTTCCCTTGAATACCTGGGAGGCAGGAGCAGGCATGAACTACTCCAGCCTCTGGGTTCTGGACCCACATGGAGGGCTGCTGCTCTCTGGCACCCATCAGTCCTTAACCATCTGGTCTCCAGCCAGGGAAGGAGTGTGGTGGTGGAGAAGCCTCTCTGTCCCACCCACTCATCCCAGGAGCTCACGAGAATCAGCCAAAGTCCGAGTTCTGCACCCTGAGTTAGGAACTCTATAACTTTAGACTTTCCCTGAAATTTGGGAATTCTCTTAACTAGTATGAAAGCAGTTACATCATCCTAGGTCCTCCTAAAATAGACACATGTATCCAAATATAGGCACATGTGTTGCAAACATAACATGTATACATATATAAATATATACATATAATTTTTGTTTTGAAATAAGTATAAACACAACAAGTTACAAATATAGTACTGAGAGATCCTTGTGCCTATGGCCCCGCCTCCCTCAGGCAGTATCTTACATAACTATAGTTCATGATTACAACTGGAAAGTTGCCATTGGCACAATATCAGAAACTAGTCTGCAGACCTTGCTCAGATTTCACCAGGTTTTTTGTGCACTCATTTGCTTTCCTGAAAATATTTTAAGGTTTTTCTACATGACTTATCTCCCTGACATACTGTGAGATAAGATTTTTTTTTTCTCTGAATGAGCTTAGAGAACAATCAATGTGAGAGATGGGAAGGATGATTTGGTGCAACTCTGTTTTATCCATGGTGAGTCTGGACCTCAGAGCAGAAGGACCCTCGTCTCTCCTCTGGGGAGTCCTGGTGCCACCTCAGTGCAGGCTGCTAAGTTATCCGGGTCTGACTTTCTTCTTCTCTGCTAATATTTGTCTTAAGCATGTAACACAGCCATGCTTATTAATGATGAGGAGACAGCCAATGAAAATTAATTTTTTCAAAGATGAATAGATATCTAGATTTTTTCAAGCACAACTCAATTAAGAAAATATCACCTCACTGAGCCCCAAATGAGTTAGGTCTCACTGAGAAAGTGTCTCCTAGTGCCAGGCAAAGTGCCTCATATTTGTAATCCCAGCACTTCTGGAGACTGAGATAGGAGGATCTCATGAGCCCAGGAGTTCAAGACCAGCCTGGGTAACATGGCAAAACCCTGTCCCTACAGAAAATACAAAAAAAAAAAAAAAAATAGCTGTGCATGGTGGCGTGCACCTGTGGTCCCAGCTACTCTGGAGTCTGAGGTGGGAGAATCGCTTGAATCCAGGAGGTTAAGGCTACAGTGAGCTGTGTTTGTACCACCGCACTCCAGCCTGGGTGACAGAGCCAGCCTCTGTTTCCAAAAAAAAAAAAAGAAAGAAAGAAAGAAAGGAAAGGAAAATGCCCCCTAGTGGATTACGTTTTAACCACTGTGCTAACTTGAGAGATAGCCTGCTATCTCTTTACGGGACATGAGGGCTGATAAGCACCTCATTGCATGGTCCTGGGGACTGATGAACAAAGGCTAACATGTGGAAAAGAGCAACTAAAGAAAGAAGAGCCACCTCCAGGTTAATTAGTAGAAGTCTCCTCGCTGATATGCTCTAATACACTAAAACAGCAGTAAAAACAACCTGCACATTGGCATCGAGGGCACAGATAAACTTGCCGAGGACCCTTACCACGACAGAGGGATGCTTTATATGAATCCTTAGTAGATTAATTAAGTTCTTGCTATTTCCAGTTGGAAATGATACTGTCCTCTTAGGGCTATTCAGAGAAGTTCATCTTGATGAAATGAGCTGTCCTAGAATGGCAGTTCCCGGGCAGCAGAGCCTGGGCTCAAGGAAGGTGGAAAGAGGGGGTGGCGAGGAGCTGCCAGGTGCAAATGTCAGGCCAGCAATGCAGTCCAGCTTGCATGGACGTGCATCACCTAGGAAGTTGTGACTTGGCTGCATTTTCCACTTCAGGTGAGATGGAAGGGTGAACTCTACCTCACCTCCTGGTGAGGTTGATGTTTCCTGGTGTTTATAACTTTCTTTGTAAATACTTGCAAGGAATTTACCATTTTAATGCTGGAAGAGACGTCTATTCCTTCATAAGAGGACCTGAGTGGATCTTGATTGCAGGCCTTATGCTGGGCAGAGCTAAGGAAATTCAATTTGTCTCCAATCTTATTTGAATGTTCTTTTTTTTTTTTTTTTTTTTTGAGACAGAGTCTTGCTCTCTCACCCAGGCTGGAGTGCAATGGCACGATCTCGGCTCACTGCAACCTCTGCCTGCTGGGTTCAAGCAATTCTCCTGCCTCAGCCTCCCCAGTATCTGGGACTACAGGAGCATGCCACCATGCCCGGCTAATTTTTTGTATTTTTAGTAGAGATGGGGTTTCACCATGCTGGCCAGGCTGGTCTCGAACTCCTGACCTCGTGATCCACCCGTCTTGGCCTCCCAAAATGCTGGGATTACGGGCATTAGCCACCGCGCCCGGCCTATTTGAACGTTCTTATGCCTGCTACAAGTGCAGCAGCAGAATCTCCACACATCTTGAGTGCGAAAGTTTCCTGTAGTTCCTTTAGCATGGAGAGGCTGGGGAAGGTTACAGACTGATTTGTACTCTTTAGACATATAGTTGATCATTGAACAACACACGTCTGAACTGTTACACACAGATTTTTTTCAATAAATGTGTTAGAAAATGTTTTGGAGTTTTGCAACAATTTGAAAAAACTCAAAGACAAACCATGCAGCTAGAAATATCAACAAAAATAGAAAAAGTTAAGTATGTCATGAATGCATAAAATGTATGTAGATACCTAGTCTATTTTATTATTTACTACCATAAAATATAACAAAACTATTGCAAAAGTTAAAATTTAGTAAAACTTATGTACACACTCACAGATCGTATATGGTGCTATTCTCAGTTGAGAGAAGTGTATACAAACATCAAGATGCAGTATTAAATTGTAACTGCATAAATTTAACCGTAGTGCATACCACAGTACGGTAATAAGTTCATAGCCTCCTCCTGTTGCTGTTGCAATGAGCTCAGGTGTTGCAAGTATCCACTTAAAACGTTCTGTGATACTCAACATTCCATCATGAGCAGGTCATCCCCAGTGAATTGCGCATCCCAGTAAAAAGTGCCCTCTCCCTGTTCACATGTATTTTTCGTCCTGTTTCGTGCTGTACTGTAAACCTTGAATAACACCATGGGATCCACATGAAGTGGCACTAGTGATGCTGGAAGTGCTCCCAAGAAGCAGAGAAAAGTCATGACATTTGACATTACAAGAAAAACTTGATTTGCTTGATATGTAACAGAGACTGAGGTCTGTAGCTGGGGTTGCTTCCATTTCAGACAGATGATTCATCTTGTAAACAGGCGGTGTAAACTTACTGTATGGATAAATACATAACAGTACCATAGATGTATTTTCTCCTTAGAAACGTTTCCTTTTCTCTAGCTTACTTTATTGTAAGAATACAGTATATAATACATATAGCATACAAAATACATGTTATTAACTGTTGCTGGTCAACAGCAGGCTATCAGTAGTTAAGTTTGGGGGAATCAGAATTATACCTGGATTTTCTACTGTGTACGGTCAGTGTGCCAAGCCCCCAAGTTGTTCAAGGGTCAACTGTAATCCTAAAAGAATCTAATACAATATTGTACACAGTAAGTGGTCAGTAAATAAGGAATTGAACTAAATAAGAATACATAAATCTCAGAATATGTGCAACCTGATCGTAGTACACAGAGATCTCTCTCTATATCTCTTTTCTCAGTTCATGCCATTATTTCAGGTAGAAAGCACCTTATTTTGAATTAGTTGTCTTTAGAGCAAAAATCCGTCTAAGAGTGCAGTGTGGTTTCCTATGCACAATCTGGAATAGTCCATTGCTTCATGCCTACCCTGGACATGAAGGGCCGTGCCACAGTGGAAGTCTCTATGCATCCACCCCTGTCTATACCTGAGCAACTCATTCCTCTTTGCTGCTCTCTTACAGGCTACAGAGTGCGGTGGCGCCAGCACAGAACTCTGCTCAATGTCCCTCTGTGCTTTCACGATGCTGATGGATTATGAAGGTAGGGAAGAATGTACAGCCAGGAGGCCATTAGGAGGGCAACTAATTTATAAAATCGCATTTGTAGAATTTAATGCATCTAACACCTACCAGGGGAAAGGTGGGCAAAAGCTATACCAACACTACCCAAGTCAAAACCAAAAAAACAGGAAAAGAAAATTATGTGGATGTAGAATTTCTGATAACATCATTCCCAAGATGCCTTATCCAAGAGGAACTGCTACAATAATATTTTAAGTGGAAATAAATACATGCTGGAAGCATTATATATTAGTAGAGTTAGTTTTTTTTTCCCCCAAAGTACTTTCTCAAGCACATCAACATAAGCCCCCTAAGAGACATTTCACATTAAAAATAAAACGTCTGCCCACTGCTGGTTTCTCAATTTGCCTCCACCTTCTGTCCCCTTTAATGAACTGGGCCACGAGGTGAGTCAGAGAGGATAAAGGGAGTGGTAAGAATTTGAGGAGAGAAGAGAGTGAGGCTAGAATAGGAAATCAGGAAATGCGATTCGGTCCCCCTGTTCCTCACATGGGGCCACCCTCTTGTTGCCCAGTGTGGTTTCTTCTTGAGGGTTCTGCATGATTCCTCAATCCCAGGGAATTCCACAGGACGTTCCACCCAAGACCATTGGGCTCCCACCTCTACTCTTTTGCCAGTTAATGAATAGGCAGGAATTTCACTGCCTGGAAAGAGGAACAATGCTTTCTGGTCCTTATTTCACATCTAAAATAGAGAGGTCAATTGATTTATTGCTAAATATCTTTGAACACTAAAATAGAAGTTTTACAACATATATACTACCTGGTTGCTCTAGACTTAAGCCAGGGAAAAGTACAGATTCAACATTTAAAATTGAGATAGACGCTTTCCACTTAGTGCTACCAGTCTTGCTTTATTTCATGAGAATGAGAATATAATAATATGCCATACGTTCATTTGGGGGAAAGATTGATGTCTTATAATTTATAATTACAGAAAACATGTGAGTTCACTGGGAATAAAGAAATTTTGAAGATAATAAGATACTTTCACTTATGTCGTAATTTCTATGTCATTTGGTGTAGGATGTGGAGATATTAACATTTACACCTAACTTAAGTTTGTCATCCAGGACCTGAAAGGGTTTTGTCTATCAGCTGCACCCCTGGGTAGCGACACAACCTTGGGGAAGGCCTCAGCCCCATCCCTCGTACAGCAGGAATGAGAACAGCACTGCCTGTTGGGAAGCTTGAGGGAGGCTATGGACGTGCAGCGCTTGGCAGAGGGTCTCGTCATGGAAGGTTCCAGCAAATGTGAGATACTTTTCTGATTTCATTTTCTCCAAAAGAAAGGGAATAAAAGAAGAGGGGAGGAAATAAGACTAATTGTGAGAGATAAAGTACAAAGGTGAGGGAAGGAGTAAGGAGACATGAAGGCAGCATGGAGCAGCTGAGGGGGGAGATTGCTTTCACCACTTCCCAGCATCTATTGCAGATTCCACCCTCAATCATTTTGTAAGGACCCTTTATTCAAGGTCGTGTTTGAACCCTGCTGAGCCAGTGGCGTGGGTGTCTGAGAGAATCATTAACTTAATTTGACTATCTGGTCTGTGGATGCGTTTACTCTCATGTAAGTCAACAACATCCTGGGATTGGGACACACTTTCTGGGCACTGCTGGCCAGTCCCAAAATGGAACATAAGGAAGTGGTTCTTCTACTTCTTTTATTTCTGAAATCAGGTAAGACATAGTTTTTTTAAATTATAATAATTATTTTTTCTCCCACAATGCAGTACAAATACATATGCCATGGCTTTATGTGCAATTCATTTAATTTTTGATTCATGAAACTCCCAGTTGAAAATCTTGTATAAGATTGAGGAATTCTTCAAGAAATAAGTTTAGTTTTCCTGTGAAGATTGTCAGCGTGCTGGAATGAATGCGCAGAGAAAATAATGGGTGGTTTTTCAAATCTAAATGAGTGCACCCACATAATGGCCAGTCTAATTGAAAAAGAGCCAATGTAGCTAACTATGCAAAGGACGGCTAAGCTCTTCGCCTGGTTCTCAGTTTGACTAATTTATATAATCTCTCTTACGGTGTCATGCTCCCCTCACTTGCAAGTTAAAACAATGAAATTTCTCTTTGAATATATTCTGTTCTCTCACCAGTTCATGGTGGTGGCAGCGTCAGGGATTCAGCATTTCTCCCTTTGTTATGGCCTGAGGAAGGCTTTCCATCAGTATACGTTTGCCTCTAATCCCCGGAAAAATCACACGCATCCATTTGCCAGATGCTGTGTGCAGACAGTGATTCAACAAATACTCACTTAGTGCTTGGGTTAGGTCGCTACATTTTTACACATACATACATACCTGTGTGTGAATGTGAGTGTGAGTGTGTGTCCTTTACAAATACTAGCTTATTTAGCTCGCGGTATAGGTAGGGTAGCATATTCACCCTCATTTTATAAACAAAGAAATCTAGACTTAGGAAAATCATGTTATTTGCTCAGTGACCAAATTCTCAAATCTGGGAAATAAAGAAAACTGGATTTAAGCCAGGTTTCCCAGAAGGAATCTAGGGCTCTTCTCACTTTTCAGCTTTGTTTAAGCCTTTGAAATAATATTCTAAACATGTCCTAGTAGTTCTTTTTCTTTTTCTTTTTTTAAAAAAAAGCTTTATTGAGATATAATTAATGTATAGAATTCACCCATTTAGGCATACAATCCAATGGATTTCAATATATTGAGAGTTGTGCAGCCACCATCAGAATAAATTTTAAAACTATTCATACCCCCAAAAACGCACTCCACTCTCCTTAGCTGTTACCCCCGATCTGCAGCTTCTGGCAACCACTAATCTACTTTCTGTATTTATATCTTTGCCATTTTGAACATTTCATACGAACGGAATCATACGATTTGCTAGTAGTTCTTCCTGTAAATAATGTATACTTGAAATTCAATCTATAAATTACCAGATAAAATTTTACAAGTTGCACTTTAGAGTCAAATACATTTGAATTTAGTGGAAGCCATTCAAGGAGCTATCAAACAAAATACAGAGCAGGAGAAAATTAAAGAAATTTTTGTAAGAAATTGGTGTATGTTGGGGGTGTGAATATTATATTTCAATGCATGGAAACTATGACATAGATCACTGTGAACTTATTCAGTGGGCTACACCCAAAGGCTAGAACAAACTTCTCCGCCACAGGATTACCAATGTTTTAACCAACCTGGGGGGAACATTCTCTCATAAGCTCTTTTGGAAAGCCAGGCTTTCTGTGGATGTATCATCTTTCCAGTGTGCTGCAATGCCCGGGGAGAGGAAAAAGTTTCTTTTACAGCCATGCTTAGTGGGAAGTGGAGAAACATCTTCCATTTCACAAATTAAGTCTTTTACACATGCAAATATGCATACACATTCACACACCACAGTGAGGAAGAAATTCTCACACCATTAATAAAATACATTTGCATCAGTAGCAATATACATCTGCATTTTGCCTATAATATAAATGTATTTTTCCACTAAAAGATTTGATGTTTCCTTGCCAGCAAATAAGCCCTATCAAATCCTATTGCCATATGAGTCCTAGAGGTGAATAAGAGAAAAAAAAAATGGGGGAAAATTATTTCAAATTAAAAAGAAAACAGTTTGATTCTGTTTTGGGATATTTCCTAGGGACAGGAGCTGGGGAGGGGATCTCAGCAGCGATGTGCTATGAAGTATAATAACATGACACAGAGAACTTAATTGAAGGGGGAAATAAATGGAAGTTTTCTTTTTTTGAATATCAATTGTAGCCTGCTCTGCTATACTTCAAAAAAACTCTTCAGAAAGTTTAACTGAACTCACCGTAGGACACACTTTGTGGATTTATTGTGTGTTTTGAAGTCACACTGCGAGCTATAGAATTAACCAAAACACAACTCTTCTTGGAAATGAGAGTTCAAGTTGGCAGAAAGTGCGGGGTAAAGACATGGATATGGGCCTAAAGCATCTATTTCTTTGTGATCTTTTGATACATCTCTCAAGTGCTTTTTAGTGGATTAGGTTTAGAATGCATCAGCCAACTCCTGCTCAATAATCCATTTTTCCAGCCCGGAATGTCTTAAATTGAGGAAGGACGAAGTCCCAGAGGTGGGGAGCAGGGGGACTTTGGCCGAGGACTTTGCATGAATTGATGAGCGTGCATCCTCCTCCCTGTGCTCTGTGTACCCTCAGGAGGTCAGGACGGGCCTTTCTGAGAATGAGAATCTGTTCATTTGCCTTCCTACTGGATATTTGTCATCAGCATACAAACCAGTGTGCTCTGCAGTGTGTCATCTTTCAGAACCTCCCCTGACCGCATCTTCCCTGGAGGGCTCGCTGTCTTCAGAGCCAGGCTTGTCTCCCGCTGCCGCCTCCACTGCTCTCCTCGTCACTCTATAACCCACTCCCTCTGCCTGCAGCCCCCACCACGCCCCTCAAAGTGGTCAAGGTTGTCCTGTTGTCTAATTCCATGGAGCTTGGCTATCTTCATTTTATTAGCCTCTTTTGGCCTCTTACCCCTGTGAAAATCACTAGCATTCTGTGCGAAGGATGGAGCTGGCATCTCCAGGCTTGGAATAGACCTACCAAAGCTCAGCCAGATGTCCGGAAGAGCCTCAGGACAAGGGAACACCCTGTAGCCTTGTGGTGGGAGCACAGCTGAGGCCCCCTTGGCCACCCTCTGCCACGACCAGGCAGAAAGCAGCTTTCGGACAGATTCGTTGTCTCAGATTTGATCTCAAAGAAAAACCAAGACCAGTATTTGTCCCAGGTTCTGCTTTTTTACAATTTCCTCCGAAATCCAGATACCTGTCAACACCTTGGAAAAACTGATTTCTCCCCAGTTAGTAGTGTTGTGTGACTGTCATCAGCCCAGTACAAAAATGGCCTTCTTTGTTGGGGAGCTTCTTACCCTCCAGTGTTTTGCCCAATTTTTGTCCAAGGTGGCAACATAATTTAGTTCAGTTCTTGTTTATTTCCACCATCATCTATGCACCAAAATTTATGTGCCTCAAGGAGGGACCATTCAGAGGATGCTTCCCACCAGTTCAAGTGACAGTGTCAGAACCAAAGCGCATATTGTAGGAAATCAAACAATGGCCTCCAAGTTCCATTTCTACCCAGGGATGAACAAATCAACATCAATCTTGGTAACACAACTGCCACTGATGGTGCCTTACTCTTCTCTCATGACATGGCACAATTGATAGCAAACATAAAATTTGTTCTTGTTTAAGGATTTATATCCACTAATATGGTAACATAGTAGTGGTTCCATAGTTCTAACCTGTTTATCAATCCAGTTAATCTTTTACTATCTTGCAATCTGTTAATGAAACTGTTTTTCTTTGTTTTATAATTTCAACTTTTAGAGTCAGGGGTACATGTGCAGGTTTGTTACATCACTAAATTGCGTGACACTGAGCTTTGGGGTACAAATGATTCCCATCACCCAGGTAGTGAGCTAAATACCTACTAAATAGGTAGTTTTTCAGCCCTTGCCTCGCTCCCTCTCTCCCTTCTCTGGTAGTCCCCAGTGTCTTTAGTTGCCATCTTTATTTATGTCCACATGCCCAACTGTGTGTTCTTAACTAAACATTTTGATTCATAGCTACCCATTCTACTTCCAGTAAACAGCAAGTTTTATTTGGTTAATGCTAACCAAATAGATTAAAAGGAAGTCATGACAATTAGACATTGGCATTGATTTACTGACCATTTATTCCACTTGGATCTCCCACCTCTAGGTCAAGGAGAGCCCCTGGATGACTATGTGAATACCCAGGGGCCTTCACTGTTCAGTGTCACTAAGAAGCAGCTGGGGGCAGGAAGCAGAGAAGAATGTGCAGCAAAATGTGAAGAGGACAAAGAATTCACCTGCAGGTATTTTCATCGTCGTTGCACCTACCCAGAAATCTGTAATTCAGATGGCAAGTAATTTACTCACAAATTTATTAACGATTTAAGAGGAAAGAGAAATTTATGGAGCCAGAGTTTGGAACTATATTTGCTCATAGCATGTGAAGCCATACTAACAGCTTCTTGTTAAGGTTTACTGGAGTCTTCATTAGAAAAATACCCTAAAAGGAAGTTATTTGTTTTTACACCGGACATAAACATTAGCAGTTATTGTTCTGAGCTCCAGTTTTTAACATCATCATCAGTAAATGTTTGTTGAGGATCATATGAATGAAAGTGTCCTAGATAGATCTGAGCAATGACTTATAGCTACAAGATCCAGTGCCTGCCCTTCAGTATTTAAGGTGACTGGATATAATGTTAAAAAAAAAAAAGACAGCCTAAGTGAGCTACAGGCATAATCAATGCATGTTCTACCCAGATCCAGAAGAAAGAACAGTGCCTAAGGTTGAGGCAGCTAGAGAAGGCTCAGGGAGGAGGTGGGAACCGAGCTGGGTTTGGAGTTGAGAGAGCTCTTGAAAAGCACCAGGAAGGCAGGGGAAGATGCGGCCCTGCACTTTCTGAGGGGGACCATTAAGAGATCAAGTTGACTAAAGCAGAGACTTTGTGTAGGTGATGAGCCTGGGAAAGTAGCTATGGATGCCAGACTGAGCACCCATAGCAGGACCACGGGATGGAGATGGGAGGGGTCAGGGGCCAGGGTGGGGTGGAATGTGGGACAGAGGTTCAGGGGAACTGATCAGAGTTGGGAGGTCATGGAGATGGACTATCTTGGGGAATGGGTTCAAAGCAACCAGAGTTGCTTCTTTCTGACCCAAAAACAAAAATTAAGAAGATGAGTGAAGAAGAAGTAAAACAGTTGAAACAGAAAGAAAGAGAAAATTATGAGGGAGGGAAGGTAAGGGCAGATAAGATTTACTGCCACGTTGGTGTATTTTGTTCAGTACTTCATCAATGCCATGCCCAAATAACTGAAAGAGGCAGCAATTCTGAGCTCTCTGGTCCCTCAAGATAGTCAATGATCTTTAGCATTTCTCATTTATTAATAAACATTTGTTTTCTTTAAATAAAGAAAAATACTTATTGGATTTCCTGCTTCGTTCTGCAGGGCATTCCAATATCACAGTAAAGAGCAACAATGTGTGATAATGGCTGAAAACAGGAAGTCCTCCATAATCATTAGGATGAGAGATGCAGTTTTATTTGAAAAGTAAAGTGAGTACATTTTCTTCCTCCTCCTCCTACTGTCCTCCCCATCCTCCCACTCTTCCTCTTTCTCTATTCTATCTTTAATTTATGAGACCAGAGGAGGAAGGTGCTATGGTGTTGTAAAATTGAATTCTGAGTTAGGACAGGATTTGATTACTAACTAACCATGTCAGCTTGAGTATATTACTTCACCTCCTAGATTTAATTTTTTTTTGTTCAAAAAATGAAAGGATTAGATTTACAAAATCACTTCTACCTCTATGACCCTGAAAATAAGATTTTTAAAATATTATTTTATATTTAACAAGGAGATGGGAAGTCTAAGCATTCCTTTTGGTCTTGGCTTCTTATTCTGCAGGGTGACCATGGTCCTTGGGCCCTAACATCTGGACGAAGCCTTGTAAAACAGAAATACTGAGGTGTTTTAATCCTCAGAAACATTTAGATTGGGACACAAATCTTATTTTTTACTCTTAAATTTTTCACATTTTGGGGGACATGGTCTATATTTTTCTCAGATTTCTGATATGTTGTCTTTTAAAAATGTGTAAAAGTTACAGTTCCTTTTCTATAGTTTATTTTAAAATGTGGGTCAATAGTCCCACTGCTTAGAATAAGAGGCACACAGGATTTCAATAGAAATTGCATGCCTTTTTAGATGTGCGAATGTTTCATTAAGCGTATGAATATTTGAAGAGATGTATGACACTTTAAAAACTGTTTCCTCTACTGTGTTGGTGGCCAGGTATTAAGACTGTTAATAATAACAATTTAGCTCTCCAAATATCCTGCATCACAGGTGTTAAAGAGGACTGGAAACACCTTAGTTCTTGTATTCTTGAGGATGATTTGCCATATTGTGTCTAGTATCACGGCAAAACTCCAAGTAGCATTTTAAATAGTATTTATTTGGGTTGGAATTATTTCTATGCATTGACTCATCTTCCTGGGTTTCATTAGCTGTACGCATTGTACTTTCTTCCTTACCACTATTTATCTCGAATTCTTGAGATTAAAGTACAGATGAAATCTAAACTTTATCTGGTAAAGTTATTAGTTCTTACAAGTAGCAAGCAAACGGTAAACTAAATAGGATGACCTAATTGTACCAGATTTAAAAACAAAAACAAAAAACCCTGATTCTCCTGATTCTCTCTACAAAATGCTAACATTTAAATATGTCATTTGTAAATTGTTAACCAGAAGGAACATGGGAATGACTGTAGGTTGAGTTTGAAGTGTGAAGTTTGAAGGCTTAGTTTGCTTGTTTTCAAAGTGACAGAAGGGAGCAAAAGGTTATATAAACTCCGGTGGGTACATACAGTTGCTGTGGGATATTGACCTGCTGCTAACTTACCTGCCAGGGTTTTGCCAGGAACAGTCAGTGTTAGATCACGTTTACTTCTGCCACTTGCCACCAGCCACACTGCCTTCACCGAGTCCAAGACCCTATCACCACTGGTTGGGGCTACTTGTAGCTGTACACCTGATCTCGAAGAAATATAACTTCCCTGTTTAAAGCCCTTCCTAGTGCCCTTAAAATAAGACCCAAAGACTTCCCAAATGTGCCAGGGCCCGGCATTATTTACGTAACCCCCGGCTGCTGTTTGCTTGGCTTGCTAAACTTTTCTACAAAGTTTCTGGCCTTACTTCTGTTCCTTCACCACCCCAAGCACACGCCCTCCTGCCTGGGACCCTCTTCACCTTTGTCCTGCTGTGCCAGCTCCTTCTTATCGCCTAGGTGTCAGCTCAATCATCACCTCCTTTGCAAATCTTCCTTGACCCCTAGACCTCCCTTTCACAAAGTACCTTGAGTTTACACTTTGATGAGTGTCTTATGTCTACTGTAATACTATGTCCCAATGAAGATGTACTGGCAATCATAATACGTAGTATTGGGTTAAAAGCATTAGTTTGCTGTAGGTACGTTAGGAGTACTCCCCATGTGATTGATCAGTGAATTTAAAAATGGCTAAAGTGGGTAACCTTAAATGATGGTGCAAATATACCTTAAACATTTTATATTTTCATTGAAAACACAAGTGTACTTGACACCTCTTGATGTAGAGCAGAGGCTTTTTTTCTTCGAATATGGGGTCACCAGTAGAAGGTCTCTGGTGCATTTCCTGCATAAACTATGCTCTAGTGCAACATCTACAATAATTACTTTCCTTATTTTTGAAGTGGACCATATCTCGACATTTATTAATCAATCTGCATGTGTAAAACCTTTAGATTTTTATGAATTCCTCCTCAAGCTTTATAGTCAACTATATGAGTGGATTGCCCTCTGTGGATCTGATAGCAATTTTTTAAATGATTCACGTTTCAACTTGTTAAAAACATTTAATTTAGTTAAAAACCAAACAAAAAAGAGCTTTGTTTCTTTTCACATTCATTTCTCAGTTTAGATCATCTTTAATTAAATATAAATGTAAGAAAGTTGGAAAATGCAAAGAAACGACTCGTTGTAAGCACATAACTCACGTGGGGGGAACAGACATGGGTGGGCACACTAGCAAACACCTGCCAGCTGCATGTGGACCCAGGTGGGCACCGGACTGTTTTAAACACAGGAGAGGGCCCATTGTCTAACTGGTGAGTTGGTTGAGTGGAAGCTGGTTGAGAACTTTTACTGCAAACCATTTACAGTAGACCACAATTTTATAGTCCTGTTTGGCACTTTTTCATATCACTGGGAGCCTGAAGAAATAGAAGTGGGTTGGATCTCTTTCAGCCTCGGAAAAGCCTGCCATTCCCCCATCTAAAAACCCTTTCCCCATTCTCTTACTCTGTCTCATCATGTATGTAACATGTATCCATGTATCATCAAGTGATCTCATTTTATATTGTTTACTTGAATATTTCCTGTAACCCCCCTGTCTGATTCCACTAGAATGTGAGCTCTATGATGGCCAAGCCTCTGGCTGCACTGTGCCCCGTGTGTCCCCAGCATCCTGGTGGGGCTCAATACACAGAGAGCTCATAAGTAGCATTTGAATACATGAATCAAAGTATGGAATGGCCCAGTTTACTGCAGCCTTTTTGCAGGTGCAAAAGATGATCTTTTAGAAAGCAGAAACAGGGGGTCTGGTGCATGAGATCTTTTTCTCAATGTGACTGTGCTGTGCAGACCTTCACGTGGTGTCTTGTGAAAGACTTTGACCACTGTGTGGACTTTCCTTCAGTGTATCTTTCAGAGTGCAAGACTGGGAATGGAAAGAACTACAGAGGGACGATGTCCAAAACAAAAAATGGCATCACCTGTCAAAAATGGAGTTCCACTTCTCCCCGCAAACCTAGGTCAGACTTTTCCTTTCATCTTTGTGTTCATCTACTGTAAAGTGTCCGTCTGTGTCTGTGAGGGATTGGTTCCAGGACCCCTGTGGCTACCAAAATCCATGCTTCTCAAGTCCCTTATGTAAAATGGTGCAGTATTTGCATATAACCTACATACCTTCTCTTGTGCAATCCCTAATATAATGTAAATGCTATGTAATCGTTGTTATACTGTATTGTTTTTATTTGTATTATGTTTTATTGTCATATTGTTATTTTCTCTCATCTTTTTCAAGTCTTTTCCATCCACAGTTGGTTGAATTTGTGGATGTGGAACCCATGGATACAGAGGGCCAACTGTATTTAGGATAATTTCATCACTTTTAATTCAAACCAGAATATGTGAATAAGCAGACAGAAAGAATCTTTTTGATGTCGATGTTCAACTATTTTTGGCACCATAGTAGAACATGGTTGCTTTCTATTTTTTCTTGGGTATGGAGGTTTCTTGAAGACCTAGAACATAGAAGAATGCCTAGTTAAAAAAAAAAATCAATGAAACTACGAGTTTTAGGCCAAATCTGAGAAAAGACCAAAGATGACTATGTTTGGGACTGAAGTAAACATATCAAGTTAGAACTCTCATCACATGTTTGACTCAAATTGTGGAGCAAAATAGTAAATAAAATATAAAAATGAAAATGAAGATACGTGAAATTCAAATGTCACAACTTGCCTATTATTTATTTTAGTGCATTTTTTTGTGCTTTTCCCAGTTTGGTGTTAGGTGGCCTTAAGTTCTCAGTAATGACACTTATCAAATAGGAACTTAGTGTTACTCACCTTTATCCATTCCCCCAACACTCAACAAATTGCCTTTGCTATATCCCTATGAGATGAGCAGATCAAATATTCCCCGTGAGTTAATGAAAACTGATTCAACCAAATGGCGAAGTCAGAGACTATCGGGGGCCATGGAGACACTCTGGGCCATTTTTATGAGGTAGTCTAGGCTCATCTTCATGAGGGAACTGAGGTCTTGGGGGGTGGGGGTTACCCAAATAGGTTCACAGAAGAACCAGAAATAAAACCTGCCTTTCTAGACTGTAAGTCTTGTGATTGTCATCTAAATGGTTGTCTCTATACAGCAACTCATCTCTAGAACTGAAAATAAGTTTAAATCCCTCCTCCATCCCCAATAATTCAAGCTGCATTTCAGAGAAAACCAGGACTTTGGAATCAGACAGATCAACTTTGACTTCTTGATCTGCTTCTTCATAGCTATTTATGCTTAGGCAAGTTTTGTTTTGTTTTGTTTTACGTTGCCACTCAGTCTTCTCATCTGTAAAACAGGGATAATAACACCTTCCTCAAATGGTTTTTTTTATTAGGACTAAAAGAGAGAATGTGTGGAAAGATGTTAGTGGAATTCCTGGCACATAGTTCACATGGACAAAATGGTGTTAACTACGAAAATTTTTACAGAGAAAAGGGCAACTGACAAAAGCAGGTGTTTGGAATGAATTAAGACCATGGCAGGCTTTTGAGGCCTTTATATTTCTCCTGACTGTGCAATAAAAATATTTTGGCTCTCTGTCTAAGACTTGGCTGTCACAGTAGCAATGGTAATATTAGCTACTGTGCCAGAAGCAGCCTATCAATAGAGAAATTGAAAATCTGACCACACAAATGCTGCAGCACCCAGCTGAAATGCATTTGGATGACAATCTCAGATGGGAATCGAGAGCATCTCCTTCTGCCTTGCTAATAGCAAGCTGATTTTTAGAATATAGTCTAAGTGCTTCTCTTCCATCCTCCCCAGATTCTCACCTGCTACACACCCCTCAGAGGGACTGGAGGAATCCAGACAACGATGCGCAGGGGCCCTGGTGCTATACTACTGATCCAGAACAGAGAGATGACTACTGCGACATTCCTGAGTGTGAAGGGCAGGAGTGGCTCTAGAAAATGTTTTCATTTCTGCCCTTCACCTGTAAAATAATTTGTTGTAAAGCCCCTTCCCACAGGGATATTATTAATAATTGCGTAACGTGTTCACCTCTCGGAAAGGAGCAAAACTTTGCTCAGATCCCAGAATTAACCTGATTTTTTTTTTTTTTCTGAGACAGAATTTTGCTCTCATTGCCCAGGCTAGAGTGCAATGGTGCGATCTCAGCTCACCACAACCTCCGCCTCCGGGTTCAAGCGATTCTCCTACCTCAGCCTCCCAAGTAGCTGGAATTACATGCATGTGCCACCATGCCTGGCTAATTTTACATTTTTAGTAGAGACAGGGTTTCTCCATGTTGGTCAGGCTGGTCTTGAACTCTCGACCTCAGGTGAGCCGCCCGCCTCAGCCTCCCAAAGTGCTGGGATTACAGGCATGAGCCACCATGCCCAGCAGACCTGAATTATTATTATTAAAATGTTACATCAACATGTACAAATATAAAACTACATCTAAACTCTAAGTACAGACTTCTTATGCTTAAAACTCTTACACAGTGTTAACCCCAAGACAGATTTGCAATTAAGTAGTTAAAATAAGACAACAAAGTCAATAAAAATCAAATAAACAATATACATTTAATGTGGTAGACTTTGCTGTTTTGCTGAAGCTAAGCAAGGAACCAGTTTTTAAATCAGCAATCCGTTATTTTAATGGACTGAGCAATTTAATAGTGCACCTCAAAGGTCAATGATAAAAACTAAAAAAAAAAAATACCTACTGAAAAAACTGTCATCGTTTCACATTTCTGGCTACGTTAGTGCAAAAGGGAATAAATAAAGGTGAGATTTGTGTGACAGTGTGGATATGGTACTGTGTGACAACTCAGTTCTCCCATCACTTCCACCTGTTTGAATCATCGGGATCCTTTATTTGTACACCATGTTATCGGTATTTGCCCTTAAGCACCACCAATGCACCACTTTTATATTAAGTCTGCCCGTTTTCCTTAGTACTCCATAAAATTTAAGTCACATATTACTCTGCCTCACCATGTTACTTCAATAATTCTGAATCAAAGTTTAAGTTTGTGAATAATTTTGCAAAAAAAGAGCCAATCATGCTTCTCAACAACATAAAAAGAGAAGCGCCGTCACTTCAGGTGAATATTGTTCTCCGTGAGGCCATGAGCATAAACAAAAACTCCAGACTAAAACCCTGAGACGGTGCCAGGTCATTCAGCAGTCAGCGGAATGATCAGTATAATTTCAAACAAAGTTTTAAAGATCATTATTGAAATGATGTATTTTGAGCTTCCTGGATCTGTTCCTTTATGTCTACCTTAGTTCATTTGGGCTGCTGTGACAAAAATATCATAAACTGGAGAGTTTATAAACAACAGAAATTTATTTCTCACCGTTCTAGGGGCTGTGATGTCCAAGACCAAGGCACTAGCAGTGTCTGGTGAGGCCCTGCTTCCTCATAGATGACACATTCTGGCTTTGTCCTCACATGGTGTCAGGGGCTAGCTAATTCCCTGGGGCTTCTTTCATAAGTGCACTAATCTCTGTCCTGAGGGTAGAGCCCTCGTAACCTGATTGACTCCCAAAAGCCCCACCTCAGTACTATCACATTGAGGATTAAGTTTCAATATAACTTTTGAGGAGACACAAACATTCAGACCATAGCTTTATCTATCATGAATTTGGGGGAATTTTCAGTCACTGTTGCTTCAAATGTTTCTTCTGTTTCTTTCTCTTTTTTTTTTTTTTTTTTGAGACAGAGTCTTGCTCTGTTGCCCAGGCTGGAGTGCAGTGGCACGATCTCAGCTCACTGCAAGCTCCTCCTCCCAGGTTCATGCCATTCTCCTGCCTCAGTCTCCCGAGTAGCTGGGACTACAGGCGCCTGCCACCACGCCCCGCTAATTTTTTGTATTTTTAGTAGAGACAGGGTTTCACCGTGTTAGCCAGGATGGTCTCGATCTCCTGACCTTGCGATCTGCCCGCCTCGGCCTCCCAAATTGCTGGCATTATAGGCGTAAGCCACCATGCCTGGCTTTCTTTCTCTTTTTCTTCTCTTTCTGGTATTTCCAAAAAGTCTCCATGTTCCACCTTTTGTAATTGTCTCACAGTTCTTGACTCTTGTTCTGTTTTTTCTTTTTCATTCTTTTCTCTCATTGTGTGTCAGCTTTTGAAGTATCTATTGACATCTCTTTGAGCTCACTGATTCTTTCATTGGCCATATCCATTCTTTTGATGAACCCATCAAAGGCATTCTTCATTTCTGTTATGGTGTTTTTTATTTCTAGTATTTCATCTTTATTTCTTCTTAGTGTTTTTATCTCTTTGCTTACATTACCCATCTGTTCTTGCATGTTATGCCATTTTTACATTAGAGCCCCTAGCATGTTAATCTTAGTTATTTTAAATTCCTGGTTGGATACTTCCGATATTTCTTTCATATCTGAGTCTGGTTCTGATGCTTGCTCTGTCTCTTCAAACTGTGGGGTTTCTTGTCTTTTAGTATGCTTTGTAATTTTTTGTTTGAGGCTGTATATGATGTACTGGGTGAAACGAACTGAGTTAAATAAGGCTTTAGTATGAGATTTTGTGTTTCTCTGGCTAGGAGTTAGGCTTTGTTTACTCTTTGCTATATAGTCATGGATGTCAGAGGCTAAAATTTCCTCTAGTGTCCTTGTGTTGTCTCCCCTGTCTTCTCTGGGGAGCTCCCTAGAGGCTTCTTTGTAAAGTAGCTCTGAGTCTTGCAGTGTCTATCCCTAATCATGGGAAAACATCAAACAAACCCATACAGCGGGACATCTGACAAAGTACCAAGTGTCAAGGATCATGGATTGAATCCTGAAACAGAGGAAGGACACTGAAGGAAAGACTGGGAAAACCTGACTGAGGTCTGGAGTTTAGTTAGTGATACTATACCAAGACGAATTTCTTAGTTTTGATAATTTGTTAACAGTTATGTTAACATTGGGGGTAGCTATGCAAGGGGTGTGAGAATGCTGTTATATCTTTAACCTTGGCCCATGGTTAAGGTGTTTCCAGTGTAAGGTCACTGTTATTCCTTGTAGTTAACATATATTTGGCACCACAGGATTCATTCTGGAATTCTCCTTGGTTTATTTATAACTTTTTTTCTAGTAGTGAGAAACCTGGCTTTCATGCAGAGTTTACAAACGCCAATTTAAACTTTTGTTTTGTCATACGCAATGATTTTATTACCTGTCTTTATTTCAGAGCTTATGAATTTTTAATTATTCTAAGGGCTAACATAGAACTTTTCCATGTTTTCTACTCTTCAAGAGTAGGTAAGACTTTAGTTTGTAATACATTACAAAAGGAATCCTGTGGTTCTCTAAGAGCTAATTTGTCTTGGCAAAAGGCCTTAGCGAGCTGTGAGTGGTGGCTCATGCCTGTAATCCCAGCACTTTGATCTGAGACGGCTGGATCACCTGAGGCCAGAAGTTTGAGACCAGTTTTGCCAACATGGCGAAACCCCATCTCTGCTAAAAATACAAAAAATTAGCCAGGCATAATGCCATGCACCTGTAGTCCCAGCTACTTGGGAGGCTGAGGCAGGAGAATCGCTTGAACCTCGGAAGTGGAGGTTGCAGTGAGCCGAGATCGTGCCACTGCACTCCAGCCTGGGAAACAGCGAGACTGTCTCAAAACAAACAAAAAAACCAAAAAACAAAAAAATTAGACGGGCGTGGTGGCATGCACCTACAGTCCCAGCTACTCAGGAGGCTGAGGCAGGAGAATCGCTTGAACCCAGGAGTTGGAGGTTGCACTGAGCAGAGATCATGCCGCTGCACTCTAGCCTGGGTGACACAGTGAGTATCCATCTCAAAACAACAACAACAACAACAACAACAAAAACAAATTAAAAAACCCAACAACAACAAAACCAGCAAACAAAAAAACTAAACAGGCTTTAGGGAAAGAGCAATCTAATTATCTGATTATATGATTGGCACTAAGATGGGAATGACTCTGGCCTGATTTCTTCAGTTTACATTTTAAAATAGGAGCTTAGTTAGCCCCCAAATAATATGTAATTGATGTATTAGCGTTGGGGAGTGAATATTTTTCAAAGCAGAAGATATTTCTCAATTCTTGCTTACTTTTAGAGGTTGAAGTTCAAGGAAGCCCCTTCCTTGGCACTGTATCCCAGGGAGGTATTTGGAGTTAATTTCAGGGCTTAGCAGTGACTCTTTAGAAAAGCAGTATACGATTGAAATGTAATGTGTTACAAATGAGATCACTACAAGTAATTTAAAAATGTGCTAGTAGTGTTTTTTTTTCTGAGACGGAGTCTCGCTCTGAAGCCCAGGCTGGAGTGCAGTGGCACGATCTCAGCTCACTGCAAGCTCCGCCTCCCGGGTTCGCGCCATTCTCCTGCCTCAGCCTCCCTAGTAGCTGGGACTACAGGCGCCTGCCAACACGCCTGGCTAATTTTTTGTGTTTTTAGTAGAGACGGGGTTTCACCGTGTTAGCCAGGATGGTCTCGGTCTCCTGACCTCGTGATCCTCCCACCTCAGCCTCCCAAAGTGCTGGGATTACAGGAGTGAGCCACCACACCCAGCCTCTAGTAGTACTTTTATCAAAAGTAAATAGAAACATGAAATTAATTTTCACAATACATTTTATTTAAACTAATATGTTCACAATGTTAAAATTTCAACATGTAATCACTATAAAAACTACTAGTGAGATATTTCACATTACTTTTTTCATGTAAGCCTTTGAAATCTGGTGTGTATTTTATATTTACTGTACATCCTGATTTGGAATAACCACATTTCAATCTTTCAATAGCCACATGTGGCTAGTGGCTACTGTGTTAGAGCAGTTCTAGAACAAAGGAGTCCCTTTAAAACTATTTTGAAGTCATCGTCTATAAGGCAATATGAAAGCTGATCTGAATGATTTCTCCTTTTCCAGGAAAGGAAACAAAAATGAAATCATGTTAGGGCTGCATATTTTATGGATCCCAGGAGAAATACACAGTCTGAAAGAATGATCTCAGTCAGAAACTCAGAATGAATCATATGAATTAAACATTGGACAATGTCCAATGCTCAGCATGTGTTTTTGGTTTATACTAAGAGCATATTATGCCACCAAATACAGATATTTACTATTATACTTCGTGTAGGAGGTATATTGAGACATTGTTCTAGACTACCACAGTTCCATATTTTGTGAAAAGTTATATTGCACTTTTTTTTTTTTTGAGAGTGTGCCCAGGCTGGAGTGCAATGGCATGATCTCAGCTCACTCCAGCCTCCACCCCCCCAGGTTCAAGGGATTCTCCTGCCTCAGCCTCCCTAGTAGCTGGGATTACAGGTGGGCACCACCACATCTGGCTAATTGTTGTATTTTTAGTAGAGATGGGGTTTCGTCATGTTGGCCAGGCTGGTCTCGAACTCCTGATCTCAGGTGATGCACCTGCCTCAGCCTCCCAAAGTGTTAGGATTACAGGCGTGATCCACCATGCCCAGCCTTATATTTCACTCTTTGGGAATTGCATCTTACTGTAATCTTAAACTACACTAAAATAAATAATGTAAACCTTTTGTCAAATTGCTCAGAGTAGGTTTCTACTTTGGTTATAAGGAATAAAATTCATGCTTTTGTGTACACACTAGACATCTAAAGCAACCAACCATAGTTAACAAGCAGTGCTCTTACCAAAAGGTAACTCTTTCTAGAATCTGGCACACCATTTAATATCAGTATGAGCATATGGTGGGTTTAATAATTGTTTTCCATGTTTATAAGTTTTCTTTAGTTTTATAAGCAGTTAAAATGAATCCCTTTCACTGAAATACAATCTGTGGTGGGACTTCTAGCTTTTCTCGATCTTACGCTGCTAGATTTATGTCACTGCCATAGCTATGCAATGGGTGATATTTACACTATGCTCAAACAAAGCAACCAGAAAAACACATCATTGAATAATACAGATATTCTGAAGTCAAGCAAGCCAACTTTCATTAACAGATCAATTTCCTTAGAAAAGTTGATGAAACTAAAGACTGAAGTTCAAAGAAAAAGCCCTCTCAAGGGGGTATGAATTTCTGGTAACTTATGGGGTAAGAAAAAGAGCAAGAAACTTGAAAGTAGGGAAGAGAAAAAAGAAAAGGAGCAAGAGGGAATAGCCAGCTCTCAAAAGAGTCTCCAATAGGAAAGCAAAATCTGTATCTAGCCAGTACCAACATGTGAAGAAAGAGTGAGCATAGCAAAATTGAGAAAGGTTGCTTGAAAACCAAACAAAAAACCAAATACCTGTAATCCTAGCACTTTGGGAGGGTGAGGTGGGTGGATTGCCTGCACTCAGGAGTTCAAGACCAGCTGGGCAACATGGTGAAACCTTGTCTCTACTAAAATCCAAAAAAAAAAAAAAAAATTAGCCAGGCATGGGCTGGGCTGGGCTGTTTTCCAGGCTGGTCTCAAATTCCTGGGCTTAAGTGATCCTCCCACTTCAGCCTCACAGTGTTGGGATTACAGTCACGAGCCACTGTACCCAACCATATGTCATTCTTTAGACACACTGCTTACTAAATTTCTCTTTTTAAAGGATATACTGAATTTCCGGTTGAGCCAACTTAACAGCTAATTTTCTATTTTAGCTTTAAAACATTGATAAGCAACATGAAGCAATCTAGAACTTAACCTTTAAGTGGCTTTATTAAAGCAATCCAGCTATGAAAATTATGCAGAAATGATTATCTACAATCTTACCAGCACATAAGAAATTCTTCCTCTATTCTGAAATACCATCTTCTCACAATATACTTTGATGTTATGAATCAATGTCTGTTCTTGAACATTATTTATTGTCTTTCTCTATTAAACAATTCCAAAATAAAATTTCCAGCACAACTAAATATTGTTGATGATAAGAGGATTTTTAAAAAAGTTCTTTTAAAACAGAAGCTTATATACAACTTAGAATCTAAAACCAATAGATTTATGGTAAACCTTAAAACTGAACCAAAACAAACAAAAACCAAAGTTTTAATCATTTAAAAATCATGTTTATTGAGGTACAACTTATAGTAAAACCTGCCCTTTTCAGCGTATAGCACTGAGTCTTGACAAATGCACAGTTATGTACCACCACCGACCAAGGCCTGGCACATTTTTACCTCCTCAAAGTTCTCCCTGGCTGCTTCTCCCACTCCTTGGCAACCACTAACCTGTTTTCTGTCCTTATAGTACTGCTTTTTTCAGTGTCATATAAGTAGAATCACACTGTACATAGTATTTTGAGTCTGACCTCTGTCAACTGGCATAATGCATTTGAGAATTATCCATGTTGCTGTACTGGCAGTGCATTCTTTTTTATTGCTGAGCAGTATTCAATTGCATGGCTGTACCAGTTTGTTTATTCATTTGCCAGTTGAAGGATAACTGAGATCTTCCTCGTTTTTAGCAATTTTAAAGAAAGTTTCTATGAATAATTGTGTACAGGTTTTTAATTAAATGTTTTGGAGATATAATTCATATACCACATAATTCACCTTTTTAAAGTGCATAAGTCACTGGTTTTTAATATATTCACAAGGTTTGTGCATAGGTTTTTGTGTGAATACTGGTTTTCATTCCTCTTGGATAAAGATTTAATTTGGTATTACCCTTCCAGACACCTTTCTGTGTTTTCATACGTATATATGTATGACGGTTTGACCTTAGGCAGAGTAGCATTTTCAAAATTTTACATGGGGAAACTTTCTAGGTTTAAAGCCATTTTATTTTTCTGTTCTGTCTGGTTTTATCTACGTGTTATTTACAATCTGCTGTGTAACAAATTACTACAAACTTAGTACCTTAACACATATTTATTTCACAGTTTCTGTGGGTCAGGAGATCAGAAATGGTTCTATTTCAAGGTCTCTCACAGGGCTGCAATCAAGATGTTGGCATGGCTGGGGTCTCATCTGAAGGCTGGACTGGAGAAGAATCTACTTCCAAACTTATGTGGTAGTTGGAAGAATTTAGTTCCTCAAGGCTGCTAAACTGATGGCCTGTGTTCCTTGCCTCTGGGATGGTAGCTTGCTTCAACAAAGTGTGCAAGCAGAGAAGACAGAGAGAGTCCGCTAGCAAGATAGAAGCCACAATCTCTTGTAATCTATCATTTTTGCTGTATTCTACTGGTTAAAAATAACTCATTAGGTTAGCCTACTGGCTCTCAGGGGGAAGAGATTATACAAAGGCATGAATTTCTGGAGGAGGGAATGAGGGCAAAGAACTCTGAAAAGTTTCTCTTCCACAATCTGAAGAACTTCTAGAAAGTAGAAGGAAGCAATATTGCTTAGGGATGGACAACTTGGCACTGGTTATGTGTTCCAAGTGAGGTAACCTTGTTCCCAGGAATAAAGAGAACCAGATGACTGTAAACATTTCCCTAAACTGAAATGCACTGTTGTATGTTCACCTGAAATGAATGGTGTAAGCTGAATATGAGATTTTTGACAAAATAAAAATTTTGCTGTGTTCTCAGATCTGGCAGGCTATTGTGAGGCAATGTGTCATTTTACCTTATAACGCAGAGTTGTAACATGCTACTCTGAGCAGCTCATGACATCTGCTTGAAATTTAAGTTGGGCCCCTAGTATGTGTTTATTATAAAGATTTTGATGCTGCTTTTCAGAGTTGGGTAACCTACTTTACCCCCTTAGCTAATGTTTCCCAAATACACCCAAACCCACAGAAAGGAAAACTATTCCTCATTAACTCACAGCCAACATCATAAACATTTTATATCTAGAGCTGATGATACAGTCAGGTATTTACCAACACTCATGTATATATGTAGAGTTTCAAGAAATAATTGCTTATCCTTACTAGATTCAACATATTCTAATGTTTCACATATTATTTTTATTTCTTAATTTTTTTTTTAAAGATGGGGTTTTACTCTGTTGCCCAGGCTGAAATGCAGTGGCATGACCAGGATTTCGACCAGAAGTTTGACTGCAGCCTCAAACTCCTTATAACAAAGAATCCTGCTGCCTTAGCCTCCCGAGTAGCTAGGACTATGGGCACATGCCACCAGATCTGGTATATTTTAAAATTTTTGTAGACATAGGGTCTCGCCATGTTGCCCACGCTGATTCTGAACTCCTGTTCTCAAGCAATCCTCCTGCCTGGTCTTCCCAAACTTTTGGGCTTACAGCTGTGAGTCACTGACCCCAGCTTGTATTCTTTTGATTTTAAAAAAATATTCTGAATGTGATCCACCAAATTAATTTCACCATCCACTAATAGGTAGCAACCTGAATGAAAAATACTGTTATAAACTTTACACAAAACCAGAGATTATAAACATTTGCTTCCAAGGAGAGAGGTAAAAGGTACTTGTTTGCTCTGATGGGCCCTGTTTCCTTCAGTGCCAGGAAGAGTGGCTCTCAGACCTTTCTTCTGGCATCCCTCATGTATGCAGTGTTGGTTATTATTTTCAAGGCCTTGGTAACCAAATGCCCCTAGTGTGACCAGTCAGACTGACAGTCCATATCTGTAATATGGTGGTAAGTTTCCTTTGCATGTCTTTCTTTCTGGCATCTTAGAACTTTTACCTAGGAAATTTTCTTTTTGCTTGAAGTACATCATTAAGAATTTTCAGTGAAGGCAGATTCTTAAAGTTTTTGTTTTCCAGAAGAGATCTTGGAAAATATAAAAGGTTGGCAGTTATTTCTTTTAGTACATGAGATAGTATTACACCAATGCTGTTGAGAAGTCTATTGTGAGGCAATGTGTCTTCTTTCTCTGGCTGCTTTTGAGATTTCTCTCTGTCTTTTTTAGGGGCAGTTTTACTCTTATGTGACTAGAAGTAGATTTCTTCTTTTTTTTTTAATATTGCTTGAGATTTTATTGGGTTTTTGAATCTGTGGATAGATATCCTTCAACAGTTCTGAAAGATTTCCAGCCATTCTCTTCATATATTATCTGTGCTGTATTCTTGTCTCTCCTTTTAGAACTTCGATTAGTAAAAACATGTTTGATGTCTTTTCCCACTCTTGTTTTTTGTTTCTCCCATGCTGAATTCTGTGTAATTTCTTTTGAACTATCTTGTAGTTTACATTTTTTTTTTTTTTTTTTTTTTTTTGAGATAAGAGTTTTGCTCTTGTTGCTCGGGCTGGAGTGCAATGGCACCATCTTGGCTCACTGCAACCTCTGCCTCCTGGGTTCAAGCAGTTCTCCTACCTCAGCCTCCCAAGTAGCTGGGATTACAGGCATGCACCACCACGCCCAGCTAATTTTTGTATTCTGAGTAGAGACGGGGTTTCACCATGTTGGCCAGGCTGGTCTCGAACTCCTGACCTCAGGTGATCTACCCTCCTCAGCCTCCCAAAGTGCTGGATTACAGGTGTGAGCCACCGTGCCAGGCCTTACATTCTCTCTCTTAAAGAGAAAATGTAAGGTATCTAAATCTGCTGCTAAACCATCAGTTTTTAATTGTAATAAGGTCTCTTTTATGTACTCACATTGATAAGAGACAAGTAGGAAATAATCTTTAAAGGGCAAACTAATTTAAATGTGTTTTCCTGTCTGTTTACAGGACTTACCAAATGCACATCTTAGAGTTCTGGGTTTCTAATGTGTATCTCCTCTATGAAATTCTTTAAAAATATCTGTTCTTGGTATCCCTTAGGTTAGTCTCTTTTAGAACTTCTAAATCAATGGACCCTTAACTTATAGGAGCCACCTGGACGTTAGCAACGTCTACATTAAACATGCTGAGCTTTTAAAAGAGACCTGTTAGACATGCTGAGTATTTTGAGATAATATCATTGTTGTATTGAAAACTTTAATTTTAAAATGCAAACATTCTTAAAGTCCTGGTTAATTTTATAACTATAAAATTAGTTATAATTTTGAGATTTCTGTCTTGTTTTTTATAGGGGCAGTTTTACTCTTAGGTGACTAGAAGTAGATTTCTTCTTTTTTATAACTATAAAATTAGGTTTACTTTTGTTAGAATAAATTAAAGACAGTGAACCTGTAATTTGAATAACTACTAAAAATATACATGATGTATTCTTATTTGGGCCCTTGTGACAAAAATACTATTGTGGCTATAGAAACCTATCCTATAGTTTGAAGAACTGAGATTACTGTCAGTATTGAGAACATTCCTCCTTCATCATTAGAAAGATTATTAAAAACCAGATTCAAAGAAACTATCAATACTACTTATGAAGTATGTCTGTAAAAAAAATTAAGCCTGAATCTTATCAGGCCTCTAGACCAGGGATTCTCAAGGTATGGGCCCCAGACCAGAAGTATCAGCAACGAATTGCTAAAAATGCAGAATCTTGGGTCAGAAATTGGGGACCAGCAATTGGAATTTTAGTAAGTATACCAGATGATTCAGATGCCTGCTCAATTTTGAGGATGACTCTTATCAGTTTAGTTATTAGGATTTACAGGGGATGGGGAACATGTTAAAGAGCACCAACTAGATAAGGTCAATCAGTCAAAAGTAAGATGTCTGGACATTCTGGGCCTCCTGATGTCTTAGAAAGCACACAATACCATCTATGGTGTATTTTTGTCCACCATCCCACCCAATTGCACCTGGATCTTCCTATTTATAGGCAATTAGAACAAGCTCAGTGTTACCCTGTAATGATTAAAAACCAAATATAGGACTGCTATAGCATAAATGACCACTTTCTTCAATTAATAAGTGGCACATTAAAAATATATTTATATATGTAATTGTTATAGATAAAAAAAACAAAATGGCCGGGCGTGGTGGCTCACACCTGTAATCCCAGCACTTTGGGAGGCCAAGGCGGGCAGATGACAAGGTCAGGAGATTGAGACCATCCTGGCCAACATGGTGAAACCTCGTCTCTACTAAAAATAGAAAAATTAGCTGGCGTGCATCTGTAGTCCCAGCTACTTGGGAGGCTGACGCAGGAGAATCGCTTGAATCCGGGAGGCGGAGGTTGCAGTGAGCCATGATCGGACCACTGCACTCCAGCCAGGGTGACAGAGCAACACTACGTCTCAAACAAACAAAAACACAACAACAAAATA
Organism: Homo sapiens; assembly: GCF_000001405.40. Taxonomy (NCBI): domain Eukaryota; kingdom Metazoa; phylum Chordata; class Mammalia; order Primates; family Hominidae; genus Homo; species Homo sapiens. The sequence continues at coordinate 86,999,012 of NC_000002.12, read as the reverse complement.
AAGCTTAAGGAACATCAACCAAATGCAATATATGAGCCCTATTTAGGATACTATAAAAAGACATTCACAATAACACAGGCAAAATGAACATAAACTAGGTATAGGTGACAGAGAAATCCAATAAACATTGAATTATTCACTGGGGAAAGAAATGATGTGTGGGATTTAAGTCTCTAACTCTCCCCTATTTACGCCAAAAGATTGTCCATGAGTTGAAAACCGTTAGAGATGGGTGACAACTCAAGAGAGATTATAGCGTCTTCCTTGTGCTTGTAAATGTCAAAAATAAAAGTAATTTAAAACTAAAACAAAAATGAAACCATAATTCTTAAGATGCAGCTTGAATTCAGTTAACTATAGCAGTTGTATATGAAGCATTTCAAAGAAGTTAATGACATCACAGTATTAAATCCATCTGACATGGAAACCAACTCTAACTACATCATAGTTTTTTTTTTTTTTTTTTTTTTTTTTTTTTTTTTTTTTTTTTTTTTTTTTTTTGAGATGGGAGTCTCGCTCTGCCGTCAGGCTGGAGTACAGTGGCGTGACAGATCACTGCAACCTCCACCTCGTGAGTTCAAGCGACTCTCCTGCCTCAGCCTCCTGAGTAGCTGGGACTACAGGCACATGCCACCACGTCCAGCTAATTTTTGTATTTTTAGTAGAGACGAGATTTCACCATGTTGGCCAGGATAGTCTCAGTATCTTGATCTTGTGATCCGCCTGCCTCGGCCTCCCAAAGTGGTGGGATTATAGGCATGAACCACCAGTGCCTGGCCTATGGCACAGTTTTAAAACTGCATTTGCCTAGAAAGTGGACTGCTGTATATAGACCAAGTGTTGGGCTATATGACTCCATTGTCTTAGGCTATTTGGGGTTGGAGGAAGGAAGAGGGGTGAAGTAGAAAAGGAACAAGCTAATAAATGTTTTTTAAAAAGTAGAATTTAAAACAAAACCACGTTCAGCTGAACACCAGAACTCAACACCAGGATAAAAATCCAATTTTCAAAGAGCTAGAAGATCAAGCTAAGCACTTATTGTATTTTGCTGAATGTTAAAATTATATAAATGTACTACAGTTGCCTCAAGATGTTAAAAAGTCAGCTTTTCAAATCTAGTCACGGCCTACTCATATGACAGACCCAATTCAAATGAGCAAAATTGAAAAGTTACACATACAGACAACTTCTCAACCACCAGGCTGTTTAGTTTAAGTTAGAAGTCAGAAGTTCTGAGACTCTCCTTTTACCCACCTTGAGCAACCGCAGCAAGTTTTCCCTTTTCTTCAGGGCTGAGCTGCAACATCGTATTTATAACAGGAAGAAGGCTCTCTCTCTCACTACCTGGCTTCAAGAAAATGAACTGCAGCAAGACGTTCTTCAAGTGTTCCACGTTAGCTGCAGACTCCTCTTGATTCCTTTCCAATCTTCTTATTTCACTTTTGAGAAGCTGGTGTTAGAGAAATGAGTTAAAAATGGGCTTTAGGAGCTTCTGATTAAATATGGCAGACTGAACTCATGTATTTTTCTTCTCTTCCCCCCAAATTTCCCCCTTCCCTCCATATGGCAATAAAGGAAGGAATTCAGTTAACTACAGCAGCTGCATGTGAAGCATTTCAAAGGAGTTTATGACATCACCGTATAAAATCCATTTGACATGAAAACCGGAACTCCAACTATGAGATAGTTTCAAAGCTGCATTTGCCTAGAAAGTGGATTGCTGCATATGAACCAAGTGTTGGGCTATATGACTCCATTGTCCTAAGCTATTTGGGGTTGGAAGGAAGAGGGGTGAAGTAGAAAAGCAACAAGCTAATACAAGAGGAGAAAAAGTAGATGAGATAACGTCAAGACATTCTCACGAGAAACAGATGAAGAGGTGGAAATGAGTCAGTCCAGCAGCTTACCAAGTATCACTGACAAGAGGAGAGGATGCATCCTGTGTAAATACTGGAGTTCTTGTCTCAGAAGCACAGGGTATCATGGAAATGGAGTTGAAAGCTGGGGAACTGATGGAACGTCTCCATGAGGAGCAACTAACTGGAGCCATGGGTTGGTACCAAGATGTTCCCTCTGCCTTCTACTTTTGATAGAAACTAAGCCAGTATGGCATGGGGCTCTGAAAATGGGCTGAGGGGAACATCGGTAGCCTCCACTAACCCCCTGCCCCTACGCTGTTCCTGAAGTCCCAGGCAGTTAAGACGTCCACAGTGAACGGCACTTAAAAAGTTCAGACACAGTGAAAATTCAGGAATATAAGACAATGTAAAACACTATCAGAGAAATGAGGCAAAGAACGATATAAAAAAGGTAGTATCATGTTCAAGTCTTTGAGGAAGATTTCCAGGTTGAAACCAAGCCATAGCTTTTAGTATATTTTCATTTTAGGTTAGGCAAGAAAGTTAGCGAACTTTGTCCTCAAACCTAGGACCATTTAAAAAAGTGACAATAAAGAAGACAAAGAAATCATGAAGAGAGTATAAATTTATGAAAATATAACATTTGGCCAGGCGTGGTGGCTCATGCCTGTAATCCCAACACTTTGGGAGGCTGAGGCAGGCAGATCATGAGGTCAGGAGATTCAGACCGTCCTGGCCAACATGGTGAAACCGTGTCTCTAGTAAAATAAAAAAAATTAGCCGGGCATGGTGGTGCGTGCCTGCAGTCCCAGCTACTCGGGAGGCTGAGGCAGGGGAATCGCTTGAACCTGGGAGGCGGAGATTGCAGTGAGCTGAGATTGCACCACTGCACTCCAAACCTGGTGACAGAGCAAGACTATCTCAAAAAAAAAAAAAAAAGAAAATATAACATTTAAATAAGTCATTTAGGTTTACTGGGCTAGTTAGTGATTTGTTAGCTATGATAATGTTTTTATTAGTGGGAAAATGCTATTTTATAGAGATGCATACTGAAGTATTTAATGGTGGAATGTCATGATATATACAATTTACTGAAAATAACTGAATTCGGCTTTAAAATAATCTGACAAGGATAGCTAGTGGCCTTGCACAGTGGCAGGACAGATCTACTAGGAACAGCAAAGTACAGGGGAAAAGCATGTACTTTTCAGACAGCTATGAGTTTGAATTTTGTTCCACCATTTACCAGCTTCAATTTTTCTCTCAACCAGTGATGAGATTAAATAATGTATGTAGAGCCCAGGGCCTGGGTCATAAGAACTCCTCAATAAGCAGTATGACTATATTCTGAGGGGTGATTTATCAGTGAGCCAGGGTGGAAATACCTCATTTGAGTAATCCTCAACTGTTCTGCAACATTCCTAGATGTTTCTGGTGTCTACTTTAAACAGGAAAAACTTCCCATGCCACTTTGCCATCTCCACCTGAAAACTGTTTAGTAGTTCAGTACTATAAATATCAGTTGAATAATTTAAATTCACTGGTTATCTTTAGAATTCAAAGACTCACACCCATTTTTTATTTAAGCATATGTGAACAATGATTTGTGAACATCTCTCTAGTTTCTAAATCTATTACGGTTTCTTAGGAAAAGTAGGAATTAAGAAATAATCTTTATGTAATAGGTGTAAAAGAAGTATTTTGGCTGGATGCGGTGGCTCTTGCCTGTAATACCCACACTTTGGGAGGCCAAGGCAGGTGGATCACGAGGTCAGGAGATCGAGACCATCCTGGCTAACATGGTAAACCCTGTCTCTACTAAAAATACAAAGAAATTAGCCAGGCATGTTGGCGGGCACCTGTAGTCCCAGCTACTCGGGAGGCTGAGGCAGGAGAATGGCGTGAACCTGGGAGGTGGAGCTTGCAGTGAGCCGAGATCGTGCCACTGCACTCCAGCCTGGGTGACAGAGCAAGACTGTCTCAAAAAAAAAAAAAAAAAAAAAAAAAAAAGGCAATATTTATTTCTCACCATCAGGAATCTAATAATCTAATATAAAGATCAAGACGTTATAGATGCATCTGCAATGTGAATTTTTAAACTTGGGTGCATGTGTATGGAGGGTCCAGAAAACCAAACTGGCGGTTTTCACAGTGGCCAGGTTTCTGATCTCACCTTAATTTGCTCCATAAGGACTGCACTGGTTGCCTCTGTTTCCCGAAGCAGGCCGTTTAACTGATCTGCACTTTTTGTGGTGGAACTGAGCTTCTGAACCAATTCTTCTTTGGTAAATTCAGCATGCCATAATGGAGGCTCTGCAACATGTTGTTCCAAGAATTAATTTTCAAAATCATACATTACAGATGAAGATTCTAAATAAGAAAAATCTAAATATAAATATCTTACTATGTGATATTTTATAGGTCTGCTTTCTTTGCCATTCATCTATTCAACATACCTCAATCAACAGATTATATGTTGTAGGTGACACAAATAAAACAGTATCTCTGTTGTAAAGCATGTAATCTAACTGAATACAAGCCCTATGAGTCCCAGTTCTGAAATTTGTCAGAATTGTGTTTATAGACAGTTTTATTACACATCTTCTTCCCATCTATTAATATTCCAAGATTTTATGTCATTTCACGTATAAGGAAAGCATTAACATTTACTGGTCACGTATCATGTTCCCTCATAAGAATCTTCTATCAGGCGGGGTAGGTATCATTATTCAAACTTTACAGACAATGAAACAGGCTCACAGTTGACAGGTAATTTTTTCAGAAATCACAAAGTCAAATTGGCTTCTGGAGTCTGCTGCTCTATCATGATGCCTCCGTGTCACCACTATTAACTTTGCCTGAAGGAACCATGACTTGCAGTTTCTACCCCATGTGGTCAGTGACCATGAATACAAATGACCCTTACTCCAGGTGATTCTGAAGTTTCAGGAAGATGACAGATTCCCCCTAAATTTTGAACAGTAATATTAATTACAGGTAATAAAATATACCAAAACATCACTACAAAAATTTAGCATTACTTCATCAAGAGGAATAAACTGAAACTGTCAGTTTCTTGGAAGGGTGAGAGGATAGTTTATCCTGCTTTCTAATACCCACCACCTATTTGTGACTATAAACTTCCCACCACTTATTTATGGTTCAAGCCTAGGGCAAGAGCTAGCATTTTATTTTAAAAAAGATTTGTTTAATAATTTTTCCATTTGGACAGTGTGATGGTTAATACTGGGTGTCAACTTGATTGGATTAAAGGATGCAAAGTATTAATCCTGAGTGTTGTCTGTGAGGGTGTTGCCAAAGGAGATTAACATTTGAGTCAGTGGGCTGGGGAAGGCAGACCCACCCTTAACCTGGTAGGTGCCATCTAATCAGCTGCCAGCGAATATAAAGCAGGCAGAAAAACCTGAAAAGGCGAGACTGGCCTAGCCTCCCAACCTACATCTTTCTCCTGTGCTGGATGCTTCCTGCCCTTGAACATCAGACTCCTAGTTCTTCAGTTTTGGAACTTGGACTGGCTCTCGTTGCTCCTCAGTCTGCAGATGGCCTAGTGATCGTGTAAGGTAATACTTAATAAGCATCCATCCATCCATCTCATCCATCCATCCAACCATCCAATTAGCTCTGTCCCTCTAGAGAACCCTAATACAAACAGGTAGTGGAATATTGAAAGAAATTTTATTGGAGCAGCCCAAAAAAGCATATGTACCTTAGTGTAATAGTAATTAAATAAGACAGTGAAATTAAAGAAGAAGAACATATTTAGACAGAGTAACAGACCAAGTTTAGTTTCGGGAGAATTAAGCAGCTGCTCTAAAGACTGTGTGTATGTGCTGGCGGAAGACACAGACTCCGTAATCAGTTGTCTCCATGCCTTCTCCCTCTTCCCGGGTTACAGTGTGCATGTCTAGAAGCGGGAGGTCTGTGTTTCTCCTTTCTCGAAGGTTCTTCAAAGATTGCTGAGAGGAAACTGGGCCTATTAGATTTTTTTTAAAGGTTAAGTGTGAGATTGTTCAAAATCTATTGATTCGGCCTTACAGAGATACACAATAAAATGAAAATATCAAATGATAAGAGTAGAGGAATTAAGTAACTATAAGTGAAAGGTGTATGAAGAATTGCTAAAACATTTCCTAAAATTTAGTCATCAAGGCCAGGCGTGGTGGCTCAAATCTGTAATCCTAGCAGTTTGGGAGGCTAAGGTGGGTGGATCACGAGGTCAGCAAGTTCAAGACCAGCCTGGCCAAGATGGTGAAACCCTATCTCTACTAAAAATACAAAAATTAGCCAGGCACGGTGGCAGGTGCCTGTAATCCCAGCTGCTGGGGAGGCTGAGGCAGAGAATTGCTGGAAGCCAGGAGGCGGAGGTTGCAGTGAGCCAAGATCATGCCACTGCACTCCAGCCTGGCGACAGAGCGAGACTCCAGCTCAAAAAAACAAACAAACAAACAAAAAAAAACTTAGTCATCAAACTTTTAACTACGTTAGTCATTTTAATAGCAGCTATAAATTAATTGCTACTAGCTAAGATAAACTGTTAGATAACACAGCTCATAATATAGTACTACTTATTTTTTATTAATTTAGAGTAGAGGGCCAAACTACTGCTAAATACTGGCCAAAATTAAAAGACTAGATTCTAGCAATTTTTCAGGATTAGGTATTTCAGATTGCGGCATACTTCTTGAAACACACTTGCCGAAATCTGCTTGGTAGACATCCTCAATCACTGCCCTTATACCTTTACCTCTGCAGCTTCTTAATTGTTGCTGCTCACACCTACAGTGCTCATACAGTTAAGAGCCCAGAATCCAGGGCACAGAACTAATCAATTACGTTGCCTAGCAAGACTTTCCTGTTTGCTGATAAACTATATTTTTTCTGAAACAGGGTCTCACTCTGTCACACAGGTTGGAGTGCAGTGGCACGATCTTGGCTCACAGCAACCTCTGCCTCCCAGGCTCAAGCCATCCTCCCACCTCAGCCCCACAAGTAGCTGGGACTTCCAGGTGCATGCCATCCCGCCCAGATAATTTTTGTACTTTTAATAGAGATGGGATTTCACCATGTTGTTCAGACTGGTCTCAAACTCCTGGCCTCATGTGATCCACCCGCCTTGGCCTCCCAAAGTGCTGAGATTGCAGGGGTGAGACACCACGCCTGGTCTAAACTGTAAAGTTTATCGGGCCCTTTGACATGTATTGGTTTATTGACTCCCAAAAATCTGAAGTTCAGAGAAATTTAATGACTTTGCCCAAGGTCTCATAACTGAGTTAGAAACCAGAATTGTAATCTAGATTTTTAAACTTCAGATTTCATTTATTTTGCATTTCATTAAATTGCCTTAGTCCTGACTGCCCTTTCTAAAGCATTTTCCTGGGTTTCTGGTAAGCTGACTGCTTATTCCACTGCTGATTGCTAGATTACAATCTCTTGTGCGACCTTTGCCCTGGCTGATTACTTCCTTTGTTGATTCTTTGGCATATGTTAAATTCTTCTGAAGTTGCTTTTTTACCCTAATAAGTGACCGATAGCTGCTAATGCTCCAGTGACAATATTTCCCATGGGAAACCAAAACACCATCAACTTGCTACTAAAATACTGCATCATCATGGCTGACATTTTTCCATTTCTTCCTGGAAGCAGAATGGAAGATACTGGGTACGGCTGAACTAAAACTCCAACTAATTGTAAATATGAAAGCAAAGAAGCTATATTGGTTATGCAATTCTACACATTCAGTGCTGCTTGAGTGTTTCTAAGTTCCTTGCTCTAGCTAATGTTTCTATTTAAAAAGTAGACAAATTTGATGACTAACAACGGAGAACACGAAACAAATCTGGTGAATACCAGAATTAAGACATGTGTCAGCCAGGCGCAGTGGCTCATGCCTGTAATCCCAGCACTTTGGGAGGCCGAGGCGGGTGGATCACGAGGTCAGGAGACCGAGACTATCTGAGGGAGAATCTTCAGGTTTTTTCTTCTCTTTTGCTGTAACACCAGTCAAAAAAATTGACAAAGATAAGGTATTAAGTATTGACGTTAATACTCTACCTGAAAATAAAAACCATGGAACCTATCTATAGGTTAAAACAGCATACTGATAAAAAACACATATACTTTGATGCAGAGATGTACGATAATCATGAATTAGAATTAGCATCCTGATTTAGTTTTCTACCAAAAACCCTAAGTGAACACAGAATCTATTTAAAACGAAAGAAAACAAAAAAATCTTGTGTTTACTTAATAGTCATTGAAAAGAATTACTACAAATTTCTAGAATTTAAAAAGGTTAAAAATTTTAAAGTGTTGCCTAACTATACTTAGCATACAATAGTTTACCAAAATATCCATGCATTTGCAGCAATTGAAAAAAATCTTAAAACATAAGCAAGTATTAGTATACATATGAAACTAATCCAAAGCCAACTGTGATTAGTTCCTGTAAGGAAAGTTAACAATTGCCAAGAATGGAAGGTGACTAGAGTTGCATCTAGTTTGCCTGTGTTCAAGCATGATACTAGATAAAATTAAATAAAAACTGTTACTCTATGGGTAGCTAACACTATAAAATCTAAGACCATTCATATGGCTGAAAACAACCCATCCCCAGCCACCATCAATGCAAAGGGCAAAAAATTAGAAACAGAAAAAACTTCTATATGCAACCTGTTCTGATCTATTAATGTAAAGAACAACTTCTGGCTAAAGGAGTTTAATAAAGTAAGCCAGTTATGAAGCATGCCATGTATACCAACTGGTGACAGGGAAACATTCTGAGAGCTATGGTGTCCAATATGGTAGCCTAGCCACATTCTATTAAAACCTCACAAGGTGGCTAGTCCAAATCAAGACATGCTAACAGTAAGTGTAAACACACACACTGGATTTTGAAGACTTGGTGAAAAACAATAATGTAAAATATCATTAATTTTTATATTAATTAGAAGTTAAAATGATATTTTGGACATAATGAGTTAAATCAAATCTATCGATAAAGTTACTTTCATCTGTTTCCCTTTTTAACTGTTTCTTTTTATTCTTTTTAATATGGCTACTAGAAAATTTATTTATTTATGTATTTATTTGAGATGCGGTCTTGCTTTGTCACCCAGAGCTGGAGTGCAGTGATGTGATCATAGTTCACTGAAGCCTGGAACTTGTGGGCTCAAGTGATCCCTCTGCCTCAGCCTCCCAAGTAACTGGGATTATAGGCACAAGCCATTGCACCAAATGACAATTTTAAATTACATACACAGGTTATATTTTATTTCTATTGGATGACACTGCTCTGCAGAACCAGTGCCCTTCCTTTTACAATGTTAAATTTGTCCCTCTCCTTCATTATAAACGAAAACCTAGTATCATTTCCTAGCTAGGAGAAATAACAGTACACCGTAAGATACAGATTCTTGTTCCACTTCTGCTATTACTCAGTAAAGACCTCTTGGGTAAATCAGATAGCCTCTCTTGGCCTCAGTTTACTCATGTCTAAAGTCTTCATTTCTAAGGTCCCTTGGGACAATGACATTATCAGATTCAAAACAGAATAAGGCTCTATGTTCTACAGTAGTGTATAGGCACATTCGTTCTTAGGTCAGGGATTCCTAACCTAGAGCTCACAGAAACTGTACGCAAGTATACATCCACTTTTAAGTTAACACTTTTCACATTTCTCAAAGACCGTATCTTTAAAATAAAAGATTAAGAGCTACCTTAGCTGGTAATAAAACTGGTATACTCAAAAAAAAATCAGAGATTGTTATTTTATCATTGTACTTGTTTGGCATGGCTAAGATGTGTTACTGGTCACTAAGGGTGAGGTTTCACTTCCCTAACCTGTTCTTGAAGGCCTTCAACAGATCCCACTTCTTGTTCCACTCTAGTAGCCACACTTCTAAAAATGATCTGTGCAACATATATAATATGCAAGCTGTAGAATGCTGGCTGTTAAAAATGGGGTCCATTTTCAAATACAACATTTTTCTAAACCATGCACAAAAGAACAGCCCTACAGGGACACTCTTCCATACTGTATACATGCCGTTGCCACTACATGTGAATACTGGCAGACGTTAGTGGCTAAAGATAAACATTAGATAAAACATAGGTCTTCACTGAGCAGACCTGAAATAGCAGAGCAATGAAGTACATTACAAATCAGCATCCCAGTACATTTTAAAAAACAAACCAACAAGGGTGTCATGCCACCAGTCAAAAGGTACTTTGCTTAAACTGGCATTCTTTAACATTCATGTTGTAGTGGTAAGTACTTCATTTCATACAGCCACAGTTATTAATACTTTCCTAAGGGCTACCAGCTGCTAAAAACTGCTGTTATCTCATACTGAGAATGCTAGTTCTATACCTTTGCTCTCAGGCTGTGAGGAAGGGGTGCTAGTCCAAAAGGCCATGGGATTAGATTTAAAAAGGCTAAAATTAAATCCTAGAAAATAAAGAATATTTCATTTTTTAACATTTTAGGAAACAAAATGAATATGCTTTTAAAACATAAAAAGCCAGAATCCCTCAATTTATACCACCAATCTGACTGTCTTACATATTCATTTATCCCTGTAGTTTCATTCTTTGCTCATTTAATACATGAGCAAGACTGACATACAACACATAAAATGAGAACATCTCAATATCATGGTTTTTTTTGTTTTTTTGTTTTTTTTTTTTTTTTTTGGAGACAAAGTCTCACTCAGTCAGGCTGGAGTGCAGTGGCATGACTTCAGCTCACTGCTACCTCCATCTCCTGTGCTCAAGCGATCCACCTGCCTCAACCTCCTGAGTAGCTGCTAATTATAGGCACGCACCACCACGCCCGGCTCATTTTTGTATTTTCAGTAGAAACAGGGTTTCACCACGTTGGCCAGGCTGGTCTCGAACTCCTGAGCTCAAGTGATCTGCCCACCTCAACCTCCCAAAGTGCTGGCATTCTAGGAGTGAGCCACCGTGCCCAGCCTCAATATCATGTTTTCTGAGTGACAAAAGAAACAGAACAAATGAAAATGAACACTTTAAAAAAAGACTCACGTTAATGCGCATGATTCAAGCATGAGTCCATACACTGTACCAAGTTCTTTTGCTCTGCCCTAGCATGATAGAAGTATCTTCCAGTTACTGAAATGTCTTTAACTAAGTTCTCTTGCTCTTTGAAACCTCACCGTGAACTTATTAAGGGAGAAAAAAAATTGCTCAAATATTTTGGGGGTGTTCACAAAGCATCGTTTATATCCCAACATTAGTATCCCACAAAGAGTCTGCATCAAGCTAAACATTAAAAGAAAGAAAAATTGTGCTTAACTTTAACAACAAAGTACCTACCCTTTTCTGGTGTTTTAAATGTGTAGTTGATTGAAGATTCTTCCATTGGAAAGGAAGCAGAGAGATTTTTGACTTTGCTATCTGAAGACTGTTCGATATCAGAGTTCTTTGACAGTTCACATTTTTTAGGTTCCACTTTGCTTTCAGATCCACTCTGGGCTACTGAACTAGTTTCACTATCGTTACTTTTCAAAGGTGCATTAAAACTAAATCCAAACAAAGACCCAGTGGCAGAACTGTTGCCAAATGCAAATGGGTTTGATTTTTCACTACTAAAAATTCTTTTAACAGACTCTGAACCAAATACAAACTTTGGAGGAGAAACCACTGCTTTTGTTGTTGTTTCAGATGTGCTAGACACTTCAACTTCTGAAGCTGCATCTGCTACATCATCACCCTGAATAACATCTGTCCTCTCTCTTGTGGTTTCTTCTAATACAGCTACAGCAATTTTGCCACATGGTGACTCTCTGGGAGTGCTTGACCGAGAAACATGAGGTGTTATCAAAGAATCTTTTTCCTGGGCTGTTTTTGCTTCATCAAAAATTTTCTTAAATGAGTCTGCAACATCCTGTAGTTTAAAACGAACAGCTAAATGCTCTACTTTTCTTTCTCCATCTGCAAAATCACATGCAGTCCACACCCATACTCTTTCTGTCCCTTTCATATTTTGCAAACTCATGTCTGGAGTTATTCTGTGATTGGCACAAAGTTTTAATACTTGGTCCCTTCTCATCACTATACGAACTTGCTTATTATCATAATTCTGTAAAATCTTTATATCACCAATGCCCCTTTCTTTCCATTGACCAACATCTTTATCATATCTGTAGAGTTCTGCCCTGTGACTAAAAACAACTTGTTCATTTTCCTCACCACTGGATACTTCAACTAGATCAGGTAAAGGAACAACAGGTTCAAAGTACTGTCCATCTCTCTCTTCTTCTTGAGTAACATCAGATTCTTCATCAGTGCCAACTGAAGTCCCACTCTGATTCAACTTGGCAGGAGACTTAGATAGACTCAAAGCAGATTTAAAACTGAAGTTAAATCCTGTTGTTGACTCATCAAAGCGGAAAATATTTTTTCTCACAGGGCTACTTGCCAACGGAGAATCATGTACTGAGCTACTACTAACATTATCATCCAAAGCATCTTCCCTTAAATCATAGTTATCCCATTCTAATGTGGGCCCAGTGTTTTCAGGATTGGGTTTTATTGTTGTGTCTGAGGCACCGGCTGCACCTGTACCTGAACCCTTATTTTCTTCCTCAGTGACTTTTGTTTGATCATTTGTCAAAAACGTTTTGAAATCTTTCAGTCCACTCTTCATTTCTTCAGCTCTCTGTATTAGCTTGGCAGCTCTGCCAGTATCTACAAGTTTATGGGGAGTTTGAAGTGGTATGTCTAACAGAAGCCGCTGGCATTCCTCAAATTTCTGCTTGAATTCTTCAGCCAGCTCTGGTGTTTTAAATTGTGCTGCCAACCGCTCTAGTTTGGCATCACCATCAGAGAAATCACTGGCTAACCACATCCATGCTCTATCTGATCCAGAGAGGGGCTTCAGGTTCATTGTAGTTGTTATCCAATGATTAGCACACACTTTTAGTACTTGGTCTCTTCGCATCAGCATTCTTGGTTTGCCATTGACCTCATTTTTGAGAATTTTTAAGTTCCCCAAGCCCCTTTCTTTCCACTGACTTATCTCAGCATCAAATCTAAATAGTTTTACCCCCTGTGAATACAGAACTTTTTCACCTTCTTCTCCTGTTACAAGTTCTACTTTTTCAGGCATTTGAACTACTGGTTCAAAATGGATGTCATCGCTGTCCTCAGTCTTACAGGCATCATCATCTTTCTCAAAGTCACCGGAAGTGTTTGCTTTATTGGCCATTTTACCGCATTGTGATGAGAATAATTTTTCTCCAGCACCTGAAAATCCCTTGAAATTGGGGTCTTTTTTGCCAAACTGAAATCCTTCTCCTGAAGTTGATTTTGCAACATCTGCAAATGTAAAAGTGCTACTTGTTTGGCCAAAAATCACACCACGGCCATTCTTCTGGCCACTAATATCCTGAGCCTGGAAGCCAGTATCATTTTCAAGAGGCTTTTCACTTTTCTTTTCTTGATTTCCTGGTTCCGAAATGCCAAATTTAAATCCATCAGCAGACACAGCGATGGAAAATCCTTCTTTGGTTGACTTAAATTCTGTATTAGAAGAACCCTGAAACATAAATGAAGGTGAATTTTCTTGATCCACATGCCCAAAATAGTCATGAAATAAATACCTTCTTCATTCCTAAACAATTTATCAAATGATGTTAACAATAATGATGATGATGATGATGATAACATTTATTGAGCATTTATTAATGTGTCAGCTGGGCACTGTTCTAAGCACTTTACATTATTATCTCATTTTAATATCCTCAAAAACCCTATGAATTAAGGTATTATTATTACCCTCATTTCACATATGAGGCAACTGATGCATTGAGAGGTTAAGAAACTTGCCTGTGGTCAAAATAAGCAGAAGAACAAGGGTCTAAATGCACCCCAACACTCTGTCCTCAAAGCTGTCACATTCAACTACCACTGTAATATTGAGTCTTCAATCAATTGTTATATATATAGCTGTATCAGGCCTGAAAGTACTTACCACATAGTGGGTCAGCAAGGGCATTACAGTTCTATTTCTGTTAAAACAGAACGATGAAGGATCCACCACCACCACTCCCATTTTTAAAATATTCTAAATATTCACACTTATTAACACAAAAATAAGGTGACTAAGAAGGATAATTTCTGTATTTGGAGATAAATTTAAAATATCTACATTTTAAGGGACATAAAAGTTTTAATAGTGAACTGCTCTCTTGAATTTATTTGAAGGAACCCTAAACAATTTAAAAAGAAAATAATTATAAATGTATAAATTATTCCTTTGTTACCTTTGTGGGAGTAACATTAGCTGCTGGTCTGAGAAGATACTGGGAATTATATGCTGGTGACTGACTATAATATACTGAAGGGCCAGTAGTTGCAACTAAAAAAAAAAAAAAGAAAAGAAAGAAAACACTGTTAAAGTCTATACTACAGTTAAGACTATCTAGGCAAGAGCTATAAATACAAAAGCAATAGAAATTAAAGAAAGATTTAACTACATAAATTTTAAATTTCTGTACATCAAAATATACCAATCAAGATTATCAAATGACAAACTAGAAAAAAATTGCTAAATATGACATGAAGAATAAGAGAATAGCATCGCTGTGATCAACAAGAACTACCTCACAAGCATTAAAAAAGGAATAAAGGAGAAAGTAACTGTTGCCTTTTCTAAGAAAGATCAGTATGATGTGGAATTATGGACATTCAGTCACAGAAAGGACGTAAGGAACCAAGATGCCATCTGATGGTCAATGCATTTGAAGTGGGCCTAGAAAATCTGCAGAAAGACTAGGTTGTATTTTGTAAACTAAAGCTATTACTGAGAATGTTCAGCTCAAAAATCACCTGACAAATTCATGGAAAGGATGTCATAAATAACATAAAATGTGTTCCCTGGCTTAAAATAAAAAGCACATCAACACTCATACAGATGTACAAACTGTCTGCTCCCTCTGTTTGGTCTGTTTTACCAGGAAACAAAACGACTAGAAGGCACCCATGTTAATGACAAAACTACCAATAGTCATTTGCTTGAACTGTTTTATGATAGTTTTACCAGAAAACAACCAAAAGACCTTTTATGCCTGTACATGGAAGAAGAAACAGAAACTGTGCGAAGAGGTTCCAAACAATTGCCTCTGGAAAGCACTGAAAAATCAAGACCTAGAAAAGGCTAGCCAGAAGCCCAAGTTTGATTTTGGAAACCTTACAGAGGTGAGGATAACTATTTTGAAATTACTATGGGGAGGAAGCAGGCACAGAACACAGAACAACCTGACAGAAATGGCCCAAGAATCTTAAAGTCTTGCAAAATGTCTGTCTGCATGAAAGCAAAAAGAAAAAATAAAATATTAAATAAAAAAAAAATCTTAGTCTGAAGTTTAAGTAGGGACTTTAATTGACTACTGACTCTAAACTGTGAGGCTCTAATAAATATACTAAAAGTAATCTAATTTTTTAAAGCACCATATGAATAGACAATTTAGGAAAGAAATGTTAATAGGCCTCAAGGAACATGTTTTTGAAGTGAGCCTTGAAAATCTGCAAAATGACAAGGTTGCATTGTGCAAATTGAAGCTATTATGAGAATGTTCAAGTCAAAAAAATTACCTGACAAATTCATGCACAGGATCTCACAAGGAACACAAATGTGTTCGTTGGCTTTAAAAAAATCACATTAACATTCATGTTGATATACAAAAACTCTTCTCCATCTGTTTTGTGTGAGTTTTACCAAGAAACCAAACAACTGGAAGGTACCCACGTTGAAGATGGCAAAACTACCAACTGCCATTTGCATGAATTGTTGAGCATGACTAGTATTAAAAAAACTTAAAAATTGATATAACTTTTGTTCCTACAAATTGGCAAAGGATTTTATAAACTAGTAAGTCAGCATTAGCAAAAGTGCGAAAATGGCACTATCAGATACTAGTGGTAAGAGCATAAACTGAATATTTTGAATACCCTACAAAACTAGGACAGTGTCCTAGAATTTGTAATGGCATAAACCAGAAACAACATAAATAAAGGAACAGAATTTACAGTACTTCCATGTGATGGGACACCATGAACTCATTAATATTCAAAAAACATTTAAGTTTAAAAATGCTCAGAACTAAAGTAACATTTAAAAAACAGGCTAGCTCATCTACACACAACATAGTAACATGGTAACAATCTCATAAAAAATACTATATGTATAGAGAAAGAACCAGAAGGAAATGCTCTCAAATATAAGAAATGTTAATAAGGTGGTTAGTTTTTAGTTTTCTTCACCCTGTTCAGTACTTCTGAGTATCTCCTATGAGCTCATTAATCTTTAATTTTAATCATCTTATTTTAAAAAAACAAGGACCATCTTGATATATGTTTACTTTTATTAAGGAAAAAGAATCTATGAACACAGGAACAGAAATCAGGAGATCTTGGCTCTCGCCCTTTCAGTGCCACAAAGCTGTTTTGTGAACCTGTAAATAATCCATTTGGAGTCTCCATGTTTCTCAATTGTAAAATGAGGATATGCTGCTTCTACACATTTCACAGGGTCATTGCAAGAATAAAATGAGACAATGAGAATGTTGGATTTACATGCTTGTATAAGAACAGAAGACCTTTTATGCCTGTACACAGAAGAAATGGAAATCATGACCCACAAGGCACCAAATAACTGACTGCACACGTCACTAAAAAAGCCCCAGGAAAGGCTAGCCGGTTTGTTTATCCTCTTACAAGGACCTATATGATGTGTAAGGTTTTAAGAAAACAAGGTTTGAACGTTAGACATTTCATATACTTATCTATGACTTACGACATTTAATAAGCTTGACTTCACAAAGATTTTCTGTTATTTTGCTTGTGTTGAGAAGATACTATCACAAAAGGCTAGTGGGGTTGCCTTAACTATAGGAACCATCACACAAATGTGCTCATCTAAACTAGATTTTATTCTAAATCTTTCCTGGGCTAAAAAGAGAAAAAAAAAAGGGCACTACTACTACCATTTCAGAAGTCTGTCGTACGTAAAAGGAACAATTTTTTTATTTCTGGCTGCCTGGGAGCAATGTATTATACTGGCAAGTGCTTTGGAGTTACACCACTGGAGTGTGAATCTCGGCTCTATCAATAACTAGCTGTATAATAATGAGTAAGTTACCTAACCTTTCTTTATCCATTTCCTTATTTATAAAAAAGGGATTAATAATGGTACCGGCCATTCTAAGTTACTGTAATTAAATCAAATTACATTCACAAAGCACTTTTGCACATAGCCAACCCACAGTAAACACTATTAGTAACCTTAGTTCATTAACTGTTTACTGTATACTCTAATAAATGTCTGATACACACCCACGCCCACCTGCACATACACAAATGCTCATAGTAATTATGTAAGGCAAGTATTATCTCCACATTTCAGACAGGTTAACTTACACAGCTATTATAGTAAGTGATAGAGCAGAACTTAAAAACCCTGTATGATTCAGGTCCAAACTCCTTTTCTTTCTTTATATAACCATAATATTTCAAATTAAGTAAGATTTCCTATATAACGTCCTGCCTCTCATCATTATCATCAAAATAATTCCCCAGAGGTGTAGGTTCTTAATTAAGCATTTCTTAGTGCATAACTCTATTCAATAACATTTTTCAATTTAAGGAATAATCTCATCTCAGCTCATCTGAGGTGTGGATTAAGTGTTCTTTAAGCCTTTATATACACGTGATCACATACGGCTCGTTTTTTCTGCTTGGGATTATAAAAATCTCCGTAACACCAAATACAGCTTTTGAAGTCACATATAAACAGACGTTGACATGTATATTAACAAACATATATAAACAAGGTGATTTCACACGTTATCTACTTAAAAGAGGGAAGTAAAGTAGTTTTACTAAAATATGCGATTATGCACTTGCCAGCTCACCTGTTAGTGGAGCCCCATGAAATGTCTGTGACCCCTGATATCCATCAGGCACCGAGTCTGGTCCATAATTCTCTGTGGGCCAACGATGACGGGATGCTGACTTACTGCTATTTAGTTTCTATTGGAAGAAAAAAAAATCAAATAATTTTAATCATTTAATTATATCATGCCAGAAACAGTGCTGGGGAAACTTACTCTTTTAAATTTAAATAACTGATTTTTTCTTTTTTTCTTTTTTGAGATGGTGTCTCGATCTGTCATCCAGGCTGGAGTGCAATGGCACAATCTTGGCTCACCGCAACCTCCACCTCCTGGGCTCAAGCAATTCTCCCACCTCAGCCTCCCGAGTAGCTGGGATTACAGGCGTCAGCCAGCACACCCGGCTAATTTTTTGTATAATAGTAGAGATGGGGTTTCACCATGTTTGCCAGGCTAGTCTTGAACTCCTGACCTCAAGTGATCCAACACCTCAGCCTCCCAAAGTGCTGGGATTATAGGTGTGACCCACCACGCCCGGACCTGATTATATCTTTTGAAAGTTTCTATTTGCCAATGAGTTCTAGGTACCTGGTGCTGATTTTAAAATATGATTCTTAATTTGTTAAAAATTTATCTGCTCCCATTTTCATTCGTTAATACAAAACCTAATTCATTAACTCTCTCACCTAAACAAATAACCTCCTAAATGATCACACCTTCATTTCCATTCTACACTTGCCTACATTAACCTTTCTGACATTCACCTCCAGCCAAGACAATTCCCTGCTCAAAAAAACAAGTACCTACAAACTAAACTTCTTTCCCCAACTTTCACAGTCCTCTAACATTACACTGACCATCCTTTCAGTGTGTTCTTTCTATACTGCAATCTGGACTACCTGACATTCCAAATCACCTCCCCAAATTAGCTTTTCACTTAACCCCATGCTGAAACAAAATACAACTAATTCTCCAGGTGACGTTCAAATGCTCCACCAGGAAAGGGAAAAAAGCAGTAGCTGCAGATAATTTATTATGTATATAATAATACGTCCAATGCACTTAAACTCTTAATTTTTATACTATCTACACTGTTAGGTAAACAATATTAGCTCCTATCTTAAAATGAGAGAAAGGGATGCAGGGAATAACAGCTGGAATTTGAACCACATCTGACTCCAAAAATGTTCTCTTAACACAACTCTGCTGCCTTGACAAGATGGCAGATAGATACAATGCCATCTAGTGTAGCTATGTGGCTACCTGATCTCTGCTGAAGAAAACTAAATGACAGCACCATACCCAACCCTAGAACCTACAAAATGTCCCCTTACAAAACAGACACTTAACAGGAAATTCTTTTTCCAAAGAAATTGTAGTGGTATCAGAAAACAGGTAAATTTTGAAAAGTTTCAAACTTCTCTGTATCAGCCCAGGAATCCGACCAGTTCTAACAAGTGAGGTCAGGGACAGATCTAGCATGTCTGCTTTCTTTTTCTACAAGTGTTTCAAATAAAAATTTCCCAGAAAGACCTAACCATGAGGTCCAAAACTATCTCAATTTTCAAGCTAAATAAAATTTCCCCCACTCATCCATCTACAGTGCCTAGTCCAGATGCTACACATACACATCCAAGAAATAAGAAACTAGTGGAATCACCTAGAAAACTTTATGGTCACTGTTGGTATCCGCACCAGAGCTTTGAATTTGCAATCACTGCTGTAACTGTAATTTTTAACATTCAGTGTAATGAGAACTGGCTTCAATAATTCTCTCATTTTAAAGATAAGAAGCCAGTCACGAAGGAAGTGACTGGCCCAAGATCATTAATTAATGGCAGAGTCAGTACTAGTACCAAGCTTTTCAAGCTCATGGACTAGTGCTCCACTATACTTCCACAGAATACAATGTTGGGAGCCTGAAACCTGTATGTTAAGTCAAAATTGTATGTAATTGTCATAGGCCATGACTACACAGAATTAACATTCAAGATTTTTGTGCAAATTCAAAAATGTCTTCCCCACCAAATAGTATTCTCTCAATTTGCAAATACTGCTGATCACACTGTAATAATCGCCACACATCAGCATATCCTTGATGTAACTTTAGCAGTATAATTTAGTTCTTGCCTGATAAACATGAAAGAACCTACTTTTATTTCCAATTCCAAAAAAGTCAAGCTCCTTTGAACCCTATTGTTAAAATAAGATATATATACATAACTATTTCCTTACATAATTAAGTCAAATTCATATGGAAGTATTAAAATATAGCAAGACTTTTTGAAGCTCAGACCACTTTTCAATTCCTAGCTATACATTTGAAACACATGTAATCCACAGCTAATCTGAGAATGAACTCATAGACCAGAGTATGATTAGTACACTGTAGCAGTTCAATCACTCGGGAACCTTCTCTGTGTCAGGAACTCTTATATTTTAAATAAAACAGTTTCTACCTTTGAAGGTCTCAAATTTTGTGGAAGATGAGGAGAGAGACACATAAAGTACTTTCAAAAATATAGTAAAGGGCTGGGTGTGGTGGTTTACACCTGTAATCCCAGCACTTTGGGAGGCCAAGGTGGGCAGATCGCCTGAGGTCAGAAGTTCAAAACCAGCCTGGCCAACATGGTGAAACTCTGTGTCTACTAAAAATACAAAAATTAGCTGGTCCTGGTGGCGGGTGCCTGTAATCCCAGCTACTCAGGAGGCTGAGGCAGGAGAGTCGCTTGAACCTGGGAGGTGGAGGTTGCAGTGAGCCAAGATCGCACCATTGCACTCCAGACTGGGCAACAGAGTGAGACTCCATCTCAAAACAAAACAAAACAAAATATGGTAAAGGGTCAAGACCAAGGTATGTAGGCTGGGCACAGTGGCTCACACCTGCAATCCCAGCACTTTGGGAGGCTGAAGCAGGAGGATTGTTTGAGCCAGGAGTTCAAGGCCACCCTGGGCAACATGGAAAAATCCCATCTCTACAAAAAATACAATTAGCTGGGCCTAGTGGCGTGTGACTCTCTGTAGTCCTGGCTTCGTGGCAGGCTAAGCCAAGAGGCTCTCTTGAGCTAGGAGGTCGAAGCCACAGTAAGCTGTGATCATACCACTGTACTGCAGCCTGCACAACAAGACCCTGCCTTAAAAAAAAAAAAAAAAAAAGACCAAAATGTCCCCTTGCCATACTATTTGGATGGCAAGGGGACATTCTGACCAGCTTCAGAAAAAAAGTGAGAGAGTGGCCAGGGAAGGAATCTTGGAATAAAAAGTACAGCTAGAGAAATTAAGTGACTTACCGTAATGGCCTTTACTTCTTGGCAAATCATTTTCCGTAAAGAATTCTGATCTTCTGCCCATCGAGGTGGTGTTTTGGGAGAATACTAAAAAAAAAAATAAAAATAACAAAAGAGCATTTAAAACACTTAGAAACAATTTCACAATGAAATGATTCCATTCTTTCCTGTTTACCTTGTAACTTTTACTTGGTGATAGTGAATATTTGGTAGGAGATGGTGTAGAATGTTTTATTTCTGAATCTGCATTTCGCAAAGAACCATTTTTATAGAGAGGACCTCCTTCACTATAGTCTTCGAGTTCCTGCATGACTGACTTAAGCATCTCTTTTACAGACTCCAGGGGCACAGGCAACTAAAAATAAAAGACATTAATTAAGGGCTTTCATTTGCAAAAAATTCCAAAAGTAAAAACTCTAAAATGATATATTTTATCTTATTTACATTTTTGTCATTTTAATAAGCACTTTACACTTTAAATAATAATACACGTGAAAGTGTTTTTTAATTATCTTTTTTCTTTGTTTTTCTGCTGTTTTGTATTATTATTTTTATTTTTTTGTCTTTATTCTATTTTTTTCTTCATGAACACAGAAAAGTGTTGTACAATCTAACATCTTCTGATTCTAAAGTCCATGCTCTTTCTATTACTTCTGTTAACCATGATAATTGTAGAGGAATGTTAACTTGGAAAGCTTTTCCAAGTGAACAAAATAAGTTACTGATGTTTTCTAACTGATTTTCAATGGTGACAGAAATACAGATGCTACAATACACCAGACAACATAAATCCTAATAAAAGAGTAGTAACACAAATTAATCAACAAAACACTCAGAAGACTGAACATAATTTAACATCATCATGACAATCTCAAACAGCTGACAGCAAGAAAACAAGGGCGTTCATAATGGCTGATGAGGATGAGAAGAAATGCTCTTAAGTTGTCAGCAACAACTTTCAATTTCAGCAAAGTTCATTAAGAATTAGTCCTGAGGTTATAATATTTGTTTTGATTACACTGCTAAGATAACACCTAGATTCCCAAGTTTAAAAAGACACACCAAACCTAAGACAAAGCAAGCAAATATAAGCATTTAGACACACACATCCCTTCTGTGCATTAATAACAACATATTACTGAGTATTTTTGAAATTACCAAAATATAAGACCAACGCAAAAACACTGACCAGTGGGTTATCAGTAAGAACGTACATACAACAACCTGCTACTTACTTTCTTGACCACTGAAAGATTTGAATCACTGTCATCTATAATCTTTATTAGGTAGTCCCTGGTCTTTCTCAGATAATTTTTGCATTCTTCTTGTTCTTCAGGAAAAACGGCATCATTTTCAATGTCTTCTGCTTTCCTGTGAAAAATCTATACAAATAGTGCTTTTATGAAATCATTAGCTTTTTAAAACAAAAAACTTTCAGCTTGGCCACGCATGGTGGCTCATGCCTGTAATCCCAGCTACTCGGGAGCTGAGGCACAAGAATCGCTTGAGCCTGGGAAGCAGAGGTTGCAGTGAGCCAAGATTGTGCCACTGCACTCTAGCCTGGCCAACAGAGAAACCCCGTCTTTTAAAAGAAATAATAAATAAATAAATAAAACTTTTAGCTCAAGTACTGCATCTACTTACCAGTGCAAGATTCCAATAAGAAACAACACTTTTTATAGATTCAAAAGCAGTCACAGCATCTTCTATATTTCCATGTACTGCATCCAATATAGCAAAAGTTATGTGTGCATCTTCTTCATACTCAACAATTTCTGATGCCTAAACACACAGAATAGTTTTTAGTCAAATTGTTTATACTCAGAATATAAAACCCAAATGATTTTCCAAAGATTTTATATGATCTTAAGAGACAAACATCTCATTACTCTTCTCTGTCATATCTTATCTGTGAGAGCTAGTGAATTTAGAAAACAAGATTACCGTTAAATAACAAGGCAATTAATTTAAGCAGTTTATAGCTCCACGTCTTTGTTTATAAACTGGAAATTCCCATCTCCAATAAATTCATAAAGGAACTCTGTTACCTGAATGTCTACACTATGAAAATGTTTAAACAGAGGATCAATAGGTTCAGGAATACTGTTCTTCTTTATTATCTTCAACAATGGCAAAACTTTCTTCCAATAATGAACACTTCTCCCTATGTATTCTTGTTGATCATAAGAAGAATTAAGACCCCTGCCCTAAAAAAGAAAGTTAAAAGCACACAACTTTAAGGAACACGCATGATTAGATCTAAAGTTCATTTACAGGTTGTAAGAACTGGCTAAAATTTCAAGTCAAAACCAAATGGTACCTCAATAGTCATTTGTTCAACTTCCAAATACTGTAATAACTAAACCACCTTAATACCAGTGAACTCACTGCAACCTCTGCCGTGCAGGTTCAAGCAATTCTCCTGCCTCAGCTTCCCAAGTAGCTGGGATTACAGGCACCTGCCACCATGTCTGGCTAATTTTGTAGTTTTAGTAGAGTTTTTTTTTGTATTTTTAGTAGAGACGGGGTTTCACCGTGTTAGCCAGGAATGATCTCGATCTCCTGATCTTGTGATCTGCCCGCCTCGGCCTCCTAACGTGCTGGGATTACAGATGTGAGCCACCGCACCCGGCCTCTACACTCAACTTTTAAACACTTCTAATGATACCACCCTAATGTAGCAATCCCAACTACTTTTTAACAGTTGCCATTTTTAGATAGCTGAAACCTGCCTCTTCTGTAGTGTCAGTTTGTTCAAAAGGCTGACCATCTTCACCTAATGGTGACACAAAACAAACCTTAAATATTTAGAAAGATCTATAATGGTCTTACCTACAAAGCCTTGTGCTAATTTTTTTTTTTAATTTTCAGGCTGAATAATTATCAGAACTTAATTATTAAGGAATAACAGTAACAGCTCAGCTAATATGTAACATTCACTGTGTGCCAGGCATTGCTCCTCTAAGTGCTTATATTTAACTACATTAACTATTTTGCAGCAATAAAAAACACATCTGTCATAATATGACCAAGCTGCTGTTTTCTGAACAAAAAAACTTTCAATAAAAAGTGCATGATTTTAAAAAATTAAGGTAATGTTCTTTAAAAATGCTTATACTTTAAAACTCACCATTTTCTGAAGGCATTTTGCCCAATGTACAAGCAGAGCAGGTTGAAGGCCATGTTTTTCCTGGGCTCTTAGAGTGTTTATTTCATGCTGAACTACAAGTCTCAATTCTGCTGAGTTTCCAGGTCTAAAAAATACTTCAATTTACTAAAATTGTTTTCTAAATACACAGTTCAGCGCTTACATACATATATGTTAATGGGTCACATGACAAATTAAATCTTCACATGAGGATTAAATCCCCGGTAAAACCTACGCACTAAGTGAAAGCAATATTTTTGTTTTACTACTTACACTGCTTTTCTGTGAATCAGAGTACAAACCGCATCCCACCAAGATTTTTGTCTCTCTGTACAAAGCCGTTTACACACAGGAAGGGGCAGGCATAACGGCTGATAGGAGCTGTGGTGAGAATTACATTTCTCCTTTAATTGTAAGTGGCTGGTATATACTACTCCAAGGAGAAATACCTGTTTTATTTAAGGAAAAGTTAAGTTAGAAAAAAAAATTAAACAAAATTCAGAATATTTAATTTGTTAAAATCTTTGCTTACTTCAAGATCTAAAATACATATTGATTCAGGTGCATTTGTTTCAAGCCTTGAGGTTTCCTGGGGCAAATGATGGAAAAGCTGTTTTAGCCATTTTCGGATTCCAGGTAAAGCAGGCAATGAATTCCACTGTAAGCCAAGCCAAGTAAGGTGCTGAAGACTACCATTATGTGCTTGAATAGCACCTGAAATAAAATAAAAAAATTGGCTTAAGGGTTTGAAATTTTTCTTTGTGCCATTAGTTTTGCCAACATAAACAATTCACATTATATATATCTTAATTATATAACTGCTTTTCTATATCAAAGCTGGAGGGAATTCTATGTTAGGCAAAATCTCATGTTCTTATTAAATGCATTCTCACTTGATTATTTCTAGAAATTTTAATAAAAATAGTAGTGATGAAGAATGTTTAAGTCCATCTTAAAAAATGACACTGACTAGAACTCAATAAACCAAAATCAACTGACAAAAGCCAAATAAAGAACACCTAACCTAATAAGAAACCCCAAAACAATGGGTTTTCCTTTAAGTCATTAAAGCAATGGAACACCACTATATTAATCCATCGGTACAGTAAAGAAATCTGTTTTTCTACAAGAAAGTCAATATTGAAAAGGTTATGTGCAGTCAGGAGTTCGAGACCAGCCTGGCCAGCATGGTGAAACTCCGTCTCTACTAAAAATACAAAAAATTAGCCGAGCATGGTGTCACATGCCTATAGTCCCAGCTACTTGGGAGGCTGAGGCAAGACAATTGCTTGAACCTGGCAGGCGGAAGTTGCAGTGAGCCGAGATTGCACCACTGCGCTCCAGCCTGGGTGACGGAGCGAGACTCTGTCTCAAAAAAAAGAAAAGAAAAGAAAAGAAAAGGTTATGCGCTTCTGGAAGCATGAAGAGGTATAATCTTTCTGTCATTTTGGCAATTTGCAAGACTTAAAGATGTTCATGTCCTTTGTCTCAGTAATTCTGTTTTTAGGTATCTCTATGGAAATAACTTGCAATGAAGACACTTTTTGTTGAAGTTTTTATCAGAGTATGATTATTAACAGTGGAAAAGTTGAGAAAACTTGGATGCCCAATAACAGAAAGTTGCAAGCAAATTATGACTACTTCATAAAAAAGATTATATTGCCAATAAAAGTGATATTTATAGTTTTAATACAGAGACTATGGGAGAGAATTCATGAAGGAAGCAAGATAAATCATACATAAACAACCATTTAGATGAAAAATATGGTCAGATGCAGTGGCTCATGCCTATAATTCCAACACTTTTGTTTTTGAGACGAAGTCTCGCTCTGTCGCCCAGGCTGTAGTGCAGCAGTGTGATCTTGGCTCACTGCAACCTCCACCTCCCGGGTTGGAGCGATTCTCCTGCCTCAGCCTCCTGAGTAGGGACTACAGGCACATGCCACCACCCCCGGATAATTTTTGTATTTTTAGTAGAGATGGGGTTTCACCATGTTGGCCAGGATGGTCTCGAACTCCTGATCTCAGGTGATCTGCCCGCCTCGGCCTCCCAAAGTGCTGGGATTACAGATATGAGCCACTGTGCCAGGCCTAATCCCAACACTTTGCGGGGCTTAGGCAGGAGGATCACTTGAGCCTAGGAGTTGGAGACTAGCCTGGGCAACAAAGGGAGACCCTGTCTCTACCAATTAAAAAAAAAATTATCTGGGCCGAGTGGCATGTGCCTATGGTACCAGCTACTCAGGAGGCTGAGGCAAGAGAATCCCTTGAGCCCAGAAGTTCAAGGCAGCAGTGACCTACGATCACGCCACTACACTCCAGCCCAGGTGACACAGCGAGACCCTGTCTCAAAATACAACAAGGCTGGTCGCGGTGGCTCACTCCTGTAATCCCAGCACTTTGGGAGGCCAAGGCAGGTGGATCACCTGAGGTCAGGAGTTTGAGACCAGCCTGACCAACATGATGAAACCCCGTCTCTACTAAAAATACAAAAAATTAGCCGGGCGTGGTGGTGGGCATTTGTAATCCCGCTACTTGGGAGACTGAGGCAGTAGAATTACTTGAACCCGGGAGGCAGAGGTTACAGTGAGCCGAGATCGCACCACTGCACTCCAGCATGGGCGACAAGAGCAAAACTTGGTCTCAAAAACAACAACAACAACAAAAAATACATGCCACCCCTACAGCACCACATTCAAACTCCCCCCAGCCCAACCCACACACAAAAGGAATACAGGAAAATATTAAGTCGTTATTTCTGGGTAATAAGATTATGGGCAATTTATAATAATTAAGACGGAGACCATTTCCTCTGAAACATATAACTTACCAACATCGTATCTAGCCAAATCTTCAAGCTCTGGTTCTTGTACATCAATGTTTCCAATATCATCGCTACCAAGAAAAGATGTATCCTTAGATGACTGACTAGAAAACAGAGCATTATATAACACAGACTGCCCGCTTTTGTTGGCAAAAGTTTCAACAACCTCTTTTAAAAAATCTTGCTTGCCACGACTTAAGTTTAGCAACATATGCCCTGAAAAAAAAATTTAAGTTATTTCCATCACTTTAAAAATACAGATTGTATTTGCTCACGTTGTCTCATTTGTATACCCAAAGGGGAAATAACATGATTATTGCAGACCTAACCCTCCAACCCAAAAAATACAGCTGGACAACAAAACGGGTGCTTATGTAGCAAATGAAAAGAGTACAGGTTTAATATTCTCAGTATCTACATAAGACAGCAGAAGGGGGAAAAAAGACAGGAATGTGTATGAAAAATGCCAAACATATTTGCATTTTAGATGAAAAGGTCTGGATTTAAGTGGCCATAGGAGAACAGGGACAAGCTCTTATTCTCTGATCTGATACACTGATTTCTGAACCTGGCTGATCAGAATCCTCCTTTAAACAGCTTTTAAGAATTATTTCCGGCTGGGCACGGTGGCTCATGCCTGTAATCCCAGCACTTTGGGAGGCCAAGCTGGGTGGATAATGAGGTCAGGAGATCAAGACCATCCTGGCTAACACAGTGAAACTCCGTCTCTACTAAAAATACAAAAAAAAAAAAAAAAAAAATTAGCCGGCCCTGGTGGCGGGCGCCTGTAGTCCCAGCTACTGGGGAGGCTGAGGGAGGAGAATGGCGTGAACCCGGGAGGCGGAGCTTGCAGTGAGCCGAGATCACGCCACTGCACTCCAGCCTGGGCGACAGAGTAAGACTGTCTCAGGAAAAAAAAAAAAAGAATTATTTCCAGGCCTTGTTCCCAGAGATTTTTATTCCATAGGTTTACAGTAAGCAATCAAAAAATCATAGTCCTCGGATAAAATACTGATACATGCTATAACACAGATGAACCTTGAAAACCTTGCTAAATGAAAGAAGCCAGTCACAAAAGACCACATACTACATGATTCCATTTATGTGAAATGTTCAGAAGAGGCAAACCGGCCGGGCGCGGTGGCTCACGCCTGTAATCCCAGCACTTTGGGAGGCCAAGGCGGGCAGATCACGAGGTCAGGAGATCGAGACCATCCCGGCTAAAACGGTGAAACCCCGTCTCTACTAAAAATACAAAAAATTAGCCGGGCGTAGTGGCGGGCGCCTGTAGTCCCAGCTACTTGGGAGGCTGAGGCAGGAGAATGGCGTGAATCCGGGAGGCGGAGCTTGCAGTGAGCCGAGATCCCGCCACTGCACTCCAGCCTGGGCGACAGAGCGAGACTCCGTCTCAAAAAAAAAAAAAAAGAAGAGGCAAACCTACAGAGACAGATTAGCGGTTGCCAAGGCTGAGAGGTTTGGGTAAAATGGGGAGTAACTGCTAATAGGTAAGAAATTCCTCATGGAGTGATGAAAATCTTCTAAAACTGACTGTGGTGACAGTGGTAATACTCTATGAACATAGTAAAAGCCACTGAACTGTACACTTTAAATGGGTGAAGCGTATGGTACATGAATTATATTTCAATTCAACTTTTTTTAAAAACCCTCCTTTGAGTTAATTCTGCTGGGCAATTAGGTTTGGTTACCACTACACAGTTGTGTCTCAGCACACTTACAGAGGCACCCTCGGGATGCCCAGATCAAAGACATAAAAAAAAAATACAGGCAATTTTCATCTAACTGTGACACCATGCAAAGGCACTTATGAGAGCCCTGCAAGGGTAGAAGGAAAAGAGAAAAGGAAAAAAGTAGAAAGTCACTTTAAGGACTGAAAGCCTAGCTCCCACAAAAAAAGTGGGCTATGGAATAAAAGAGCAATGTGAGCTTTGGCCAACAGCCTAACTATACACCAAAGCTTATAATAACTTTGATTTAATATTACATCTTGCTCTTTACAAAATTCATCCAATTTTATATCAAAACTGCTCCTTATAGGAAGCATTATGTTTCTTCAGTTCACTGCTTGATTCAATGGCCATCTAACTACCTTAAAGTTTGTATCTTAGCAAAATCACAGGTAATATGCAACAGACCTTTAGGATTCATCCCAAGCCAAAAACGGGGGAAAAAAATCCACAAATTCCAAGAGCCTAATATAAGGTAAGTATATATCTTCTATCTTCCTCACTATGCTCTCAGCTCTTTAAGACAGATCCGTATCTTCTTCATCTTTATATCCCCACAGCAGTGTTTTTAGAATCAGCTGGTGTTAAATGGTTGGCAAATCAATAATTATACTTAGTTCAGGAAGTGACTAAATATTCAGGCTAGAGGCTCTAGCAGCCAGATGAAGAAAGAGTTAAGAAATCCTCTCCACATAGGAACAAACAATATCAAATATTCATTTTTTTTAAAGAATGTGCTATTTCTTCGCATCTCTTCCATACCTATTGCTCTTAACTGATACGGCAAAAAGAAATAATTTTGACAAATTATCTCCTGGACAGATGAAGATTTTATCATAAGATATGCCTTAACAGAAATTCCTTTTTCTTTTTAAATTAAATTAGTTTAATATTACTATTACCTGATTGGCTCAGTCGGTCACAGGCCATCATTTCCAGCAGATTTTGTCCAGCTTCACCTTTTATTAATTTAATCTTTGGTCTTGGAACCTAATAATTTTAGAATCAAAAATCTTAATTTGATGATACCCATACTTCTAATAGTAACATGGTCTTGTCTATTACACTGTACTTTTTTTGATAATGAATAAACAGTTAACCATTAATTAAACTGAATTGGAAAAGACTGCAAAAACTGGGAACCAAGGAATTTATATAACCTATGAAAGATAGGCCAGGTACAGGCGTGGTGGCTCACACCTGTAATCCCAACACTCTGGGAGGCCAAGGTGGGCTGATCACTTGAGGTCAGGAGTTCGAGACCAGCCTGGCCAACATGGTGAAACCCAGTCTCTACTAAAAATAATAAAAAAAAAAACAAAGAGGCAGGCGTGGTGGCACACACCTGTTAATTCCGGCTACACGGGAGGCTGAGGCACAAGGATAGCTTGAACCTGGGAGGCAGAGGTCGTAGCGCGCCGAGACTGCGCCATTGCACTCCAGCCTGGGTGAAAGAGCGAGACTCCATCGCAAAAAAAAAAAAAAAGAGGGGCCAGACATGTTGGCTCACACCTGTAATCCCAGCACTTTGGGAGGCCGAGGTGGGGGGATCACTTGAGCCCAGAGTTCAAGACCAGCCTGAACAACACGGTGAGACCCTATCTCTAAAAAAAGTTTTTTTTATTAGCCAGGAGTGGTGGCACACAACTGTGGTCCCAGCTACTCAGGAGGCTGAGGCAGGAGGATCACTTAAATCCAGGAGGTCAAGGCTGCAGTGAGCCATGATCATGCCACTGTGCTCCAGCTTGGGTGACAGAGTGAGACCCTATCTCCAAAAAAAGAAAAAAAAAAAAAAAGCATACACAGAGCAGCTCTGAGAAATTAGTTTCTACTAAAAGCACATTCGTGTTACATTCAGAGAAATGGAAAATTTAATTATATTACTTTTCTGCCCTGAATAAATAGGACAACAGCAGATGTTGTCCTATTTGAGTAGATATGACACCCTACTTTAAAAAGTACAGGTGAAATGACACTTGGAAATGCCACATTGTAGATAACACATTTTCAGAGTATGGATAACAGGGGATAGCACTAGAATAAATGGGACAACCAGGAAATTAAAGAGATCCTAATGCAATAACCTATGGAAAAAAAAAAAGCATGATGAATAGAATGGCGAAGGGAAGACGTGACAGCTGCCTTCAGGTATTAAAATTATTTTATAAAAGAAATCATCAAAAGAAGAAACAAGACCAACAGGTAGAAGGCTTGAAGAATATTTTTATTCTATATAAGGAAGTACCAAGAGCCAAACCACCTAAAGATGCACTGGGCTATCTTGAAAAGTAATGAATGCCCATCACTGAAAACGTCCAGTCACAGGCAATGCCCACTTACTAGAAACATGCCAAAAGTAACTATATGGGTGACTAGAGCATCGGCTTTTAATTCTATCACCACTTTCTTAATTGGTGGTGGAAATGTAATTTGATACAACCTCTTTAGGGTTAGATATTTGGCAACAGCTCTAAAAATTATAAATGCACAGATATACTTTGATACTGCAATTCTTTCAGGAATTCATGGCACAAGTTAATCATTGCTAAATTACTTGAAGTAGCATTAAAAAAAAAAGTAAAAGCAAGCTAATGTCCTGGTTTTAGGACCCTGGTTTTAAAAACTCCAAAACTACAGTACATCCATACAATGGAATAATATGCAAGCATCCAAACTAATGAGAATGCCCTTTATATATACTGACATGGAAACATCTCCAAGATACAGTTAATGGAAATAAAGTAAATGCAATGTTCAAATGTTTTCCTCCTTCTTTTAAAGACAGGGGATATATGTGTGTTTACTTGGAGATGCATAAAACATTTCCTGAAGAACACACAAGAAAGCAATAACATTAGTTTCTTTGGGGCTGGAGAAAGTAAATAACTAGGGAACAGAAAGGAGTCTTCATAGCATATTCTTAAGAGCCGCCAGAATTTTAAACCATGTATATATAATTCTTTCCAAACATGCTCATTTTTCAAAATATATGATTTATGAACCTAAAAGCTTCTGATTTTGAATTTTAGAAATATTCATATCGCCTATCCTTTTACTCACAAGTTTTCTAAACATCATGTCAAAGTTTGTCATCTATATGTTGAAAAGAGCACACAAAGTAAGAAACAAAATGTTGACATCATTCTTTTTGTTTTCAAACTGACCTCAATTCATAAACCCGGCCTCTTTTACAAAATTATTCAACAGTTGAATCTGTGACCAGTTAATTAGTTGTGAATCCACTCAATCAAATCATCTCAATTCACTATTTCCTCTTTTTTTTTTGAGATGGAGTCTCGCTCCGTCGCCAGGCTGGAGTGCTGCAGTGGCACGATCTCGGCTCACTGCAATCTCCGCCTCCTGGTTTCAAGCAATTCTCCTGTCTCGGCCTCTCAAGTAGCTGGGACTACAGGCACCTGCCACCATGCGTGGCTAATTTTTGTATTTTTAGTAGAGATGGGGTTTGACCATGTTGGTCAGGATGGTCTCAAACTCCTGACCTCAAGCGATCCGCCCGCCTCAGCCTCCCAAAGTGCTAAGATTATAGGTGTGAGCCACCACGCCTGGCTATTTCCTCATCTTAACTAAAAGGTTTCAAGATACTTTGTTAACTACCTAGCTGCAATGCAGATGCACTTACTAGAACCACAGTATTCCTCTGATTAAGAGTCTGAAAATCTTGCCATAAAAGTTAGCCAATTCTTAAATACCCAAATGCCAGCACATAACCTACATTTTATGCTTATAATCATTTGTTCATTAAGCTTTAAAATAAACTGATCAAATAAAATACAAGCATCTAAGATGTTTCTATTATATATTCATTCTACAGAAATATGTGGTAGCTAATAAAGACTGAGGTAGGTATCTCTGTGCTGAAGTGGAACAATGA
The DNA here is from genome assembly GCF_000001405.40 of Homo sapiens. Lineage (NCBI taxonomy): Eukaryota > Metazoa > Chordata > Mammalia > Primates > Hominidae > Homo > Homo sapiens. The sequence continues at coordinate 86,966,325 of NC_000002.12, read as the reverse complement.
AGAAACATTCAGAAAAGCAAGGCATCTGGCAATAGGTAAAGCACACCCACATTGAGGCACAATATTTTTTAAAAGCAGAGAAAGAATGTATTGCACATTTGCATATGCAAAAAATATTTCTGAACACCCAAGAAACTCCTAACAGTAGCTGTCATCTAGGAAAGGAGACCTGAGTGAATGGATTAAGAGGGAAACTAACTTATTATGATTAAAAGTTCACAGTCAGGTGTGGTGGCTCATACCTGTAATCTCAGCACTTTGGGAGGGCAAGGCAGAAGGATCACTTGAAGCCAGGAGTTCAAGACCAACCAGCCTGGGAAACATAGCAAGACCTTGTCTTTACAAAAAATTTAACAATGTAGCCAGGCATGGTGGCAGGCACCTGTAGTCCCAGCTACTGAGCTGAGGCTGAAGCAGGAGAGGATCACTTGAGCCCAGGAGTTCGAGGATGCAGTGAGCTATGATCATGCCACTGCACTCCAGCCAGAGCAAGAGTGAGACTCTGCCTCCCAAAACTACATATCGAAAAATTTTAGGCTGTGCGCAGTAGCTGACACCTATAATCCCAGCACTCTGGGAAGCTCGAGCCCAGTTCAATGTTACGGTGAGCTACGATTACGCAACTGCACTCCAGCCTGGGTGACACAGCAAGACTCTAATAGACACACAGACAGATAAATTTTAAAGTTTCCATTAAAAATAAGAACTATTGGCAGGGCGCGGTGGCTCACACCTGTAATGCCAGCACTTTGGGAGGCCAAGGTGGGCGGATCATGAGGTCAGGAGATCGAGACCATCCTGGCTAACACGGTGAAACCCCATCTCTACTGAAAATACAAAAAAATTAGCCAGGCGTGGTGGTGGGTGCCTGTAGTCCCAGCTACTCGGGAGGCTGAGGCAGGAGAATGGCGTGAACCCAGGAGGCGGAGCTTGCAGTGAGCCGAGGTCGTGCCACTGTGCTCCAGCCTGGGCGACAGAGTGTGAGACTCCATCTCAAAAAAAAATAAAATAAATAAAAATAAGAACTATCAGTTACTTGAGAATTTCTATAAGAACCTTTTAATGTTTGTATTACCTAGTGAACCTCACTAAATCCATTAATTTTCACTAATCCATTCCTTATGAACACAGAAGTTTCTACTGAGCCAATATTAGCATTTAACATGTGAACTGTCTATCAACGGTGTTTTTAAAAGATTTACAGGCCAGGCTCAATGGCTCATGCCTGTAATCCCAGCACTTTGAGAGGCCGAGTCGGGTGGATCACGAGGTCAGAAGATCGAGACCATCCTGGCTAACATGGTGAAACCCCATCTCTATTAAAAAATACAAAAAATTAGCCAGGCATGGTGGTGTGTGCCTGTAATCCCAGATACGTGACAGGCTGAAGCAGGAGAATCACTTGAACCCAGGAGACACAGGTTGCAGTGAGCTGAGATTGCGCCACTGCACTCCAGCCTGGTGACAGAGCGAGACTCCGTCTCAAATAAAAATAAAAAGATTTATATTAGGCAGGGCATGCTGGCTCACTGCCTGTAATCCCAGCACTTTGAGAGGCCGAGACACGCAGATCACCTGAGTTCAGGAGCTCAAGACCAGCCTGACCAACATGGAGAAACCTCATCTCTACTGAAAATACAAAATTAGATGGGCGTGGTAGCGTGTGCCTGTAATCCCAGCTACTCGGGAGGCTGAAGCAGGACAATCGCTTGAACCCGGGAGGCGGAGGTTGCAGTGAGCCAGATGGCGCCATTGCACTCCAGCCTGGGCAACAAGAGCAAAACTCTGTCTCAAAAAGAAAAAAAGATTTATATTAGAAGGAGGGGCCTTCTCTAAAAGTAATGAATCCTTTTTTTTCCCTCCCCAAGCAAAAAATCCTTCTCTAAAATTAATCATTTTTCTAAGCCTGGTTTAATGCTTTTTTTGGAAGACTGCTTATTTCTTTTCCTTTCAAAAGTTATGCAAGCTCATTAAAAAAAAAAGTCCGGGAATGGTGGCTCACGCTTGTAAATCCCAGCACTTTGGGAGGCCGAGGCAGGTGGATGACTAGGTCAGGAGATTGAGACCATCCTGGCTAACACAGTGAAACCCCGTCTCTACTAAAAATACAAAAAAATTAGCCAGGCATGGTGGTGGGCGCTTGTAGTTCCAGCTACTCGGGAGGCTGAGGCAGGAAAATGGTGTGAACTCAGGAGGTGGAGCTTGCAGTGAGCCGAGATCGTGCCACTGCACTCCAGCCTGGGCGACAGAGCGAGACTCCGTCTCAAAAAAAAAAAAAGGCCAGGCACGCCAGGCACAGTGCCTCGGGCCTGTAATCCCAGCACTTTGGGAGACCAAGGCAGGTAGATCACGAGGTCAAGAGATTGCGACCATCCTGGCCAACATGGTGAAACCCCATCTCTATTAAAAATACAAAAAATTAGCTGGGCTTGGTAGCACGGGCCTGTAGTCCCAGCTACTCGGGAGGCTGAGGCAGGAGAATCACTTGAACCCAGGAGGTGGAGGCTGCAGTGAGCCGAGATCACACCACTGCACTCCAGCCTGGCAACAGAGAGAGACTTGGTCTCAAAAAAAATAAAAAAATAAAAAATAAGAAAAGGTTTTATGTTTTCAAAGATTAATAGATATACTGTTACATATACACAATACAGCCATAAATGTTATATACATGTGTTTCAATTAACATGTTAAATTGCAATCATATTCTTCTATCATAGGCTATAAAGCCATTGCCCTACATCTACTTATTAGGATTTTGTCCAAGTAACACACCTTTTTGAATCAAGCTTTACCCATAATACGAGATTACATCTTTATCATGTTCCCAAAAATGGCAGAGTAAAAAGATCAAACTCTTCAAATTTGTCTACAAACAAATCATGGCAATGCAGGCTTTCGACAAGAGTGCACTCAACATCCCTGTTTCACCAGCCTCACCAGTATTGTGTATGCTTAGTTATTTTCCACTGTATCAAATTGACTATTTCATTTTAATTCCACAGTTTGTTCACATATTGTCATTACATACCAGAGCACACCTTCATTTAAAACACATCAAGACTCCGTGAAATGTCAATTGCTCCTACAAGTGGAAGACTTACCTGAAATGCTATGACATAGCACAATGCAGCCAGCTCAGAAAGAGCTTGCCATTGAACATTATTACCATGCTGACCCATCTTCAAGAGCAGAGAACCAGCATGCATGTAGAAATGTCCTTTCATTTCTAAGAAAGTAGCTGACAGTTCATCATTTCCACCCAAAGAAGATTTTGCAGACTGAAGAGCACTATCAAAACTGTAATATGAAAATATCAAACAGATGATACACACTTACTGCACTGTGAATAATCATGGTTCATTTAATTCAAAACAAAATAAAAATTTTATTTCAAGCTTCATCTTCCACATTCAACTTCTAATAATTCTTATTCCCCATGTTATAAATTATGAATCATCTAATGCTTATTTTTATCCTGCATACTTCCTATACTTCATGCTTAACCTCTCAAATGATGTCTTATTCCCAGTTATTTCCAGCCCTCCAATCACAGGATAAATATAAGATTAGTGATTATAGGTGCACATTTCAAAATAAACCAGGATAAAGTTGGGAGACTATTTTGTAGTTTCTTCCTGATCATATAATTTCATTATTTAATTAACAGTTGTAATTTCTCAAATTAGACATACCATTTCCAAATTATAAGTAAATAACTGACAGGTATTTGAGTATCAATACAGCAATTGCTCTTTTTACTATATAGATCATTACAGCGTTAAATAAATTGTCTTTTTTTTTTTTTTTTTTTTTTTTTTGAGACAGAGTCTCTCACTATCGCCTGGGCTGGAGTGTAATGGCACAATCTAAGCTCACTGCAACCTCCACCTCCCAGGTTCAAGTGATTCTCCTGACTCAGCCTCCTGAGTAGCTGGGATTACAGGCACCTGCCACCATGCCCCGCTAAACTTTTTTTATATTTTTAGTAGAGACAGGGTTTTACTATGTTGGCCAGGCTGGTCTCGAACTCCTGACCTCACGATCCGCCCGCCTCAGCTTACCAATGTGCTGGGATTACAGGCATGAGCCACTATGCCTGGCCTATTATTTGTAATCTATATTCTAAATTAGTTCTTCTAAATCCTAATGTTTCTCCAAATCCTCACTTTGGAAGAAAAGTAAAAGCAAAAAGCAAACACTTAAACGTGAAGCATGATTTTAAAGTGGCTTACAATAACGCAACCAGAGCAAATGAGGTCTAAAGATCTCTGAGGGTGCTCAAAAACCCCTTCAGGGGATCCATGAAGTTAAAATTACTTTTACAATAATACCAAAAAAAAATTTATATATTACATACTCATTTTCTCATGTATGTAGAGCTGAGTTTTTTTGTTTTTGTTTTTGGAGACAGAATCTCACTCTGTCACAAGGCTGGAGTGCAGTGGCACAATCTTGGCTTAATGCAACCTCTGACTCCCAGGTTCAAGCGATTCTTCTGCCTCAGCCTCCCGAGCAGCTGGGAATATAGGCGCGTACCAACATGCCCGGCTAATTTTTTGTATTTTTAGTAGAGACAAGGTTTCACCATTGTTAGCTGGGATGGTCTCGATCTCCTGACTTCGTGATCCACCCGCCTCGGCCTCCCAAAGTGCTGGGATTACAGGCCTGAGCCACCGCGACCCGCTGAGCTGAGTTTTCTAGAGGCTTCATGACATGTAATAGTTTTACAGACTGAAAGAGGAAGTAAATGAGAATCTAGCTATGTTCTATTAAGCGAGACATTAAAAAGATTTACAAAAATGCAAAAACAATGACACTTTTCTGACTACTTTTTTGCTGTTGGAAAATAATTATTTTTCATAAAAAATGCTATTATTGGCCCTGCGCGGTGGCTCACACATGTAATTCCAGCACTTTGGGAGGCTGAGGCGGGTGGGTCACCTGAGGTCAGGAGTTCAAGACCAGCCTAGCCAACATGGTGAAACCCCATCTCTACTAAAAATACAAAAAATTAGCCAGGCGTGGTGGTGGGCACCTGTAATTCCAGCTACTTGGGAGGCTGAGGCAGGAGAATCGCTTGAACCTGGGAAGCAGAGGTTGCAGTGATCCGAGATCACACTGTTGCACTCTAGCCTGGGCAACAAGAGCAAACTCCGTCTCAAATAAAAAAAAAAAAAAAAAAAAAAAAAGCTATTATTATTAACACACAATAGGGCTTATTACATTTTTAATGGATTACATTTTTTATTTGTTTTAATTTCTAATGTAATAAACACTGACAGAAATAACCCACATACGGCCAGGTGCAGTGGCTCAGACCTGCAATCCCAGCACTTTGGAAGGCCAAGGCAGGCGGATCACGACGTCAAGAGATTGAGACCTTCCAGTACTTTGGGAGGCCAAGGTAGACAGATCAAGAGGTCAAGAGATCGAGACCAGCCGGGCGCGGTGGCTCATGCCTGTAATCCCAGCACTCTGGGAGGCTGAGGCAGGCGGATCACAAGGTCAGGATATCAAGACCATCCTGGCTAACACAGTGAAACCCCATCTCTACTAAAAATACAAAAAATTAGCTGGGTGTGGTGGCGGGCACCTGTAGGCCCAGCTACTCGGGAGGCTGAGGCAGGAGAATGGCATGAACCCTGGAGACAGAGCTTGCAGTGAGCCGAGATGGCACCACTGCACTCCAGCCTGGGCAACAGAGCGAGACTCCGTCTCAAAAAAAAAAAAAGATCGAGACCATCCTGGCCAACATGATGAAACCCTGTTTCTACTAAAAATACAAAAATTAGCCAGGTGTGGGCTGAGCGCGGTGGCTCACGCCTGTAATCCCAACACTTTGGGAGGCCGAGGAGGGCAGATCACGAGGTCAGGAGATCGAGACCATCCTGGCTAACAGGGTGACACTCCGTCTCTACTAAAAATACAAAAAAATTAGCCGAGCGTGGTGGTGGGCGCCTGTAGTCCCAGCTACTCAGGAGGCTGAGGCAGAAGAATGGCGTGAACCTGGGAGGTTCACAAGGGGGGGTAACAAAGGGCCCATGAGTCCTGATTAACTGATCTGACAAACCATCTGTCACCCACCACCCTAAGCCACACTGTGAAACTGCCTAGGGTGGCACCAGCTTTTTATCTTCCTCAGGGTCCTCCCCTCAGGCCCCCAGTCACCCCCTCATGGTCCGGATTCTCCCCTGAGTGACTCCATCCCCATGGTCATCTCCCCTCCTGAGCCTCCCCCTCTGAGGGCCAAGGGCTGTCCTCAGGGCCCTCCTGGGGCTTCCTGGTGGGGAACAACCTGAGGCAGGAGGATAAGCTCTTATTCAGAGCATTGAGAGGAAATTGTGAAGCTTGCAGTGAGCCGAGATTGCGCCACTCTACTCCAGGCTGGGTGACAGAGCGAGACTCTGTCTCAAAAAAAAAAAAAATTAGCCAGGTGTGGTGTCGGGCACCTGTAGTCCCACCTATTCAGGAGGCAGAGACAAGAGAATCACTTGAACCCAGGAGGCAGAGGTTGCAGTGAGCCGAGACTGCACCACTGCATGCCAACCTGGCGAGAGCAAGACTCAGTCTCAAAAAAAAAAAAAGAGAGATTGAGACCATCCTGAACCCCGTCTCTACTAAAAATACAAAAATTAGCTGGGCGTGGTGGTGTGCGCCTGTGGTCCCAGCTACTCAGGAGGCTGAGGCAGGAGAATCGCCTGAACCCGGGAGGCGGAGGTTACAGTGAGTCAAGGTCATGCCACTGCACTCCAGCCTGGTGACAGAGCAAGACTCCATCTCAAAAAAAAAAAAAAAAACAAAACAAAAAAGAAAGAAAGAAAGAAAAAAAGGAACCCACATACAAAGATCTTTGATGTCCTTAAGAAAAATGTAAAAGGAACTTGTGACCAAAAAATTTGAGTATACAAAGAACACAAAATAAAACATCCTACATGTTTTCTAAAATAATCTTAAAGTTATGTTAGTTCTTTTAGATACTGCTCTTACCCTACCAATTTAGGACACTATGTACTTTTTCAAGAAAATTACCTACTCCCTGCACTCAGTGAAATGAACTTCTTTCCTTATACCAGATGGGGAAATAAATTAACTTCCAAACAAATGGACAGCCTAAACTAGCAATCAGTAAACTTTTTCTACAAAAAGGAGGAGATTACTAATCTGGCTTTACAGGCATACAATCTCTGCTGCAACCACTCAATTCCAACCTTGTAGTATGTAAGCAGCCACAGACAATACATAAACAGAGGCATGTTGCATTCCAATAAATATTAACAAAATTAGGCAGGGGCCATATTTGGCCCACAAGTTCTAACCAACCCCTGCTCTAAACTAACATTTTTATACAAATCCAAGTGATGTTTTTGTTCAATGGAATTTATTTTCAAAATGGAGACACTGGTTTTCAAAATCAAAATTTAGGAAAAAAGGTAAATCACATAGTTGAGTTATTTTGTTTCTTAGCTAAAACAGTATTTTCTGAAATACCAGTGATGCTAAGTGCTTATACTAGTACATGTGAACCTAGCCATCTGATGACAGATGAACCTTAATTTTCACTCAAGATTATACTATTATAAAAAATAAAATATGAAATAGCAGTTAGAACATTCATTTTAAGCTTGACTATGACAAACCTGAGTATTTAACCATAAGGCTAATTTTAATCAAGCTTGAACTATAAGAGTTCTCTAAAAAGGAAAGTCATATAAAACCAATTAGAACTTCCCCGTAAAAGAAGAAAAATAAGATTGCCTCCTAGTGGTTCACTGTATTAACTATAACTCCTAGGTACATTATAGAAATAATGATGCAGTAAAGAAATTTAGAGCAATGAACTTACTGCAAAAAGAAAAACTACAATTTATACTAAAGCATTCTCCTCAAAGTCAACGCACCTTTCCAGTAATTCTCTACTTTCCTGCACATCTCTAGTGGAAAGCGTAAGAAGCATAAGATTAGCATAGGCCAGCAGTAAGTCTGTATTGGTTGCTCGCCAGTCACTTTTATCAGACTCCAAACACTGTAAAGACTCCAGATATTCCTATTTTGTGGAATGAATAGTAAGTTACAAAACTTAATCAAGTGTTAAGAAATTAACCATTTTATGCCTACAAATTCCTTTTCTCACTCTAACCACGTTTGTGAAACTACATTGATTTTTACATCAACCTTATAAATGAAAACACCAAAAATATATACATTTATCATAGTTATCTCCCCAACTTTCCCATTATAAATTTAACTGATCCTGGTAAAAATTTCATTTTATAACTGTTCTACCTAAATAAAAGAAATTTAAGTCCTGCGGGGCACTGCTGCTTTAGTACAAAAAGATGTATGCTAATTGCCTACATAGAAATGTAAAGACCCAATAGCTTTTATCTACCTTAAGGGTCTGTACAACACACGAATTCCACTCTAAACTTGAACGCAAAGCTATGTTCCTCTCTGCCTCATGGCAGCGGGCCACAGCATCCTTCAATCTTTTATTTGAGCGATACAACTCCACTAGCCGGATGTTCATATGGACGTCATCAGGTCTTACATAAAGTTCTGACTGAATCCAGTCAAAAAGTTTATTCCATCCATCTTCACCTTCACAATCTAGAAGATGTTCCTATTTAGAGGGGAAAAAGAAAAATTATTAGAGTAACACTTGTGCAATTTTAAACAAGTCATGCTCCCAAAAAGCACCATTCCACTATGTCTAGTTTTATGATGATGCCACCAAAAACACCATCCTATATACCTTATTCGTCCCTTCTGAGAGTTGCTTACAACCCAGAAACTAAGCCTCAAGAACTGTATGTGAAGAAAAGCATCTGTGATTACTGCAGTAGCTCATACTCTCTTCAGAGACTACCAGGACTATTGCCACACATCCCTGTCCATCTGAGTCACCACCAGAAGCCTAGACCTCCCCAGTCAATCCTCAGCAACAAGGTCCTTATGCTCAAACTGCTCTGTATCTCCTTAAATCTGACTCAATCCCACATCCCCTCTCCTCCCACTGTTCTGTTACCTTCATCATCATCTCAAAGCACTGTCATCACCTCCTGATCTTAAATGAAGACAGTATCATCTCAGGATAACCCCCACTACCATGATGGCTTTTTCTCTCTGAACTTACATACAAGGAGAGGAAGTAGGGTTTGTGGCCACTCGCTTCTCATTTGCGATGCTCTTCCATCAGCCTCTCAAGAAGCTAGGACCATAGGCATGCACCACCATGCCCGGCTAATTTTTTTTTAACGTTCTGTAGAGATGGGGTCTTGCCGTGTTGCCCAGGCTGACTACTCAGTTCCTTAATCACCTCATCTCCAGTCATGTTATCCTCTACTCCAACCTCAACCATCCACTTGCCACTGACACAGGTCTTCAAAATCTGCATTTTGGTCATACCACCGAAACGACCATACCATCCTTCTTATTCTTCCACCTCACTGAGGGCCTACGTACCCTTACTTTCAGAAATATACTTCTCCACCACATGACAAGTTCCCTTCAAGACAATAACATCATCAAGTTTTAAGCACCTGTAAACACATATACACACACTTTCTTCTGTCAGGCAAAAAATGCTATAATCCCTTATATCCATAATTACTGTTTGCTTACAGATCCCTTCAACTAATTCCCTCTTTTCCTCAGAACCCTCCCAACTGGTTTCTGTGTGCTTAGATTTGGGAAATCATAACCCCAAGCTAACTGATTTCATTTGCATTATCTCAACCATCAAACTGGTGCTGCCTAAAACAAAATGCCATTTTAGTACTAACAGACTCACTTTCTCCACTCCCTGACACTTCACACCTCCTCCTATTTCCTCAACTTCCCCATACCTTCCTTTGACCCTCACTTTCAACTTATAACCTAGATTCATCCTTCACTGAGAAACCTGATGCTATCACATATAAATTCCATTTTACCTTACCTACTTAAACTCGTCTTTCCCCAGCTCTCAAGACCAAGCCGTCCATTACTACTCTGTATTTCATTCCCCTCTCTCCTTTATCAATTTCTCCTCTTCTGGATGAGATGGATGATACCCTGGTCTCTCCCTATTGCAAAAGCCCTAGTCTTTGACTCTATGTTAAACATTTTTTAAAAAACCACTATGAGTGCTTTTAAAAAGTTCTATCTCATACTTGAGAGAAAAAGCCTTCTCAACAGTAATACTCTCATTCATTAAACAAATGTCAGAAACTGTTTACCTTAGCAAGCCTTAAATTTTAGGAGAAATGGAATTACTTTGCATGACAATTATAAATCTCATGGATTTCAATTCCAAAAAAAAAAAAAATCTGATACAGGAAAGGTGTTAACAGTGCCTTCAAGTTATTAAAGAAAATCTTTAAAGAGTGCTTCAAAGTATCTTACTTGTTACACTGCAAGAAAACAATCTCCTGCCATTACATATGTTCTTTAACACTACTGACACCAGATTAACTGGATTGCCACGCCCAATATGGGAGTTATGTTTGAGGCATAACACCTAAGAGAGTAAAGAAATCTGCACAATTAGACCTCATGTTTTAGACTAATATTTAAAATCCAGCTGCTTATTACTGGGGAGAAAAACTTATCAGTAATATTTATCTTTGGAAGCATCTTCAATGCTTTTTCAGCTTCAAAAATCTGGACATGATTGTTCATAGCAGTTGAACAACAGCCAAAACCTAGAAATAACCAAAATGCCCCTCAAAAGTGAATGGTTAAGGCTGGGCACAGTGGCTCACACCTGTAATCCCAGCACTTTGGGAGGCCAAAGTGGGTGGATCACCTGAGAACCCGGGAGGCAGAAGTTGCAGTGAGCCGAGATAGCACCACTGCACTCCAGCATGGGCGACAGAGCAAGACTCTGTCTCAAAAAAATAAAAATAAAAAAAGTGAATGGTTAAATTGTGGACCATGAAATGCTACTCAGAAGTAAAGGAACCAACTATGGATATACAAAACTTAATATGGATCACAAATGGTATTATGCTGACTGAACAAGCCAACCTCAAAAGGTCACATGCTTGGCTGGGCGCGGTGGCTCACGCCTGTAATCCTAGCACTTTGGGAGGCTGGGGTGGGCAGATCACATGAGGTCAGGAGTTCGAGACCAGCCAGGCCAACATGGTGAAACCCCGTTTCTGCAAAAATACAAAAATAAGCGGGACACGGTAACATGTGCCTGTAGTCCCAGCTACCCGGAAGGCTGAGGCAGGAGAATTGCTTGAACCTGGGAGGCACAGGTGGCAGTGAGCCGAGATTGCGCCAGTGAACTCCAACCTGGGCAACAGAGCGAGACTCCGTCTCAAAAACAACGAAAAAAGAAAAAAAAAAGTCACACATTTCATGATGACATTTACATAACATTTTGAAATCACCAAAGTATAAAGATGGAGAACAGATTAATGGTTGCCAGAGGTCAGGCATAGTGAAGAGAAGTAAATAGCATGACTACAAAAGGGGCAGCATGAGGAAGATCTCTGTGGTAATAGAGTAGCTCTGTATCTTGACAGTAGTGGTGGTATGAATCTACACATGATAAAATGAAAGAAAACTATACATACACATTGTACCAATGTCAAAATTCCTGATTTTGATATTGTGCTTTGGTCGGGTTAAACAGGTTGAGTATCCCCTATCCAAAATGCTTGAGACCAGAAGTATTTCAGATTTTGAATTTTTTCAGACTTTGGAATATTTGCAGGATACTTAGCAGGCAGAGCATCCCAAATCTGAAAATCTGAAATCCAAAATTTTCCAATGAGCATTTCTTTGAGCATCATGTCAGTGCTCAAAAAATTTCAGATTTTGGAGCATTTAGGATTTCAGATTTTAAATGCTCAACCTGTATAAGCATTGGGGAAAAATGAAGTAGCATATAGGATCTTTCTGTGCAATCTTTGCAACTTCCTGTGCAAAAAAATCTATAATTATTTCAAAATTAAAATTTTTTAAATTTCTATCAGAAACATATACAATGGGGGTAGGAGGAGGCTAAAGGCAAATATACATTTATAATTTTATATTGTACATACACAATAAAGTATACATTAATATATAAAATATTACAATATACATTTTAAATGTTTGCCAAACATATTTGTGTAGATTTTCTCCAGAACAGTTACTTAGTAAACTATATTTTGCTCTATAAAGAATATCAGGACCAGTCAATACACTAGCAAGAACTTCCTACCATTTTTAGTAATTACATCTTATATACTAGAGAAACCACCTTTTATCTTTTCCTTGAAAACTTTACTATCTCAAAATACAATCCCTTCTACTTTCAGACCATAGTTATTAGAAAACTCTTCTTTAAAATATCCCTAAATTGTCATCCTGTAGGTAATTTTCACTTAATGAAGCAAAAATTGTATACCAGACAGAACTTAATGTAAATCTTAGCTCTACTTAGTTTACAGCTACTAAACTGTAAAATCCCTAAAATATTAATTATTCCAGAAGGGTAAATGAGATGTCACTTATAAAGTATAACAATGCCTAATAAGACAGCAGATGCTCAGAAAGGTTTTAATACACTTTTTAAAAGAAAAATGTTAAAGGAAACACAAACACCTGGGCTTAAGGTTTGCTATTGAAAAGTAATTTAAACTCCAAATATTAGAAATGGTTATGTCTTAAGTTTTCTCCCTTTATGTTTTGTATGTTTACCTTTAGTTTATAAATTGCAGGACTTCCTGGGAAAAGTTTCGCTGCCCTTTCAACCCAGTATTTTGCTCTTCCATCAGTAACATCATTTTTACAAAGCAATTCTGCAATCTTCAACACAAGATCTTTTTGTGGTGGGTTTAATTCCAGTGAACGCTAATATCAGAAAAGAAATTAAAGATTAGTAAATAAATTGTATGTATGTATGTAGGAGTATATATACTTATATACTTATATATAAAGGTTAAAAATTATCACTCCAACCCTTAAAAAATTCTACTTCTAGAGAAAACATGTTACTTCAAAGGTGTTAAAATAAAAGTGTCTTGGAATTTTCTGGAAATGAATCAAATAAAAATTATATTTGTGTCATTTGAATGCAAAAGAACACAAAAGAACACCATTTCTGACCATGTTAGACTTACAATTTATAGGTGTTAAACAATTCTAAATCTGTTCCAAGCTGTGTCACATAATTGTACTATGATACCAATGCCTGTTTTATGATATTCATAAAATATATTTGACTTACTTATATAAATTTCTCTGGGCATCATGTGTTTGGCTATGCAAAGGCTATATTTGAATCCTATAACTTACCCTGTAACATTCAACGGCTTTCTCTGTGTTTTCTTCCAATTCATAAAGAAGACCCAGAAATCTGTGAGCTCTGGGATCCCTCTCTTGCACACTAAGGTAAGTACATACGTATCTGTTTTTCAAAAGTAATACAAAAGTAAATTAAACTTAGAACTGTACTTTTAAATGCTAACCGAAGAATACATCTTAAACCAAAGCAACCACTAAACTCGTTTATATTGTTACTCAAAACTACCACTATTTATGCAGATAACTCAGAAGTATTCATAGAAAGAAATGGGTAATACTTAAAAACACGTACATAGAGTTGACCACATACTCGTTTTACCATTAAATGTCACATTTACCAAATTTTTCTCCAGTGTTATCCACGCATAAGAAATGAACATATAAATTGCTTTTTCTTCCTGATCACATTTTAATAAAGCACTAACAGTTTTGCAAATAAATTAGAAGTGATTATAGTAAACATTTTTAAAGTTATCATAATGCAAAATACTAAACAGCAACAATTTCCCAAACAACAAAGGGAAATACACCTACCCTTTAAGCAAGAAAGTAATTTCTAACAGTACTATATCCAGCTAAAATCGAACAGAAGACAAATTACTAATTACAGTACCAAATACAGGAAATTTCCATTTCTCAAATCAAGTAACAACTAAAATAAGTAAATATCCTCTAGGTTCCTTGACAGTATTACCATCAGAGAAATTAGGCCAGACCCAAACTAAGGGATTAAAGTCTCACAGTAAAAAGGTACAAGAGTTAACAGTCACAGTGCTGCTAGTTACATAATTTATGTACCACCATTTTCCTTTCTTACCAGCATTTCCATCTTCCTTTGGATGCCTTTAAAAGCCTGCCTCCCAGCTGGGAGCAGTAACACACACCTGTAGTCCCAACAGTATGGGAGGCCGAGGCAGGCAGACTGCTGTGCTCAGAAGTTCAAGACTAGCCTGGGCAACATAGTGACACCTGTCTCTACCAAAAAATGCAAACCTTAGCCAGGTGTGGTGGTGCTCATCTGTATCCCCAGCTACTTGGGGCGCTGAGGTGGGAAGATCTCTTGAGCCCAGAAGGCAGAGGTTACAGTGAGCAAAGATGGAGCCAGCTGCTGCACTCCAGCCTGAGCAAGAGAGACAGATACTGCCTAAAAAAAAAAAAAAAAAAAAAAAAACCCTGCCTCCCTCTTAATTTCCTGCTTTAATCCACTCCCAGTCAGGAAATCAGAATCACCAAGCTTCTTATCCCTAGGATAGAGCCTTAGAGCATCACATATTGTGTCAATTAAAGATCTTTTATACAAGCTATTCTCCTGCCTTACAATTACAGTTTTTTATTCATTGCTATTTTCCATCTGATTAAGGTATCAGATATCTAACCAAAAACAAATGAAGATATAGGCATGGTCCTCTTTTACTCCAACAGAAGACAATTTTTAGAAAAAGTGTTTTAAGCCAAACAATTTCTTGCCCTTGGTATAAAGCAGCAGCATGCAGAAAACACTAATTACGGTTTCAATCTCAATGGAATCTAGGCTGGTCCTTAGCATCAGTCTGAGTGATAAATCCCTTATTCCAGAATACACTTAGGAAGAACTACTAAGAACATATTTTTACCTATTTCAAAGAAGAAAATGAGAAAAGGCATTGATTTTAAAAAAAGAATACATGTTACAGTTTGTACTTACTTTTTAGCAAGATCATATTCTTTAGCTTCATAATACAGCTTTGCAAAATAGAATCCTCTCAACTTCTAAAAAAAATTAAAAGTTGTTTTACGTTTCATACAGAAATATTCTCCAACATTTTTTCAAAAGTAGTAAAAATCTGCCCTAAGTTTATGTTCAAATATGCCATTTTCATTCACTTAAAAGTTTTTTTTAAAGCCTGACAAATGCATAATTCCATGTTTTATAATTTCCTATCACAAAACAAAAAATAGAGCTGGGTGCAGCGGCTCATGCCTGTAATCCCAGCACTTTGGGAGGCCGAAGTGGGCGGATCACCTGAGGTCAGGAGTTTGAGACCAGCCTGGCGTTATAACATGGTGAAACTCCGTCTCTACAAAAATAGAAAAATTAGCCAGGCATGATGGCGGGTGCCTGTAATCCCAGCTACTCGGGAGGCTAAGGCACGAGAATCAGTTGAACCCAGGAGGTGGAGGTTGCAGTGAGCCAGAGGTTGCAGTCAGCTGAGATCGTGCCATCGCACTCCAGCCTGGGCGACAGAGACTCCATCTCCCAAACATCATCATCATCGTCATCATAAATAAGCTGGGTGCAGTTGGTCACACCTTTAATTCTATTTAATTCTAGCACTTTCAGAGACCAAGGTGGGAGGCTAGCTTTGAGGCCAAGAGTTTGAAACCAGCCTGTGCAACACAACAAGATCCTGTCTCCAGGGGGAAAAAAATAGCCAGGCATAGTGGAGCATGCCTGTGTTCCTAGCTACTCAGGAGGCCAAGGAAGGAGAATCACTTGAGCCCAGGAGGTTGACACTGCCGTGAGTTATGACTGTGACACTGCACTCCAGCCTGGGTGACACAGGGAGATCCTGTCTCTAAATAATAAATACATAACATACAAAAAATAAATTCAAGAAAGCAAGACAAGCAGACAACAGAAGTTAAGAATTTTCATCAGCCTTGGAAATCTTGGAAACCCTGTGGTACCACTCTCTCACTTAACAAACAAAAGAAACCAGCTTTCTTTGGGGAGGAAAGGTATTCCAGAAATCTCTTCTCCTACCATGTGTAAGCCTCTATGGGAAAGAATAAGTAAGTACTTACGATCTATTAAGGCACTGAGGATTCCCTGTGCCTTAATAGTACATGTACTGTTCTCTCTACAGATCAGATCAGTATTTTACAGTCAAGGAGTCAAAAAGGCAGAAATAAATATTGAATTCTTCAAGTAATAAACAAGGTCCACAGCCTGGCTCCTTGGTTACGTAAACTCCAAAGTCCAAAATGCTGATGCACACCAGGCTGGGTGCGGTGGCTCACACCTGTAATCCCAGCACTTTCGGAGACTGAGGCGGGTGGATCACTTGAAGCCAAGAGTTCGAGACCAGCCTGGCCAACATGCAGAAACCTCCTTTCTACTAAAAATACAAAAATTAGCTGGGCATGGTGGCACACGCCTGTAATCCCCGCTGCTTGGGAGGCTGAGGCAAAGAATCGCCTGAACCCGGGAGGCAGCAGTGGGCCAAGACCGCACCACTGCACTCCAGCCTGGGCAACAGAATGATTCCATCTCAAAAAAAAAAAAAAAAAAAAAAAAAAAAGCTGATACAACCAGAGTATGTTCCATCCATGTGATAAAGAGTATACAGCCACTCAAACATCTTATTTTTGAAATTCCAAGACCCCAGTGAATGTCCAAAACGATGAACAGTATCAAACCAGGTTGCCATCAATCGAAACATGTTTCCTGTTTGTGTCCTCCACCCACAAATTTAATGTCTTGTCCATCTCAACAAAGCACTTATCACACACTGTGGCTGTAACTTTTGCAGTTTGGGGTGTCACAACAAAACTAGCACAAATTTCTTTTTCCTTCTTCACAATTTCATGGACAAAAGATTTGTTCTTACCGTAGATCTTAGCAACCCCAGTATACGATCTTTTTTCTTTCCTAAGTCAAAAACTCACCTCTTCACTTAAAGGAAGCACTATATGGCTTCTCTCTGGCATATGTGAACTGCCAGCATCGCTATTCTTGCTCTTTGGTGCCATTTTAAATAAAATAAGGGTTACTTGAACACAAGCACTGCAATACTCCAACAACTGATCTGATAACTGAGATGGCTAGTATGTAACTAGCGGGTGGGGAGCACATACAGCATGAATATATTGGACAAAGGGATGATTCGTGTCCTGGGTAGGACGGAGCAGGAGGCTGTGAGATTTTTATCATGTTATTCAGAACTGTTTGCAATTTAAAACTCATGAAATGTTTATTTATATAATCTTCCATTCAATATTTTTGGACCACGGGTGACGCAGGTAAGTAAAACCACGTAAGGCAATACTGTGGATAAGAAGGGACTACTGTACCAGCAACGAACAATCAGAAAAGGAAATTAAGAAAGCAATTCCATTTACAATCGCATCTAAATGAAAAAAATGCCTGGGAATAAATGTAAACAAGGAGGTGAGAGACTTGTATGCTTAAATTACAAAACGTTGCTCAATGCCAGGCTAACACCTGCAATCCCAGCACTGGCGACAGAGCAAGACTCCATCTCAAAAAAAAAAGAACTATAGCAATCTTAACAAAAATAATACACAACAGTCAGGACAGCACATAAAGGAACAAGGCTTGTTCCCCGCTTCCTTTTTTTTTTTGAGATGGAGTCTTGCTCTGTCGCCAGGCTGGAGTGCGGTGGCTCGATCTCAGCTCACTGCAACCTCTGCGTCCCGGGTACAAGCTGGGACTACAGGCGCACGCCACCATGCCCAGCTAATTTTTGTATTTTTAGTAGAGATGGGGTTTCACCATGTTGGCCAGATGGTGTCGTTCTCTCGACCTTGTAATCTGACTTCCTCCGCCTCCGAAGGTGCTGGGATTACAGGCCTCAGCCACCGAGCCCGGCCAGTTCCCCCTTTTCAAAATGAAGAAATAGATTCAAGGTACAATGCCAAAACATAATAGAAAAATAATTCCATTACCTTCTTTGCTTCCAACTATGTTATTAAAGTAGACAATCTTAAGATAATTAAACAACTTTACAAATTATTCTTCTGTATGATCTTTTGCCTCTAACCTCACTTTACAAGGGAACTGAAGCTCAAGCAGGCAAATGCCTTGTTTAAAGATATACAGCTAGGAAGGAGCACAGCCCACGTTATGTAAACAGGACAATATCTGATTCAAGCAGTACTTCTTTACATGACAGCAGATGTCACTATAAGCAAATACCTGAATTCACTTAAGCTGCCAAATATCAAGAACTGATGCAGGGCTGAAAACAGGAACAGTAAGACCCTAAGAGATGCCACATCATCGCTATCTTGCACAGTAAGATAGAGATGTAATTGTAATTGTCCAAAACTTAACATTTGTGGCCTACTTTTTCATTATGCAGTTCTAAATTTCTCTCTCTTTTTTTTTAATTCAAACGGAGTCTCGCTCTGTCGCCCATCTTGCACAGTCAAATGAATCTCCCTCCCCCTAAAATCCTCCAAAAAAGCTGCTGTTCTCAACAAACCGATCTGATCAGCTCCAAATCTGTGGAGTCCCAACAAGGGTGAAGGCCGTGATTATACAGGACAATGAGGAAAAGTCTAGATACTGAAACATGAATTCCCCAATCTTCTTCCCCTGGAACATAAGGGTAAGGAAATCTCTCAAAAGGCAGAACAAACAAAAGAGGAGAATAAGAGAAAAATTAGAGAAACTCCAGCTTTCAGGTAAACATCATTAAAAAAAGGGTAAGAAATGGTCAAAGAAATAATACAAGAAACGCTACAGAACTGAAAGAAATGAGTTTCCCAATTGAAAGGACACTTCCAGAAAACCTTTGTTACCAAGAACAAGACTCTCATCAGACTCCTAACAACAGAACTTCTGGAAAATGGAGCAATGCTTTCAAAATTGCGAAAAAAATTATTTCAAACTCAGAATTCGATAACCAAATGATCAACTAAATTAAGTAAAGATGTTTTAAAGACATACCATTAGTTTCCAGACCAGCCTGAACAGTATGGTGAAATTCCATCTCTACTAAAAATAGAAAAAATTAGCCGGGCATGGTGGCGCACACCCGTAATCCCGCTACTCGGGAGGCTGAGGCAGGAGAATCACTTGAACCCGGGAGGCGGAGGTTGTGGTGAGCTGAGACCATGCCACTGCACTCCAGCCTGGGCAACAGAGCAAGACTCTGTCCCAAAACAAAAACAAACAAAAAAACCTCTCATCCACTTTTCCTCAAAGCAAGTGAACTATGCTACACCAAAACAAAGAAAGTAAATGAAGATGACATGAGATACAAGAAACAAAGGGTCTAACTCAGAAAAAAGATGAAGGGAATTCTCAAACTGGTGATAAAGGGAAGTCCCAAGAGCACAGCTGTGTAGCAAAGAGGAAGAAAAACCAATCTGGGTTGGAGAAGTCGGTTAGTAAGGGTATTCCAGGTAGACAGACAATCAATCAATCAATCAATCAATCAATGTTTTAAGCTGAAATTGATCGGATTATGTGACCAGTTTGACCACATTTGAGGGTTTAAGTTGCTGAGTTTAAGTAACCAAGTAGTAACACAACATACAAGCAAACCAAAAAATAAAGCAATTATTCAGTCCAGGAAAAACAAAACTGCACAACAAGGGCAATTCAAATGCAAAATATTTACCTTATATTTATATAAATGTTAAATATTCATTTAAACAAAAACTCCAATAACAGTACTGAAACAATGAGGGGCAAAGCAAAGTGTCTGAGGACAGTTTTGGAGGAGCATAATAGCCAGTACAGAATGTCTAAAGTGGGGCCGGGCGCGGTGGCTCACGCCTGTAATCCCGGCACTTTGGGAGGCTGAGGCGGGCGGATCATGAGGTCAGGAGATCGAGACTATCCTGGCTAACACGGTGAAACCCCGTCTCTACTAAAAATACTAAAAAATTAGCCGGGTGTTGTGGCGGGTGCCCGTAGTCCCAGCTACAGGCTGGGGCAGGAGAATGGCGTGAACCCCGGAGGCAGAGTTTGCAGTGAGCCGAGATCGCGACACTGCACTCCAGCCTAGGCCATAGAGCGAGACTCTGTCTCAAAAAAAAAAAAGAAAACAAAATGTCTAAAATGGGAGAAAGGGAATTCAAAATAACAAAAGTATATGTGTGTGTTACTCAGAAGCATGAAGTATAGATGTAAAGGGCAGAAAAAACAACTAACAGCTGTCAAAGGTGCCTGCCTGTAGTCCTAAGTACTCAGGCAACAGAGGTAGGAGGATCATTTATGCCCAAAAATTTGATGGCAGCCTGGACAACACAGCAAGACCCTATTCTAAAAAACAAATAAATAAAAATAAGAGCTGTCAAGTAGAGTTTGAGAAGTAGGAATCAGCTGCAGAATAAGAAACCAACTTGACAGAACATAGAAAAACTAAACAGAAGCCATCTGGAAAAAGAAAAACTAGAGAAAGAATTATATATTTTTTTATTTTTTTATTTTTTGGAGACAGAGTCTCGCTCTGTCACACAGGCTGGAGTGCAGTGGCGCAATCTCTGCTCACCACAACCTCTGCCTCCAGGGTTCAAGCAATTCTCCTGTCTCAGCCTACCGAGTAGGTGGGACTACAGGCGCTGCCACCACGCCCGGCTCATTTTTGTATTTTTAATAGAGACGGATTTTCACCATGTTGGTCAGGCTGGTCTCTCTGCCTCCCAAAGTGCTTGGATTACAGACGAAGAATATTTTTAAGAAGGGCAAAAGCACATGTGAGGGAGTACAAAAATGGCAAAACAAGAGAAGACTAACAAATGAAAGCACAATGGAAGACTAGAAAGATATGATATACAGACGCATCATCACACTCCAAAACTCAGACATTCTAGAAAGCATGGGCAGTTCACAGATGGCCAGTCTCTGCCAAACTGGGGGAGAATATTAACCTCTTTATATTCTTCACAGCCACTGCCTCTTCTCCCTCCATTCCTTACCTTCTATCCAAAGCACCCTGTTTTGTCATTTCACTCAAACCTAACTTTACAGAATAGCTTCACATGTTCCAAAGTTACTCACTAGTTAATCCATATTCCGCTGAAATCCCCAGGTTCTAATGTAAATGACTTTAAATTTGGGGGAAAAAAAAAAGACTCTAAGTGTAAGAGAGGTGGTCATAATAACCAATCCTCAAAATGTTGCTACCACTCCACTTTATTTAATGGAGACGTTATGTAGTTGAAAGAACATTCTAACTTCTGTCTAGACCAGTGGTTTTTAATCTTTTGGAAGCCAAGATCCCCACTAAGAATCTCAGAAAGGCTCTAAACATGCTTTTTTTTTTTTTAAGCTTGTTTAAAAAAAAAAAAATCAGGCTGAGCAGAGTGGCTCACACCTGTAATCTCAGCACTTGTGGCCAAGGCGAGAGGATCACTTGAGCCCAGGAGTTGGAGACCAGCCTGGGTAACATGGTAAGACCCCGTCTCTACATTAAAGAAAAAAGCCGGGCATGGTGGCGCATGCCTGTAGCTGGCATGCCTGTAGTCTCAGCTACCCAGGAGGCTAAGGTGGGAGGATGGATTGAGCCCAGGACGTCAACGCTGCAGTGAGCCACGATCCTGCCACAGCACTCCAGCCTGGGAGACAGAAAGAGACCTTGTCTCAAAAATAAAATAATGGCCAGTGCAGTGGCTCACGCCTATAATCCCAACACTTTGGGAAGTGGAGGCGGGGAAATCACTTGAGCCCAGGAGTTCAAGAACAGCCTGGGCAACATGGTGAAACCCAGTCTCTACCAAAAATAAAAACAAAACAGAACAAAACAGCAGGTGTGGTGGGTACACCTGTGGTCCCAACTACTCGGGAGACTGAGGTGGGAGGATCGCTTGAGCTGGGGAGGCGGAAGTTGCAGTGAGTCGAGATAGCGCCACTGCATCCAGCTGGGTGACAGAGTGAGACCCCACCTAAAAAAAAAAAAATAACACAAAAATTAAAGTCTTTAATTTCAGGAGTTACAGGAACCCTCAATTAAGGTCTGTTTTAGACTCTATCATCACATTCATATTTATACTATGCTAGCAGTTTGAAATTACAATGTACAAGTAGATATCTATCCTTCTTCTCTGGAGGAATAGACTGTAACTTACTCCACTGTTCCCAAGAGAAACTAAATCAGACCCACTGCCAAAATTCTGCTGCACTACCTATTTCACCCTGAACAAGTATCTTAAATCTCTACAGGTCTCAATATCCACAGGGTTGCTGGAAGCGCAAAATAAGATAACGTATGCTTAGTTATGATAAGAGACACAATTATGCTACTATTATAATCATGGTCATCCGTTGAGTTTCCGTTTTTTGGTTTTTTTTTGTTTTTTTTTGGAGTCTCCCTCTGTCGCCCAGGCTGGAGTGCAGTAGCGCGACCTCGGCTCACTGGAACCTCCACCTCCCGGGTTCAAGCGACTCTCCTGCCTCAGCCTCCCGGGTAGCTGGGACTACAGGTGTGCACCACCACGCCCGGCTAACTTTTTTTCTATTTTTAGTAGAGACGAGGTCTCGACATGTTAGCCAGGTTGGTCTCCAACTCCTGACCTCAGGCAATCCGCCCTCCTCGGCCTCCCAAAGTGGTGGGATTACAGGCGTGAGCCACTGCGCCCCGCCAATATCCTTTTAACATCAACAATAAAAACAGTGACTTGTAGCTAACACTTAGTGCTATGTGTCAAGCAATACCCTAAATGTTTAAAATGGATCATCCTATCAAATTCTATTAATGTTACAACTCCATCTATGGATGAAAAGTGTAACTGGCCCCAAATACCCAGCTTATAAACGACAGTGCTGTGATTATTCAAGCCAAAGCAAACTGACTCAAGATTCTGTGCACATCCACCTTTAATAGCTTCTTCCGTCACTCTTTAGATCCAATTACTAAAGTCTTATTGAATCCAAAATAGATCACATTATTTACCTGTAAAGAGGAAAAATACCCTAAAAACATTTGTGGAAAAGGTTAAAAATTGTAAGCCATACTAACGATTTGTAAGAACTTTAGAATTTTTTTTTTTTTAAGCAAAGGCAGCTACCAAAGTGTTCTGGGCGGGGTGGGGGGGGGGCGAGGGAGGTGAGTATGAGTGGAGTTGGACCCTTATAAAGGGACAGCGACAAACACCTCATACTCAAAACAAGGGGACTTCCCCTGTCATTTGCGCCGTCGGGCCACTGCAAATGTCCGTGCTGAGATGCCTACGTTGTCACTCGACACAGCCGCCAAAGCTCACCCGGAGCTGCGTCAGTCCCCACTGGGTTCCTCCAGGCCAAGGAGGTACGACCTCCGCCGCAGCATATAAAGTAAATGTCCAGGACATGG
The DNA here is from genome assembly GCF_000001405.40 of Homo sapiens. Taxonomy (NCBI): domain Eukaryota; kingdom Metazoa; phylum Chordata; class Mammalia; order Primates; family Hominidae; genus Homo; species Homo sapiens. Next base: position 86,943,019 of record NC_000002.12, on the reverse strand, counting down.
GAAGAAACCCGCCGATACAGCACCCGGGTGCCCAAGCCCCCGAGAACTAGGCCGCGCGGGTACTATGGGGCCAGAAAGCCCGGGCCAGGGCGGGCCCACGAGCGAGCACCGTCGGGAACAAACCGGGAGAAAGAGGAAGATCCGGCGCCAAAGGTATCCCGCCCACCGCGGTCCCCCCAGGACTCTTCCTGCGCTTGCAAGCGCCACGCCGCCCACAGGACTGCGCCAGCCGGCCGGCGCCTCAACAGAGCGCGCCAGGGAGCAGCGCCCGTCAGGAGCCATGACGCCTGAGCCATCGAGGCCGCCGCCGGGCCACGTCGAGGCCACCGCCGCCCGGCCAGGTCGAGGCCGCCGCCGCCGCCCGGCCAGGTCGAGGCCGGCGCCTCAACAGAGCGCGCCAGGGAGCAGCGCCCGTCGGGAGCCATGACGCCTGAGCCATCGAGGCCGCCGCCGGGCCACGTCGAGGCCGCCGCCGCCGCCCGGCCAGGTCGAGGCCGCCGCCGCCGCCCGGCCAGGTCGAGGCCGCCGCCGCCGCCCGGCCAGGTCGAGGCCGGCGCCTCAACAGAGCGCGCCAGGGAGCAGCGCCCGTCGGGAGCCATGACGCCTGAGCCATCGAGGCCGCCGCCCGGCCAGGTCGAGGCCGCCGCCCGGCCAGGTCGAGGCCGCCGCCCGGCCAGGTCGAGGCCGTCGGTCTCTTCGAGATCCACTCACCTTTCCAGGCGACGGGGCGGAGCCCTGCACCGAGGCGACGTACCGCTCCCCGTAGGCCTTGCTGCGCCTCATCGCACCGCCAACCTGGCTCCCGAGACGCGTGAAACCAGCGCTCAGCCCCGCAGCAGTCGCCAATTCCAACAGGAAAGCGCCTGAAAGCCACTGACGTAGCCGGCGGAGGACCACTGTGACGCACTTGTGTACTGCGTCAGCACTGTGTATCCTTGGCGACGTCGGCGCTCGAGCTGCACTCGGCCGGGCTCTTGGCAGCACCCTGTGCTCTGAGGGTGTCTTGCCCGCCGGGCGCCGTGGCTCACGCCTGTAATCCCAACACTTTGGGAGGCCGAGGCGGGCGGATCACCTGAGGTCATGAGTTGGAGACCAGCCTGGCCAACATGGCGAAAACCCATCTCTACTAAAAATACAAAAAATTACCCGGGCGTGGAGGTGGGCCCCTGTAATCCCAGCTACTCGGGAGGCTGAGGCACGAGAATCGCTTGAAACTGAGAGGCGAGGGTTGCAGTGAGCTGAGATCGCGCCACTGCACTCAAGCCTGGGCGAGAGTAAGACTTCCTAAAAAAAAAAAACAAAGCGCATTCTCAAATCCCGCAGTCAGTCCTGCGGGTGGAACACTTAGAGGAAAAGTCAGACCTCTCTATATGCAGGCCCCTCCAATACTGTATTTTCTGTCAGCTTATAAGTGGACCCAGGCAGTTCAAACCCATGTTATTCAAGGGTCAACTGTGTATATAGGAACAGCCATTCGCCTGGCACAGTGGCTCAAGCCGGTAGCCCCAGCACTTTGGGAGGTCGAGGCGGGAGGATCCCAAGAGTTCCAGGTTACAATGAACTGTGATAGCGCCACTGCATTCCATCCTGGGCACCAGAGTGAGACACTTGTCTCAAAAAAAAAAAAAAGGAAAAGGAATAGCCCCCCAAATCTATATATATTTCACTAGCAGAATAACAGAACATACCAAAATTTAACAGTAATAATGTAAAGATTTTCAGCCGTCTGTATTTTCCAAATCTTCAAAAATGTCTATTTTGGGAATTTGGATATTAAAATCTTACTTTTAAAACAAAATTTAACAAAACATTTTTAATAGTGAGAGCCTTTTAGATTTTAAAAGCTCACATTTGTGTAAACATTACAGTCTTAATTATGTGGACAAATATCAAATGCGTTGATATTTTTAACTGGAAATTTGGGCTATTTTGGTTGTGGATAATTTTTTATCCTTTTTGTTTTTCCATATTTTCTAAATTTTGATATAATGAACAAGTATTGCCTTTCTAAAAAAGGAAAAACAGCATTTTGTTTTATTTCAACCATATTGGATGTGAATAAAAGAAAAGAAAAAGATGATTCTGAGCTTACCAGTGTGTGTGGCCCACATTAACAGAAATGACATGTAAAGAAAATCTAGTTTGGAGTGGAAAATCCTATTTTAGGTAGTTGATTTCTTTCACTTGAGGTACCATTTATCTATCCATGTGGGGATAGCCTAGTAGGAAGATGAAATGGTAGGACAGAGATCTTGATGGAAGCCAGTAGTTGTGGCACAGTTCTGAGGCCCAGCTACTCCAAAGGCAGAGGGGGGAACATCCCTTTAGCCCAGGAGTTGGAGACTGCAATGAGTTATGTTCATGCCTTTGCACTCCAGCCTCTGGAAGAGAATGAGATTCCTATCTCTAAAATGAAAAGAGGGCCAGGCACGATGGCTCACGCCTGTAATCCCAGCACACTGGGAGGCCCAGATGGGTGGATTGCTTGAGGCCAGGAGTTCAAGACCAGCCTGGCCAACATGGTGAAACCCTATCTCTACTAAAAATGCAAAAATTAACTGGGTATGGTGGTGCACGCCTGTAATCCCAGCTTCTTTGGATGGCTGAGGCACCAGAATTGCTTGAACGTGGGAGGTGGAGGTTGCAGTGAGCTGGGATCGTGCCAGTGCACTCCAGCCTGGGTGACAGAGCAGACTCTGTCTCAAATAATAAGAATAATAATATTTAATTAATTTAAAAATAAAAACCAAAAGAGAAGATCTGATGAACTTAGAAGTCATATATCTCAGGTGATAGGTGAAACCACAAGTTTGCCTTGAAAAGTGTGTTGATGACAATAGCCATACCTAACAAGTACTTGCTGTGTTCCAAAGCTCTTTTTGTTAGCACTTCATTTGTATTAACTAATATCATTCTTCCACCAACTTTGTAAGGGTACTGTTATTATCCTCAGTTTTTACAGATAAGGAAAGCAAAAGACAGCCAGGTACCATGGCTCATGCCTGTAATCCAAAACTTTGGGAGGCTGAGGTGGGAGGATCACTTGAGCCCAGTAGTTCAAGACCATCCTGGGCAACATAGCAACACCCTGTGCTTACAAAAAAAGAGAAATTAAAAACTAGCCAGGCATGGTGGTACATGCCAGTAGTCCCAGCTATTTGGGAGACTGAAGCAGGAGGATCTCTTGAGGCTAGGTGTTGGAGGCTGCAGTGAGCTATGTTCACTCCACTGCACTCCAGCTTAGGTGACAGAGAAAGACCCTGTCTCAAAAAAAAAAAAAAAAAAAAAAGGAAACCAAGAGAATGAGCACTGAAGCAACTTGCCCAAACACACTCACCTAGTAAAAATGGTATCATTAATTCATTTATGCTGAATATGTTGAAAAGGAGTGCCCAAAGAGAGAACCTTCTTTTCTTTCTTTCTTTCTTTTTTTTTTTTTTTGAGACGGAGTTTCACTCTGTGGTCCAGGCTGGACTCCAGTGGCGCAATCTCGGCTCATTGCAACCTCTGCCTCCCAGGTTCAAGCAATTCTTGTGCCTCAGCCTCCCGAGTAGCTGGGATTACAGGTACGTGCCATCACACCCGGCTAATTGTTGTATTTTTAGTAGAGACGGGGTTTCACCATGTTGGACAGGCTGGTCTTGAACTCCTGGCCTCCAGTGATCCATCTTCCTCAGCCTCCCAAAGTGCTCGGATACAGGTGCCCGGCATCCACCGTGCCCAGCATCCAAAGAGAGAATCTTCTTGAGGAACTCAAAAGACTTTTCTCTTTTGGATAAGCAGTTCATATTTCTGCATTTATTACGGATTTTCACATTTTACTTCATTTCACACTACTTTTTTTTTGTTCAGTGGTATAACATTTTCACCATGGCACTGAAAATTCCATTTGCATTAATGTCCAATGTCATATATTCCTACCATGTTGCAAATACAGTTCATTTGTCCAGCTTTACTGAGGTATAATTCACAAATAAAAATTGTATACCTTTACTAGGTACAACATGATGTTTTGCTATCCAAGCATACCTCATTTTATTGCACTACATTTTATTGTACTTCACAGATACTATGTTTTTGACAAATTGAAAGTTTATGCCCACTCTGTGTCAAACAAATCTTTCTGCATCATTTTTCTTTTTTGAGAGAGTCTCACACTGCCGCCCAGGCTGGAGTACAGTGGCACGATCTCAGCTCACTGCAACCTCCTGTGGCAGGCCAGGTCTCACTAATGCAGACTTCCATAACAACTGTTTCAGTAATGACTGAATGAAGTTAAATACTAAAAGCCAGTGCCCTTATACAAAGGCTGGGATGTAACAAAAGGCCATCAAAACTTTTGCCTAGGCCTGTCCTGGGCCTTAAAGCATGACAAAATAATGAAGGAATTCTTTTTATTTATTTATTTTTTTTTTTTTTTGAGATGGAGTCTTGCTTTGTCTGAATATGTCAGCTTGCTTGATAGGTAACTTGATTGAGTCTAGGCGTTGCCCATGCCTACTCTGATCTTTACCCTCAACCTAAATAGCATATGTATAGTTCTCTTGATTAATCCTTAAAGTTTAACTCCCTACCTTACCCCCACCAAACTAGTATTTCTCCTCAAGGAAAATACTGTCTGCTCACACTGGGGCCATGGAAGAACCACCTGACATGAGTTTTTGTGATTTTCTGTTTATCTCAAAACTTGGCCTTCGGCATTTACATCTTGGATGGCTTTTTGTATCTCCATTTTCTCTTTATAGTTTCATAAACAGTTCCTCTTGAAAAATTATCAGTGGTAAAATCTGATGAGTATCAATAGTCTCCAAAGTGCTTTTTATCTTCATCCTTTATCCAATACATTCTTACACCCTCTGAAATTGTTTAGTTTGCAGAAACTTAGCTTACCCCTTTTTGACTATTTACAGCCATGGCAATTTTTACTTGGTTTGTTTTACTGCCCAAGCCAGTCTTAGAATTTCTCAAAGCCTCAACCCAAATATAAAATCCTTCAGGAATGAGACTTAGTACAAATATATGGGCAATATTATAAATTTTAATTAGCCTAATGGCCTCCATAGTCCTATGACAACCTTTGCAATTTTTGCTGAACTCTATGCAAGGTATCTCTACCCAAGAGATAACTGAGAATTCCTTTCTTACTTACTTCTGTTACAAGTAATTCCTCTTTTGTTTTTAAAACTACACGTGGCTCTCCTAATTTTTACCTCCTGAATCAACAACATATTTACTTATATTTGCCTCATTAGAACCTAACTTGCATATACACATAATAACTCCAGGTATATTGGAGTTATTATGTAGCTCCAATGTAATAATTAGACAATTTAAGAGACTTCTCATGTCTTCCAGGAGATCATGCTTACCTGGAAGTGTCTGAGAGGACACTGATCTCCCTGGATGGGGGTTACAAAAGTTGAAAAAGCTATCAAAACTTGGTTAATAATGCTGACTGAAAAGATAAAGCCATAAAGCCCTAGAAGTATAACCAACTAATCTAAAATAATTAATCCAAGTGGTTACAGGTAACAGCATAGCTTTAGATTGCTTAATGGTACACCAAGAAAAAAATATGACATATTGCTAACAGTCCCTGATGAATGTGGAGGGAAGGTTGACTAACCTATAGTCAAACTGAAAGAAAAGACAATTTGGCTAATCAAAAGTGGACTCAGAAGGACCCTTGAGATCTGACCTCCTGGTCAGAATAAGGAAATCTTTGGTCATCAATCTAAAGTGACTTCCAGTGTCTCCTTATCATCATTCTGGTTATTCTTGTCTCAGTCTTCTAATGCCTGGTCTCCAGAGCTGTATATGCCACTGCATAGCTGTTATTTCACTGATGGCACAAAAAATTATTTTGCAATGGAACGAAAAATAAAGGGATTCTGATATTCAGTCAGGCCAAATGCCAAGCCCTTCAGTTAGAATTCCTACAAAGGTAATAAGCCATACAGCAGTGAATACGTAATCATCTGCTCTACTTCTACAGGACTAAGGGATGGTGAAAATAGGGGAGGGGATTGTTAAAACTCTGCCAGGTTCCCAGTCTGTGCACTCAAAAGTGTTGACCCTATGTCCCTGAGCTTAACATTCATATCCTGTCTCAGACCTCTTTGTTAAGCAATGTCTGTGCTTTTGTGACAAAAGCAGAAAAAATAAAATAAAATAAAATAAAATGGAGAATTTCGAGTCCCCAAATGAACCAATTATAACTTAATGCCTAGAACTGGCCAAGCACAGTGGCTCACGCCTGTAATCGCAGCACTTCGGAGGCCAAGGTGGGCAGATCGCTTCAGGTCAGGAGTTCGAGACCAACCTGGTCAAAATGGTGAACCCGTATCTCTACTAAAAATACAAAAATTAGCCAGGCATGGTGGCAGGTGCCTGTAGTCCCAACTACTTGGGAGGCTGAGGCAGGAGAATCTCTTGAACCTGGGAGGCAAAGGTTGCAGTGAGCTAAGATGGAGCCACTGCAGTCCGGCCTGGGCGACAGAATGAGACTCTGTCTCAAAAAAAGGAACTTAGTGCCTAGAATCCTTCCCAACATGTAATAAGCTTTATTTTCTTCTTCATCTATCTCTCCCACTTTCTGTGCGGAAACACTGAACTCATTACTTAACCAGCAAGCAGATTGATTTACATTTATTTATTTAAGCTCTGGTTGTGTTTGTATTATTCCTTAAAGGTATTTATAAAATATTTTATTGAGGCCTGGTGCGGTGGCTCATGCCTGTAATCCCCGCACTTTGGGAGGCCAAGGCAGGCAGATCATGAGGTCAGGAGATCTAGAGCATCCTGGCTAACACAGTGAAACCCCGTCTCTACTAAAAATACAAAAAAATTAGCTGGGCATGGTGGCATGCGCCTGTAGTCCTAGCTACGTGGGAGGCTGAGGCAGGACAACAGCGTGAACCCGGGAGGTGGAGCTTGCAGTGAGCCGAGATTGCGCCACTGCACCTCCAGCCTGGGTGATAGAACGAGACTCCATCTCAAAAAAAAAAAATTTTTTTTCCAACAAATTTGTTTTTGATAAGAAAATATCTGATAATTATTAATTATCTGCCCCCATCCAATGCAAGATGGAAGAAGTAGTGCTGAACATTAATCTAGAAAATTAAGAATTTTTAAATATATCCATAAGCTTGTATGTTTGACATCATGAAGAAAACCACACTATTCCTAAAATATATTATACTTTATGTCATAAGCAGAGACAGACTATTGCATGAATAAACCAAACAGAATTAGCTTACCATAGCTTTTTTTTGAGACATTTTAAAAGTTATTATTTTTATATTTCATTTACTCTCTTGGGTATCTAAGCTAGAATTGATTTACTTTCATTACCTTTCAAATTATCCTCTTGATTTAGGCTTTCAGTGCAGACTGGGGAACTAAAAATTCCACAGAAACAAATCTCAGAAAATAAAATTCCCTTAGAATATGAGTATCAGAAAATAATCTTCTAGGTGTCATGACATCAAAAGTTTAAAAAGTTGATACTTTCCACAATATTTTCATATAGCAGTTCTCTAGAAATGCTTACTGGATGAATCTACAATGAACCAGAGTGAAACTGCCTGTTACCGAGTAATATCCCAATGGGCATTTGGTCTGTAAATACCTAATATCCCAATCAAGTATCTGCTACTAGATTAACTGTAATTGTAAGGTACTGCAACTGGGAGGCATAGGGGAGTAGATTTTTTAAAAGAAATGTTCCAAATTATACTTTGGCCTAAGTATTCAGCCAAAGTATGCTTCTCCAATTCTGCCTTGGCCCATCTCAAGTCATTTTTGGTATCCCTGAATGTCACATGGTCAGAGATTGCATGATCATTCAGTTACCATCATATCTAAACAGGGTAACAAAAATCTGGCCAGGCAGAGTGTCATGCCTGTAAGCCCAGCACTTTGGAAGGCCAAAGCGGGCAGATCGCTTGAGCCCAGGAGCTCAAAACTAGCCTGGGCAACATGGCAAAACCCCGTCTCTACCAAAAATGCAAAATTTAGCCGGGCGTGGTGGTGTGCGCCCGTAGTCCCAGCTACTTGGGAGGCTGAGGCAGGACAATCGCCCGAACTCGGGAGGCGGAGGTTGCAGTGCGCCGAGATTGCGCCACTGCACTCCAGTCTGGACGACAGAGCCAACCTCGTTTCCAAAAAAAAGTGAGTTGTGCACTGGGTCGCCAAGATGTCGTTCCCAAAGTATACTCCTTCACCCCTGGCCACTATGCCCTCAAACCAGCCGAATAGGACATGTCTTCGGAAACCCAGCAGGCGCAAGCCAAGTGGTTGACCATTAAGAGCCTGGCTGAAACCTGCTTACCCTAACTGCCGAGGGCTCATCGAAAATCCTGCCTTGATTCCTTGGACCTATGCAAGATCAGCAAGTGTCTTTCCTAATTTCAGACCCACTCCTAAAAACTCACTCTTGGGAGCTCTGTGTGGAATTGGGCCCCTCTTCTTCTGGTATTATGTTTTCAAAACTGACAGGGATAGGAAAGAAAAACTTATCTGGGAAGGAAAATTGGGTCCAACATTTAACCTGTCATATTAAGTCTGGCAATGATGACTATGTATTCTTGCTTAAATAAATCGTCTATTAATCATTAAACAAACAACAACAACAGAAAGTGAGAATTTTTTTTTTTTTTTTGAGACAGAGACTCGCTCTGTCTCCCAGGCTGGAGTGCAGTGGTGCAATCTGCTCACTGCAGCCTTCGCCTCCTGGATTCAAGCAGTTCTCCTGCCTCAGCCTGCCAAGTAGCTGGGATTACAGGCGCATGCGACCACACCCAGCTAATTTTTGTATTTTTAGTAGAGATGGGGTTTCACCATGTTAGCCAGGCTGGTCTTGAACTACTGACCTCAGGTGATCCACCCTCGACCTTCCACAGTGCTGAGATTACAGGCGTGAGCCACCACACCCGGCCCAAGAATATTTTTTCAAGTATGTCATATAGGTGCAGTGGCTCACGCCTGTAATTCCAGCACTTTGGGAGACTGAGGCCAGCAGATCCCTTGAGATTGGGAGTTTGAGACCAGCCTGGCCAACATGGTGAGACCCCGTCTCTACCAAAAAATACAAAAATTAGCCGGGCATGGCATTGTGGGCCTGTAGTCCCAGCTACTCAGGAGGCTGAGGCAGGGGAATAATTTGAACCCGGGAGGCAGAGGTTACAGTGAGCCAAGATCCCACCGCTGCACTCCAGCCTGGGTGACAGAGTTAGATGCCGTCTCAAAAAAAAAAAAAAAATTTACTCTTAGTATCTGAATATTCATTTTCCAATTTTAGGTGTTTTACATAAAACTTGGAATGAAAATCTTTTTGTGTCACTTTGTATGTTAAAATTTTCTCAATTAGATGAAGTATAAATGTACATTAATGCAAGAAGAAAATGTCACAATGATTATGAATGCTATTTATGTACGAAAGAAAGTAACAATTTTCAAATAGGCAAATAATAGTGTAATAATATTGAGAGAGTTAGCTAATGAATTTAAGAATATTAAATCCTTTTTCAGATGACAATTATAAAAACTTTAATGAAAAATACAAAGCAGAATAGAAATTTTATATCATAATTTCAATTGCATTCAGTTGTCATACCAGTATTATTTATACTAAACAAAATCATTTCTAAAGACTATATTTAATTTTTAGTTGTTTTATACCATGAAGTTTTTTTCTTCCTTTTTTTTCTGAGACTCAAAATCCATGAATCTTCTATGAGAAAATCTTATTTGGGGATTCTTCACATGTTTTTGTAGATAAATTAAAAGCAGAATGTTAACTCTACCACTTCGGAATTTTACGAGGAGGAAAACCTCCAAAAGTTCTTACAACATAATCATTTTTGCTCCAGATATTATATATGTGTATACATATTTATATACATACACGTATATATAAACACAGACACATATAAAGACGTTAGAGGAAGAAAGTTCCTCCACCTATTTTGTATTCCACTAACTTCAGTGGAAAGTGACCCTCAATTTAGTGTCTGTATGTGCATGACAGCAATCATAGGAACAATCTAGCAACAGGCAGCACTGAGAAAATTATCATTACTGCACTATAATGTCCTACTCTTAAAATAAGATTACTAATATTTCTGAGAATAAATTATAATAACTTCAGGGATAACATTTCATATCTTCACATATGCCAGAAGTTTACTCTATGATGATGATACCGACTTCTGCTCCAGCTTTAACAAATATTGGTTTTCACACTTGGCCATTTGGCATTCAAAAAAGGGATATTTTGTGCACTAAATGTACAGCCAAAATATGTAGGTAATTCCTATGTCAATTCATTATTTCATTCCATTTTCATGTGCTTATATAAAATATAATTTTAAAAGAGGATCTTATATATTCCAAGGATGTAGAAAACAACTCACAGCCTCCCTTATGGGTCTAACAGAAGATATCATAAAAAACTCAACCCCACACAGAAGCACCAGTGATCTAATAACATTTTATTGTTAACTGCCAATAATCAAGAAAAATCCATGCAAGAAAGGTGTTAGTTCTTCTGATCTCTATACATTTTCAATGAATTCCCTTCACAGGCTGAAACTTGTACACAATAGAATTGCTTTCCATAGCTAAAAACTTACAGATCTAAGTTAGCTAGACTTGACTTCATAGTCTCTTAAAATATAAAGATTATTAACATCCTTATACATTAAAATTTTAATATTTTAAGATTTAGACAAGTGTCACGTAAGATGAATTTTTAATTAACTAAGATGAAATTGTCTGTGATTCAGTAATATCCAAAATAAAAACATTTATAAATGCCCAAAATCCCAATCCAGCAACTGATACCAGAGTAACTATCCTTATGAAGCAAGGGAAAGATGGCTGAAACTGAATGCCACAGATAGGCTGTGGTTCTCACTCAGCTGCTTAGTCATCTTAGACAAGTTATTTGCCCTTCCAAGTCTGTTTCCTAAACTATAAAATGAATATATTATTATCTTCTCTGTCTATATGTTATAGACATATATATATAATATGAATATTATATATAAATATATATATAATGAATATAATACATAAATATATATATAATGAATATATTATTATCTTCTCTGTCTATATGTCTAACTACCAAATGAAGTTATGGAAATTACAAACTCTGATATATGTAAAATATTGAGTATCATGAGGGTTCCAAATCTAGGATCTTTATTTTCATACCAACTTTATGAATAGACTGTGATCGATTTTTATGTAGTTTTATGTTTACTTTTAATGTTTACTCTCTTTAGAAACTACTTGGAACTTGATTATTTATTTATTTGCCATTCAAGAATGTATGATTTATGAAAATGTATTAACAGTTATCTGAAGTAATAATGTTAAGCTAGAACTCAAATTACAAATAAAGAAAAACAAAACAAATATAAAATCATTTATAATAGAGAAAGCTTGCTCTTTGCCAAGAGTAATAATCTGCTGAAATCATTATTGTTAGTCACTTAATGACTACTGTCTTGGTTGGTACACATCAGCAGCAGTCAAATACCACCTCCCAGAACCCAACCACCCAAAAAAAGATACTGGGAATAAGAATGTCCTCAGAAAGCTCAACTGTAAAACTAAAACATAAACCAGAACATAGATTAGGAAGTCAAGCACGGAGGATCAAGTAAAAGATAGGACTAAATTTAAGATACTAACATGCAATGAAAAGAAATATATCTACCAGAAATATGGGGGTGAGTAGTTTGGTCAGTAATGAAAGCAGTGAAAAAGGAAAGGTACAAAACACTATCACATAAGCATTAACCAGGAGAAAGGATATCCTATAAGGCAGATTGATGTAAGTAACTGCTTGACGAGTATATCATGGAGCTGAGATTATCACTTTATCAGAGTCGATGCCATTTAAAACTTCTAGTCATTTATAATCAACTCCCTTGTTGTTATCTCATGATCTTGTTCAGTAGGCAACTATTGAAATTTGGTTTTCCATTCAGCATTCTACAGTGAAAGAATACATTCCCTGATGTAAATTTCTAGTCCTTATTTTACTTGAATAAACTGGCGTTCTCTTGTGATGGGGATGTATATGCTCAGATAAGAATGTGGGCTCTGGGGATGGAAGCTCCGGCCGCGGAGTGATGGTGGCCTCAGCGAAGATGGGCCGGGCAGGGACCATGGCAGTGGCAGCAGAGGTGGCAGGGGCGGGGCGGCTGGCGGTAGAGGAGGCTGTGGTCCTCAGGGGGCTGTAGGTGGAGGTATGGCTCGGGCCAGCAGCGGGAACGGCAGCGAGGAGGCCTGGGGGGCACTTCGGGCGCCGCAACAGCAGCTTCGAGAGCTGTGCCCAGGAGTGAACAACCAGCCCTACCTCTGTGAGAGTGTTCACTGCTGCGGGGAGACTGGCTGCTGCACCTACTACTATGAGCTCTGGTGGTTCTGGCTGCTCTGGACTGTCCTCATCCTCTTTAGCTGCTGTTGGGCCTTCCGCCACCGACGAGCTAAACTCAGGCTGCAACAACAGCAGCGGCAGCGTGAAATCAACTTGTTGGCTTATCATGGGGCATGCCATGGGGCTGGTCCTTTCCCTACCGGTTCACTGCTTGACCTTCGCCTCCTCAGCACCTTCAAGCCCCCAGCCTACGAGGATGTGGTTCACCGCCCAGGCACCACCCCCCGCCCCCCGCCTCCGCGCCTTATACTGTCGCCCCAGGCCGCCCCTTGACTGCTTCCAGTGAACAAACCTGCTGTTCCTCCTCATCCAGCTGCCCTGCCCATTTTGAAGGAACAAATGTGGAAGGTGTTTCCTCCCACCAGAGTGCCCTCCCTCATCAGGAGGGTGAGTCTGGGGCAGGGGTGACCCCTGCCCCCACACCCCCCTCCTGCCGCTATCGCCGTTTAACTGGCGACTCCGGTATTAAGCTCTGCCCTTGTCCTGCCTCCGGTGAGGCTGAGCCAGTCAAGGAGGTGAGGGTTAGTGCCACCCTGCCAGATCTGGAGGACTACTCCCCGTGTGCACTGCCCCCAGATTCTGTACCGCAGGTCTTTCCCATGGGGCTGTCTTCCAGTGAAGGGGACATCCCATAAGTAGTTTTGAGAGGGTGGATGGGTTACTTGCCCACCAGAAACAGCCCTAGTCCCAACTCCTTGCGTTCCTTTTGGCCCCTCCCTGCCTACCTAGAATCTGCCTGAAAGGGCTGGAGCCCTGAGGAGAGGGGCAGTATTGGGGGACTGTGCTAGCTTTACCCCCGCAAGACATACACAGGAGCCTTTGATCTCATTAAAGAGACGTGAACCAGCTAAAAAAAAAAAAAAAAAAAAAAAAAAAGAGTGTGGGCTCTGGAGTCAGGTTACTTTGAGCTCCTACTGACTTACTTTGTGATCTTGGGAAATTTACCAATCTGTTGTCTGTTTCCTCATCTGTAGAAAGGGCGCCTAATAATAGGACCTATTTCCCAGGGTTGTTGTGAGGATTAAACAATTCATGTAAAGCACTTAAAACAGTACTTGTCACATAGCAAGTGCTAAACAAATGCTAGCCTGGTTATTATTTTTGAACATGAATTAACATTTCTGTGTCTGATCGCTCTGACACTGACCAGTTTCTAAATCTAAAAAACTGAAGCAGGGCCACTGTGTTTCACAACTCCGGGGGCATCAATGCACAAGAGAACAGAGTTCTCCGGCCGCTCTGAACTGATGGCATGACCTGGTGAATTCAAGGTCACCCACCTGTGAGGTTCTTTTTGTTAGCCAATCTGTCCAGGTGAAAACTTAAGAGTCATAAACCTAAAATGTCTACCCTAGTGAGGCAGATCTCCTAAATAAGTGAGGCACAGCTTGAGTGGTGAGTTTGCCAAGAAACTATGAACGATAAGACTGTGGAGCGTAGAGCACAAGTCAAGCCTTAAATGCTTTCAAATACAGATATTTTAAGATATTCTGTCAGGCAAAAACAACAGTATAGGCAGATTTTAGGCCTGAAGCCCACCAGTTTGCAAACCCTGCAGCACCCTTTCATTCAAACCTTAAAATATTTTAACTTAGGATAATGTACATCCTGTGACCTATTTTTAACCTTTATTTTTCTTTACTGCTCTGTGACTATCCCTTCTTTTCTCCTCCCTTGGTTTCCAAAAACTTCTGTGCTCTTCTCCATACCTCTTGACACACATACCTTGAGTGGTATCATTCATTTCAACTAACATTTCAATCAGCTAAGAATTCCAGATATTTATATCCAACTCTATCAATGCTAAGAAATACCTCATGAATGGTGCCTGTCTACTTTCTCATTGCCAATGCCTTTCGTCAAGTCCTCATCTGATTTCTAGACGTTTACAATAGCTTTGGTTCATTCTATTCTCCCATTGTCCACATCCAGCCACCACTAAATCCTATTGGTTCTAACACCAATCAAACCATATCCACAATCCAACCACTTTCACCTAAACCATCATCATCTGTTACCTAAATTACCACAGCAGTTCCTTTTACTATTCATTTACCTCATTTACCATACTACTCATTTACCATATACCATAGAGGATCCTGTCCCTCCTCTGTTTAATCCCCCATTAGCTCCCAGGTCACTCAAGAGTGAAATCCAAGGTCCACACAATGGCTCACAAGGCCCTATACAATTGCCTATTACCCCTCTAATTTATTCTCTTATTATTCTCTGGCCACATCCCTTGTGTTTTCCTCAATCATACCAGGCTCATTCCTGGTCCAGGTTTTCTCTACCTCCCACTCCCTTTATATGGATGCTCTTTCCTCAAATGTCTTGGGTCTGGATTGTTGTCTTGTATCAGGGCTCTTTGCTCAAATGTTACTCTTTCATAAGTGCTTCCCTAAACACCCTCCCCACATGCACTTGACTCCCCATCTCCCTTTCTGCTTTATCACCATTGAACACATCTGTTTTTCATGTTTATTTTCTGTCTCTCCCAAGAAAATGTAAGTTTCATTACAGCAAGTTTTTTTCTTTATTGCTGTATTCCTGATCTTAGAACAATATGTATTAAGCTTCATGTTTAATGAAAATGACTGAAAAGCTTCCTAACTTGTCTTCCTTCTACTGATCTCCCCTTCTGTAGTCCACTTCCTCCTATCCCCCAGGTAGTATACCAAAAAATGCATCTGATCATTCTCCTGCTTAAAAGACTTTGATGGGATCCCCACATCCTTCGGGGTCTGGCCCCAAATTTAATCTGTTTCCCCATTCCCCAAAATAGTTGTACACTCTCCACATACTAACACTTTTATCATCCCTGAACCTACTTGTGCCATTTATCCATGCTTTTCATGTATCTCTGTATTTACTTGGCCAAAGTTTTATTCATCCTCCAGGTCTAGTTATGCCATGATGTCTCCCAGAAGCCTTCATCTGTGTACCCCCACAGCACTCAGTTCAGGCCTCCATTATAGTACTTGTGCTATACTATGTATTTACCAATCTGCTTCTGCAACTAGATTATAAGATCCCAGAGAGCAAGTTCATGATGTTGTGTCCAGAGTTCTTTTGCCAGTGTTTAACACTATACTTAGCAGAGAGGAAACACTGCAAGTCTGAAGAATGAAAATGTAATGAATGAAATTTTATAATGAATGAAATAATTTGTTTATGAGAGGTTGGGGGAAAAAAAGAGTCTTCCTAAGAGTCAGAGTGCTTTACAACATCAAACCTGAGACCTGATATGAGTTTTTACATTTGCTAAAGAAAAATTTCCTTTAGTAATTTCAACAATAGTTAAATTAGTGGATTCAGGAATCAGAAGTAAGTTAATGGCTAGTCAGGAAAGGTATTTACTCCACGGAACATACCAATTTACACACCAGATATTGTGTGGAGCAAAAAGTGTACTCCAATCTGAGAAAAGGCATCTGCAATTTTTTTAATTAAAACTGATTTAAGTGGGAAGGAAAATTGAAAATGATCTAGTGCAACTACTTCATTTCACAAATGAAAAAAATCATGAAAATGGGAAGAGCATTAACCCAAGTTAGAAGATCAGGAACAGTACCAAGGTTTTATTCAAAATGAAGGGCTCTCTCTCAAATGTAACACATTACAGTTCCAAACTACTCAAGGATTAAAGCCCAGAACTTATTCCATTACTTTGCTGTGCAAACTTAATGAAGAGTGAAGATAATATTGCAAGTAGGAAAATAATATTGCAAGACTGAAAATAATAATACCTGGGTTCTTATCTAGGTTGTATTTGTGAGATCTCAGACAATTCACTGAACCTTGTAATACTACCTTAATTAACTACCACATGGGATTAATGTGAGAATCAAATGAAAGCCCTGTTGCAAATGAAAAGTATAATCATCTTTTCCATCCTCATCCTTTCAGGTTCTCCAGTGCAGTCTCTTAGCAAGTTTTCAATCTATATGGGGGGCCATAAACCACTTGCAATTCTGACTAGTTGGAGTTTTGTTGTTCTTGTAGTACAGGACAGAAAGCTGTGAGGGAAGGGTGGGGAGGTTGTTTATGTATTATAAACCTCCTCCCAAAGGGGAGTATTATCCATATCACCTATCAATTAAAGACTCTTTGAGACTCACAAGCTCTTAAAAGGTTCATGTTGAAAAATTATCTTTTTCCCCAGTACACGCCCTACAAAACCTTTTACCATTTGTATATTTCAGAAGATTCTGTAACAATTACTTGGGTTATATTTATCTTTTCCTACTCTACTACAGATGTGTCCAAAGCAGGGACTCATAGTATTTCATCTTCAGGAGCTGTGAATTGTTTTAATTGGGTCAACATCCAGTTGAAATATAAAACTAAGTGGCTGGAGTCGTGCCTGAGAGAACTGAATGAAAAAGAACTGAACGACGAGAGACCAGAATTATACCTCCCTCTGATTTCCCCCAACTCTTTCCCCTCTATGTCTATTATATATTTCTAAAGACCTTTAGAAACTAGGCTCTGGGCTTATGCAAAAGTCCTCTACTACATTCTACATAGCCACAAGTTTATTTACAAGTATTTTTATATTAATAACATTTTATAAAATACAATGTTTTAACTCCAGGTGTGAAAATATTTAAAGGAAAGTACACTAAATGGATTTTTTTAATTATTCATTTGGCAAACAATCTTGTGCAAAATGGTCACTATATAACATGTACAAGGCCAGGCGTGGTGGCTCACGCCTGTAATCCCAACACTCTGGGAGGCTGAAATGGGAGGATGGCTGGAGCCCAGGAGTTCGAGACCAGCCTAGGCATACAGCGAGACTCTATTTCTTTAAACGAGAAAAAAATTATGCATTCTGTGAATTCCATTTACATTTAGAATCTCATTCTCATAAACAGTAATATTTTAATTTGTATTAAATCAAAGCAATTGTAAATATAAATCATAGGCTTCATTTTTTTTCCTGTATATACAATATGCCTTAATTTTTGAAAATGTTATAAAAAGAATATCCTTGGCTGGGCACAGTGGCTCATGCCTGTAATCCCAAAACTTTGGGAGGCCAAGGCTGGTGGATCACTTGAGGTTAGGAGTTCAAGACCAGCCTGTCCAACATGGTGAAACGTGGTCTCTACTAAAAATACAAAAAATTAGCCAGGTGTGGTGGCGGGTGCCTGTAATCCCAGCTACTCGGGAGGCTGAGGCAGGAGAATGGTGTGAACCTGGGAGGTGGAGCTTGCAGTGAGCTGAGATCATGCCACTGCACTACAGCCTGGGCAACAGAGCAAGACTCCATCTCAAAAATAAAATAAAATAAAATAAAAAACTGATACATTGGATAACTAAAATAAAAAATTCTGCTCATCAAAGACACTGTTAAAGCCACATTCTAAGGGAAAATATGGTCAAGAACTCATGTCTAGAACATGTAAGAACTTCACCAGCTTACAAATTTTTTAAAATCTAATTTACAAGTTGATAAAGATTTGAACAGAAACTTCACAAAAAGATACATAAGCAGCTAATGAGCACATGAAAGAGTGTTTAACATCCTCCAACCTCAGCCTCCAAGTAGCTAGGACTACAGGTTATGCGCCATCATGCCTGGCTAATTTTCAAATTTTTTTGGTAGACAACTGGTCTTACTATATAATATGTTGCCCAGGCTGGTCTCCTGGGCTGAAGCAGTCCTCCTGCCCCTACCCCTCAAAGTGCTGTGATTACAGGCGTGAATTTTCATTTAAAAGAAATTAAATTAAAAGAAATTAAAATTACAGATGTGAATTTTAATTTAAAAGAAATTAAATTAAATTAAAAGAAATTAAAATTCATGCCTGTAATCGCAGCACTTTGGGAGATAGGGGCAGGAGGACTGCTTGAGCCCAGGAGTTTGAGACCAGCCTGGGCAACATATTATAGTAAGACCTTGTCTCTGCCAAAAAAATTTAAAAATTAGCCAGGCATGATGGAGCATACCGGTAGTCCTAGCCACTTGGAGGCTGAGGTAGGAGGATGGCTTGAGCCTATGAGTTCGAGATTACAGCCAACTACGATAGCATCACTGCAGTCCGGCGTAGGCAAAAAGTGACACCCCGTCTCTTAAAAAAGAAATGAAAATGTATGTCCACGGGCCGGGCATGGTGGCTCACACCTGTAATCTCAGCACTTTGGGAGGTCAACATGGGCGGATTATTGAGGCCAGGAGTTTGAGACCAGGCTGGCCAACATGGCAAAATCCAGTCTCTACTAAAAATACAAAAATTAGCCAGGCATGGTGGCGCATACCTGTAATTCTAGCTACTGGGGAGGCTGAGGCATGAGAACTGCCTGAACTTGGGAGTCAGAGGTTGCAGTGAGCCGAGATCGTGCCACTGCACTCCAGCCTGGATGACACAGCAAGACTCTGTCCCCCTCCCCCAAAAAAAGAAAATATATATCCACAAAGACTTGCCAGTGAATTTTGGCAGTAGCTTGCTTTATTCATGACTTAAAAAAAAAAAATGGAAATAGCCTAGATATCTACCAGCAGAAGAAGGATGGATAAACAAACTATGGTATATTCATACTACTCAGCAATAAAAAAGCACAAACTACGGGTATCTGTAACAATATGAATGAATCTCAAAAGCATTATGCTGAATAAATCTTATACCAAAGATTACATACTATATTATTTTATTTACATCAAGTTCTAGAACAGGCATAACTAAGATATGGTGACAGAATTCAGATCAGTGATTGCTAGAAGAAGAGAATAAAGCTGATTAAAAACAGCAAGAGGGGCCAGGCCCAGTGGCTCATGCCTGTAATCCCAGAACTTTGGGAGGCCGAGGTGGGCAGATCACGAGGTCAGGAGTTCAAGACCAGCCTGACCAACATGGTGAAACCCTATCTCTACTAAAAATACAAAAATTGGCCAGGCGTGGTGGCGCATGCCTATAATCCCAGCTATTCAGGAGGTTGAGGCAGGAGAATAGCTTCAACCCAGGAGGTGGTGAGCCAACATCGTGCCACTGCACTCCAGCCTAGGCGATAAGGCGAGACTCCGTCTCAAAAAAAAAAAACCGCACAAGGAAATTTTATGGAGTTATAAAAATATTCTGTGTCTATATAGGAGTGTAGGTTACATGAGTGTGCATATATTAAAACTGATCAAACTGTAAACTCAAGATGTATTTCATTTTTGTAAATTACACCACAATTTAAAAAAACATATTTGGACCACTTAAGAATAACACCATGGAGGCCAGGTGCAGTGGCTCATGCCTGTAATCCCAGCACTTTGGGACACCAAGGTCAGGAAGGTCACTTGAGGTCATGAGTTGGAGACCAGCCTGGCCAACATGGTGAAACCCTGTCTCTACCAAAACTACAAAAATTAGCCGGGCATGGTGGCGGGCGCCTGTAATCCCAGCTATTCAGGAGGCTGAGACAGGAGAACTGCTTGAACCTGGGAGGCGGAGATTGCAGTGAGCTCAGATCGTGCCACTGCACTCCATCCCGGGCAACAAGAACGATACTCCGTCTCAAAAAAAAAAAAAAAAAAAAAAGGAATATACCATGGAACCTGATACGATTGAGAACCTTAATTTAAAAAACACTGCATAAAAAAGGTAAATGCTGTCATTTCAGGTGATCAGTTGATAATAAAATGTCTACAAACCCAAACTGAAATCATGCAGTAATACATACATTAATTTTTGGATAATCATTAAAGACCATAGAAAATGTAACAGATCCTACTCTTCAAAATAATTGCTATTCAGTATTAAAATAAATAAAGTGAAAGGTGTTGGAAAGATAGAGGAATTGATAGGAATACCACAGAAGTGGAAGAATAGTATGAATATCCATAAATTAATTTATATTAGCAAGAAATAATAATGCTTACATCATCAGATCCAGTCTCAGAAGGCCTTGCTTTTTTGGGTGCAATGACAGGGGAAAGTGATCCTTCAAAGTCAAACTGAAAAGTAACCCCAAAAGAAAAGATAAAAATCATAAATGCATTCCTGTCAACTGATCAACTTAAAGGATTCGGAAATCAGTTCTGCCAATTATGAAAACTGAGAAAAGCCATCAAAACTCATTTTTTGATCTGGAAAGTCATTATTTAAATATCTTTCTTCCAGGTTACTGTAAAGATGAAATGAAATCATATTAATATATGCAAACATCTAGAACAGTGCCTGGGCTCCTAAGGACTGATTTTAATGGTAGTTTCCTTCCCTCTCCTACTTCTGTAACGACATAGATTACATCACATCTTTGGTAGAAAAAGAAACTTTAGGCATATCCACAATATACCAAGTCTCAAAGGATCAACCCAATATCAGTCAAATGTTAGAACTAAGCAAACATTTATTTACAGTCCACCTACAGTAAACTATCTAACAATTCTATGGCAGAGACAAGTAGCTACTCTGGAAAATCTTTTTTCTCCTCTTTCTACTGAACCCACAGCCAGACTACATACATACGTCTGCCTCCTTTGAAGTTAGGTGTGACCCTTTGACAGAGTTAATTATAAATGGAAGTCACTGTCATCACTTCCAGGACCAGTCCAGTCCTACCCCTGCTCCTCCAGGCTCTTTGCCCCTTCCACCTGACTGGAATGCAGTCAACCAACGGCAAGCTTTGAACCGAAGACAAAAGATCCTCCATCAACCTGGGTTCCTGAATAACTGTGTGGCCTGTTTATCTGCTAAGCCCTGTTATGTAAACAAGACAGACATTTTTATTGTGTTTGAGCCATTGTATCTTTTGAGGCCTTTCTATTACAATAGTGAGCCTATCTTTTAACTAGTACAACTACATCAAAGCAGTTTTCTGCAAGTTGCTCTTCTTCAATTTCCCCTGGCATAATCTTTGCTGCCCCAGCTACTTCACATGGACATTGACCATCAACTAATAAACTGTAACTCTATAAATGGCAATGGCTATTTTCCTATGCTGAAAAACTTACATATTTATCAACTCACTCACCTAAACAGAGTTGATTTCTATATAAAAACTAAACATAGGTAGCAATAAAGTGATTTTTAAAACCGAATGTTATTGAGAGAGAAGATTTGCTTGTGAAGCATTCAAATAAAAAACAGCCCAACTCATATATATTATAAAAAACCTGGTAGTAACAGTGAAATCAAAGCAACAAATATAACAGTAACTATCTAACCTAAAACTTCAACCAAAATGTAACACACACAAAGTCCCACAGTCAAAAAGAATGTCCCTGCTATAATTATCAGATTCATAAGGCCTGGAGTTATGAGAAAGTAGAAACTGCCTGATAAGGATGGCTCTTTGTGCCATACATGGATCTGTTTAATCTTCACTCTTTCAATGTGTCTCAGGTTAGCCAACCCTGTTATATGCTCCTATGGACCCTTACCCTTCATCTATCATAACACATGTATCAAATATTATTTATTTGTTTCCCTCAAGACAGTCAATTCCAGAGGAACAATCTGTTTTGTCTGGGGTATATGTGAGAAACCTGGCATCATGCCTGGCCCACAGCAGGGATTCAATATTTATCTAATGAAAAAAAGAGCAGCCCAAAAGCCACAAAAAGTTAACCCCAAATGCAACTGTTCCTACAATGTACAGTCCAGTGCACTCATGTAACACATCAGCAAATTAAAGAAAGCACAAAGAAATGCCAAAAATTGTGTAACGAGTCATTGGCAGAAATTCTGTACTCCACCACATTATATATGTGAAAACAAAAAGAATAAATCTGAACAAAGCAAAATGAAAACCATTTGCCAATGAGGACCATTTCATCCTAAGCTTTGACTATGAGGACAAAAGATAGCAAGGGTTTAACCACGCAGTCCTATAAATAAATGGCAAAGCAACTTGGCCTCAAGAATTGATTTCCTTATTCCTTCCTTTATAATTATCATGCAATAAGTAAGTCAAAGAGCCATGTCCTTCTTTGCAAAGGAAAAAATGGGTAGGTGCTCAGTCCTCCCCAAAACATGGAAACGCGAGGGGGCATAGGTTCTCTGCCAGAGACTAGGACACAACAATCTGTACTCATCAACAAGTTCCAAGGACAATGATACACAAAACTACAGAAAGCTGACATGCTTTTTCATAATGTAGAAATCCAGTTTCTATGAGGCTTAATCTTTTCACATGTAATAAAGAACAGAAAAATTGAGGATAATGTCACTTGGATACAATTGTTTAAAATTAGAAAAGAAGGCCAGGAGCCATGGTTCACACCTGTAATCCTAGCACTTTGGGAGGCCAAGGTGGGAGGATCACTTGAGCTCAGGAGTTTGAAACCAGCATAGCCCACATGGCAAAACCCCGTCTCTACTAAAAATACAGAAATTAGCCAGGCGTGGAGGTGCATGCCTGTAATCCCAGCTACTCAGGAGGCTGAGGCACAAGAATCGCTTCAACTTAGGAGGCAGAGGTTGTAATGAGCCAGGATAACGCCACTGCATTCCAGCCTAGACGACAGAGCAAAACCCCGTCTTAAAAAAGGAAAGAAAAGAAAAGAAAATTGTCCCTATTTTCCCATAAGATTTTTCTCAAGGAAATTGCAGACAGCAATTCCTTCATGTGCTGAAATAGACACAAACTCTTAAAAACAGTATCTCACTCAGATGGAAAATGGCATTCACTCAACAAATGTTCACTGAGTATCCTTCTATGCCAGGCAATACCACAGGTCCTGGAGAGAGAGAGTAGTAAACAAAACTAAGCAAAAATCTTTGCCTTCCTAGAATTTACATTCCAGTTGGGGGAGGAGGGACACAAAACAAAATAAGTAAAACATACAGTATATTATATTTAATTAAGTGAGAAGAAAGAAAAACAGGTAAATGGCACTAAAGGTATGGAGGCAGGTGTAATTCTATAGAGAGAGACAGGACAGGCAGCACTGAGGTGACATCTGAATAAAGACCTAAGCACGTCTTGTCGGAGGGAAAGCATTCTCCATAGAGGTAATGGCAAGTGCAAACACTCAGAGGCAGAAACATGCTGGCAGTGCTCAGGGAACAGAGCTGAGGCCAATGTGGCCGGGATGATGTGTGCAAAGCATTAAGAAATAAGACCAGGAAGGTGAGCAAGGGCTAGGTCACATGGCACCTTATAAGCCTATGGCCTTTACTCTGAGTGACATGGGAAGTCACTGGGGGATTCTACGCAGAGGCGTGACGAACGCTACCTGACGTTATCAAACAGGATTACTTTGGCCACTGGTCTGAGAAGAGACTGGAACATAGACAAAGGACATGAAATACGAATCAAAAAATAAGAACTATAAATAACTGATGAAATTTTGAAAAAACCATTCCCATTTACTTATAGAGAAATAAGATAAAATTTCTCAGGAAGCTGGCAAAGGTTCACCACACCACAAATAAACACTGTGGTGAAATGGGCGCTTTTAAATGATGCTAGTAAGAATGTCACCTGGGAACCCCTTTCCAAACATTACTTGACCTCACAGTTTCTCTTTTAAGATTCAATTCTTGGGAAGTAACTAGAGATGTGGTTAAAGAGTCGTGAAAAAGGATGTTTATAAATTCCAATAACGAAAACAACAGATTCACAAGGTACAATTATTAGCTATTGGTTAATTATGATAAAACTACACTATGAAGAAATGATGGAGATATTTTAGAAAAAATTTTTAATGATAACGGGAAATTTTCATTGGTATTTTTATATAGAAGGTAACATCAAAAATATTTAGAGTGGTTATCTCTGAGTAGTATAATTATTTTCTTAATTCCTCCATTTTCCACATTTTCCTTTCATAATTAAGACAAAAAACAAGTTTTAAAAATGGATTTGCTGGCCAGGCACGGTGGCTCACACCTGTAATCCCAGCACTTTGGGAGGCTGAGACGGGCAGATCACGAGGTCAGGAGATCGAGACCATCCTGGCTAACATGGTGAAACCCCATCTCTACTAAAAACACAAAAAATTAGCCGGGCGTGGTGGCGGGCGCCTGTAGTCCCGGCTACTCGGGAGGCTGAGGCAGGAAAATGGCATGAACCCAGGAGGCAGAGCCTGTAGTGAGCTGAGATTGCGCCATTGCACTCCAGCCTAGGTGACAGAGCAACATTCTGTCTCAAAAAAAAAAAAAAAAAAAAAAAAGATTTGGTGTGCAAGGCTAAAACATATAGAATGGTACAGCTGAGCTACCTGGAAAAGGGGTAATTATAGTCTAGAGTGATTTTTTTTCAGAGTGACCCAGGCAAAGTTGTCCTGGGAGTGATCTCCAAAGCTAGAAGGAGATCACCAATACTGAAGACACCACTCTGCTGATTTTGTAAATAATCTAATAAGGGCCTGTAAGGATGTTACTGGGGGAAGAGGGTGAGAGGTAAGGCCTTATACCATTAACAGAGTAGATGGTATAAGTACAGAGTAGATGGTATAGTACTCGGCTAAAGTACTTTAAATCTCCCTCAAATCAAACCTTCCTCTTCACATCCTAAGCAATATGTGTGTAAAAAGACAATCTTATCTTCAGAAAACAATGTTAAACAAGGAGTCAGAAGATGCAGTCTAGTCATAGTTTTTAAAAAATCACAGATCTGTGATTTCTTTGTGATCCAGTTTCTTCATCAATAAAACCAAGACTATCACTAATCCTAGCATAACTTGCAGTCATTTTACAAAGGTGAAATGAGAAATAGTCATATATGCTTTAACATTCTAAAGCTCAGTAATTATAATCACTAGTAAAATGTTAACATTAAATATTAAGTGAGATTTGATTTACAACATATAGATACAATAAACCTTAATATTATTCTATTATTTTGAATATGGTACGCCTATTATATAGTCTCAATGTTATATTACCAATTATGCAACCATTACATTAACAGAATAACTCATAAAGAAAACAATTGTATTTACTTACATTTCTAGTCCATGCTAAGCGGTCTGTGTTAAAACCCATCACGTTCATGAGACAAGTCACAAATAAATTCCACTCTGAGTGATAACTGGGTCCTCCTGGAGCACTGTGGACATTGTACCACTTGACAAGCATCTGAACTGCTATTTCTTTTGGCAGGATAAACTTAATTGTTTGCAAACACGTTTGTACTATTAAAAGCAAAGATTAATTTTAGTATTCTTACTCTGCATGCATTTCTTTTCCCCTTTCAATAACCAAGTTTCTTTAACTTCTACTATGTAAAGGCCAATTATTATGAAAAGAAAACTGTCATTAAAGAGCCAATGAGATGCAAACATTACCTAACCCATCATCTGAAACTAAAACCAACTACTGAATTCAACAGGGCTTGAAAGGGGTCTGAAGACAGCTTTTTTTTTTTTTTTTTTTTGAGAGGGTGTCTCGCTCTGTTGCCCAGGCTGGAGTGCTGTGGCGCAGTCTTGGCACACTGCAACTTCTGCCTCCTGAGTTCAAGAGATTCTCCTGCCTCAGCCACCAAGTAGCCGGGATTACAGGCGTCTGCCACTGCCCCAGGCTAATTTTTGTATTTTTAGTAGAGACCATGTTTCACCATGTTGGCCAGGCTGGTCTCAAACTCCTGACCTCATGATCCACCTGCCTTGGCCTCCCAAAGCACTGGGATTACAGGTGTGAGCCACTGTGCCCGGCCAAGGACAGCTTTTTGATCATTAATTTTGCATCAGAAATAAAGTAACCAAATAGCCCAGTTTGCCAGAGACAGTCCTGATTTACATCCATTGCCTAGCAATTACTAACTGCTCCCCTTCACTCTTAAAGATGTTCTAGCTCGGGTGACAAATTAAAAGTCACTATGGGCCAGGCATGGTGACTCACGCCTGTAATCTAAGCACTTTGCGAGGTCAAGGCGGGTGGATCACCTGAGGTCAGGAGTTCGAAACCAGCCTGACCAACATGGTGAAACCCCATTTCTACTAAAAATACAAAAATTAGTTGGGCATTGTGGCAGGCACCTGTAATCCCAGCTACTCAGGAGG
The DNA here is from genome assembly GCF_000001405.40 of Homo sapiens. Classification (NCBI taxonomy): domain Eukaryota; kingdom Metazoa; phylum Chordata; class Mammalia; order Primates; family Hominidae; genus Homo; species Homo sapiens. The sequence continues at coordinate 86,916,623 of NC_000002.12, read as the reverse complement.
CTGAGGCAGGAGAATCGCCTGAACCCGGGAGGCAGAGGTTGCAGTGAGCCAAGATCACGCCATTGCACTCCAGCCTGGATGACTACAGCAAAACTGTCTCAAAAAAAAAAAAGTCACTATGAAAAACATACAACTTCTATGTTTATACATTTATATAAAATACTGCCTACATACTTCAGTAAATATATAATATTCAATATATGCATCCACGAATAGCAATGCTTAGCTAGCATTACATGATGTTCTAAATGACTTAACATGCCTATTAACCAAAGCTTTATAACTTTATTTCTGATGTCGTTCAGTTTCTAAAATGTTTCACATGCTCTCTGCCTTAAAAGGGTTAAGAGTTGATACCACATAATTTACACCATTCTTTTTTTGGTAAGCGGAAACAGGGTCTTCCTCTGTCCCCAGGCTGGAGTGCAGTGGTGCAATTATAGCTCACTGTCACCTCCAGCTCCTGGGCTCAAGTGGTCCACCAGCTCAAGCTTCCCAAGTAGCAAGGACTACAGATGCATGCCAGCATGCCTGGCTGATTTTATTTTTCTTTCTGTAGAGACCGAGTCTCACTATGTTGTCCAAGCTGGTCTCAAACTCCTGGCCTCAAGCAATCCCCTCACCTCAGCCTTCCAAAGGGAGGGGATTACAAGCACGAGCCCACCACACCTGGCCTTATACCATTCTCAGTGGCTCCACATCAATTATAGCACTACACTGTCATACAATGATCCCCTCAGAGTGGCCAGGGCTACCACTGTGAAGAGACCCAAATCTGCTTTTAGTAGTAAATAATCCCAAACTGCAATGTTTGTGTACTCACATATCCTCTCTTCCAGGATTCTTTTTTCCCTTTCCACTGTCATGCCACTGGGCCCACCCTCATCAGCATATCCTCTATCCCGTCAGTTTGCAATATGCAAACTCACACAGCACAGGTTGGAAGCAAATAATATTAAAATACCATATAACCAAGTATGTCATAGCTGAATCCAAAATAAGTGTAAACCCAATGCTGCATGAGTGTGTGAGAACCCTTTGCAGGTAAAGTACATAAACTTATGTGCATAAACTATGGGGCTTCTATTTGGCTATAAAGGGGTAAGATTTTTTGTTTTTATTTATTTAATTTCTTCCATTATTATTTGTTTTTATATATTTTGCTTAGGCTTATCATACTTCTAGGTACCTGGCCTTGTGATTACGAAATACCTTTTAGAAGGCAAGGAATCTCTATAGCAACTTGGAATACCATTTACCAGCAGTGAAAATTCCTAAAATGAAAAAGTTATTCTTGTCTACAATCTGCCAATGTCTTGCCTAACCCTAACCCTAACCCTAACTCTATCACCTAGGCTGGAGTGCAGTGGCACGATCTTGGCTCACCGCAACCTCCGCATTCTGGGTTCAAGCAATTCTCCTGCCTCAGACTCCCAAGTAGCTGAGATTACAGAAGTGCACCACCACACCCCGCTGATTTTTGTATTTTCAGTAGAGAAAGGGTTTCACCACGTTGGCCAGGCTGGTCTCGAACGACCGACCTCAAGCGATCCACCTGCCTCAGTCTCACAAAATGTTGGGATTACAGGTGTGAGCCACCATGCCCAGCAGGCATGTCCATATATTATTATACTGCACAATATTCCCCAACAGAAGTACCTTAGGCCAGGCCGCCGCCGCCGCCGCCGCCCGGCCAGGTCGAGGCCGCCGCCTCCGCCGCCGCCCGGCCAGGTCGAGGCCGCCGCCGCCGCCGCCGCCGCCGCCGCCGCCGCCGCCCGGCCAGGTCGAGGCCGCCGCCGCCGCCGCCGCCGCCGCCGCCGCCGCCCGTCCAGGTGGAGGCCGCCGCCGCCGCCGCCCGGCCAGGTCGAGGCCGCCGCCGCCGCCGCCGCCGCCGCCGCCGCCCGGCCAGGTCGAGGCCGCCGCCGCCGCCGCCGCCGCCGCCCGGCCAGGTCGAGGCCGCCGCCGCCGCCGCCGCCGCCCGGCCAGGTCGAGGCCGCCGCCGCCGCCGCCGCCCGGCCAGGTCGAGGCCAAGGCCGAGGCCGAGGCCGAGGCCGCCGCCGCCGCCGCCGCCGCCGCCGCCCGGCCAGGCCGAGGCCGCCGCCGCCGCCGCCGCCGCCGCCGCCGCAGCCCGGCCAGGCCGAGGCCGAGGCCGCCGCCGCCGCCGCCGCCGCCGCCGCCGCCGCCGCCGCCGCCGCCGCCGCCGCCCGGCCAGGTCGAGGCCGCCGCCGCCGCCGCCGCCGCCGCCCGGCCAGGTCGAGGCCGCCGCCGCCGCCGCCGCCGCCGCCGCCGCCCGGCCAGGCCGAGGCCGCCGCCGCCGCCGCCGCCGCCGCCGCCGCCGCCCGGCCGAGGCCAAGGCCGAGGCCGAGGCCGCCGCCGCCGCCGCCGCCCGGCCAGGCCGAGGCCGCCGCCGCCGCCCGGCCAGGCCGAGGCCGCCGCCGCCGTCCGGCCAGGCCGAGGCCGAGGCCGCCGCCGCCGCCGCCGCCGCCGCCGCCCGGCCAGGCCGGGGCCGAGGCCGCCGCCGCCGCCGCCGCCGCCGCCGCCCGGCCAGGCCGGGGCCGAGGCCGAGGCCGCCGCCGCCGCCGCCGCCGCCGCCGCCGCCGCCGCCCGGCCAGGCCGAGGCCGAGGCCGCCGCCGCCGCCCGGCCAGGTCGAGGCCACCGCCCCGCCAGGTCGAGGCCGTCGGTCTCTTCGAGATCCACTCACCTTTCCAGGCGACGGGGCGGAGCCCTGCACCGAGGCGAGGTACCGCTCCCCGTAGGCCTTGCTGCGCCTCATCGCACCGCCAACCTGGCTCCCGAGACGCGTGAAACCAGCGCTCAGCCCCGCAGCAGTCGCCAATTCCAACAGGAAAGCGCCTGAAAGCCACTGACGTAGCCGGCGGAGGACCACTGTGACGCACTTGTGTACTGCGTCAGCACTGTGTATCCTTGGCGACGTCGGCGCTCCAGCTGCACTCGGCCGGGCTCTTGGCAGCACCCTGTGCTCTGAGGGTGTCTTGCCCGCCGGGCGCCGTGGCTCACGCCTGTAATCCCAACACTTTGGGAGGCGGAGGCGGGCGGATCACCTGAGGTCATGAGTTGGAGACCAGCCTGGCCAACATGGTGAAACCCTGTCTCTACCAAAACTACAAAAATTAGCCGGGCATGGTGGCGGGCGCCTGTAATCCCAGCTATTCAGGAGGCTGAGACAGGAGAACTGCTTGAACCTGGGAGGCGGAGATTGCAGTGAGCTCAGATCGTGCCACTGCACTCCATCCCGGGCAACAAGAGCGATACTCCGTCTCAAAAAAAAAAAAAAAAAAAAAAAGGAATATACCATGGAACCTGATACGATTGAGAACCTTAATTTAAAAAACACTGCATAAAAAAGGTAAATGCTGTCATTTCAGGTGATCAGTTGATAATAAAATGTCTACAAACCCAAACTGAAATCATGCAGTAATACATACATTAATTTTTGGATAATCATTAAAGACCCTAGAAAATGTAACAGATCCTACTCTTCAAAATAATTGCTATTCAGTATTAAAATAAATAAAGTGAAAGGTGTTGGAAAGATAGAGGAATTGATAGGAATACCACAGAAGTGGAAGAATAGTATGAATATCCATAAATTAATTTATATTAGCAAGAAATAATAATGCTTACATCATCAGATCCAGTCTCAGAAGGCCTTGCTTTTTTGGGTGCAATGACAGGGGAAAGTGATCCTTCAAAGTCAAACTGAAAAGTAACCCCAAAAGAAAAGATAAAAATCATAAATGCATTCCTGTCAACTGATCAACTTAAAGGATTCGGAAATCAGTTCTGCCAATTATGAAAACTGAGAAAAGCCATCAAAACTCATTTTTTGATCTGGAAAGTCATTATTTAAATATCTTTCTTCCAGGTTACTGTAAAGATGAAATGAAATCATATTAATATATGCAAACATCTAGAACAGTGCCTGGGCTCCTAAGGACTGATTTTAATGGTAGTTTCCTTCCCTCTCCTACTTCTGTAACGACATAGATTACATCACATCTTTGGTAGAAAAAGAAACTTTAGGCATATCCACAATATACCAAGTCTCAAAGGATCAACCCAATATCAGTCAAATGTTAGAACTAAGCAAACATTTATTTACAGTCCACCTACAGTAAACTATCTAACAATTCTATGGCAGAGACAAGTAGCTACTCTGGAAAATCTTTTTTCTCCTCTTTCTACTGAACCCACAGCCAGACTACATACATACGTCTGCCTCCTTTGAAGTTAGGTGTGACCCTTTGACAGAGTTAATTATAAATGGAAGTCACTGTCATCACTTCCAGGACCAGTCCAGTCCTACCCCTGCTCCTCCAGGCTCTTTGCCCCTTCCACCTGACTGGAATGCAGTCAACCAACGGCAAGCTTTGAACCGAAGACAAAAGATCCTCCATCAACCTGGGTTCCTGAATAACTGTGTGGCCTGTTTATCTGCTAAGCCCTGTTATGTAAACAAGACAGACATTTTTATTGTGTTTGAGCCATTGTATCTTTTGAGGCCTTTCTATTACAATAGTGAGCCTATCTTTTAACTAGTACAACTACATCAAAGCAGTTTTCTGCAAGTTGCTCTTCTTCAATTTCCCCTGGCATAATCTTTGCTGCCCCAGCTACTTCACATGGACATTGACCATCAACTAATAAACTGTAACTCTATAAATGGCAATGGCTATTTTCCTATGCTGAAAAACTTACATATTTATCAACTCACTCACCTAAACAGAGTTGATTTCTATATAAAAACTAAACATAGGTAGCAATAAAGTGATTTTTAAAACCGAATGTTATTGAGAGAGAAGATTTGCTTGTGAAGCATTCAAATAAAAAACAGCCCAACTCATATATATTATAAAAAACCTGGTAGTAACAGTGAAATCAAAGCAACAAATATAACAGTAACTATCTAACCTAAAACTTCAACCAAAATGTAACACACACAAAGTCCCACAGTCAAAAAGAATGTCCCTGCTATAATTATCAGATTCATAAGGCCTGGAGTTATGAGAAAGTAGAAACTGCCTGATAAGGATGGCTCTTTGTGCCATACATGGATCTGTTTAATCTTCACTCTTTCAATGTGTCTCAGGTTAGCCAACCCTGTTATATGCTCCTATGGACCCTTACCCTTCATCTATCATAACACATGTATCAAATATTATTTATTTGTTTCCCTCAAGACAGTCAATTCCAGAGGAACAATCTGTTTTGTCTGGGGTATATGTGAGAAACCTGGCATCATGCCTGGCCCACAGCAGGGATTCAATATTTATCTAATGAAAAAAAGAGCAGCCCAAAAGCCACAAAAAGTTAACCCCAAATGCAACTGTTCCTACAATGTACAGTCCAGTGCACTCATGTAACACATCAGCAAATTAAAGAAAGCACAAAGAAATGCCAAAAATTGTGTAACGAGTCATTGGCAGAAATTCTGTACTCCACCACATTATATATGTGAAAACAAAAAGAATAAATCTGAACAAAGCAAAATGAAAACCATTTGCCAATGAGGACCATTTCATCCTAAGCTTTGACTATGAGGACAAAAGATAGCAAGGGTTTAACCACGCAGTCCTATAAATAAATGGCAAAGCAACTTGGCCTCAAGAATTGATTTCCTTATTCCTTCCTTTATAATTATCATGCAATAAGTAAGTCAAAGAGCCATGTCCTTCTTTGCAAAGGAAAAAATGGGTAGGTGCTCAGTCCTCCCCAAAACATGGAAACGCGAGGGGGCATAGGTTCTCTGCCAGAGACTAGGACACAACAATCTGTACTCATCAACAAGTTCCAAGGACAATGATACACAAAACTACAGAAAGCTGACATGCTTTTTCATAATGTAGAAATCCAGTTTCTATGAGGCTTAATCTTTTCACATGTAATAAAGAACAGAAAAATTGGGGATAATGTCACTTGGATACAATTGTTTAAAATAAGAAAAGAAGGTAATCCTAGCACTTTGGGAGGCCAAGGTGGGAGGATCACTTGAGCTCAGGAGTTTGAAACCAGCATAGCCCACGTGGCAAAACCCTGTCTCTACTAAAAATACAGAAATTAGCCAGGCGTGGAGGTGCATGCCTGTAATCCCAGCTACTCAGGAGGCTGAGGCACAAGAATCGCTTCAACTTAGGAGGCAGAGGCTGTAGTGAGCCAGGATAGCGCCACTGCATTCCACCCTAGACGACAGAGTGAAACCCCGTCTTAAAAAAGGAAAGAAAAGAAAAGAAAATTGTCCCTATTTTCCCATAAGATTTTTCTAAAGGAAATTGCAGACAGCAATTCCTTCATGTGCTGAAATAGACACAAACTCTTAAAAACAGTACCTCACTCAGATGGAAAACGGCATTCACTCAACAAATGTTCACTGAGTATCCTTCTATGCCAGGCAATACCACAGGTCCTGGAGAGAGAGAGTAGTAAACAAAACTAAGCAAAAATCTTTGCCTTCCTAGAATTTACATTCCAGTTGGGGGAGGAGGGATACAAAACAAAATAAGTAAAACATATAGTATATTATATTTAATTAAGTGAGAAGAAAGAAAAACAGGTAAATGGCACTAAAGGTATGGAGGCAGGTGTAATTCTATAGAGAGAGACAGGACAGGCAGCACTGAGGTGACATCTGAATAAAGACCTAAGCACGTCTTGTCGGAGGGAAAGCATTCTCCATAGAGGTAATGGCAAGTGCAAACACTCAGAGGCAGAAACATGCTGGCAGTGCTCAGGGAACAGAGCTGAGGCCAATGTGGCCGGGATGATGTGTGCAAAGCATTAAGAAATAAGACCAGGAAGGTGAGCAAGGGCTAGGTCACATGGCATCTTATAGGCCTATGGCCTTTACTCTGAGTGACATGGGAAGTCACTGGGGGATTCTACGCAGAGGCGTGACGAACGCAACCTGACGTTATCAAACAGGATTACTTTGGCCACTGGTCTGAGAAGAGACTGGAACATAGACAAAGGACATGAAATACGAATCAAAAAATAAGAACTATAAATAACTGATGAAATTTTGAAAAAACCATTCCCATTTACTTATAGAGAAATAAGATAAAATTTCTCAGGAAGCTGGCAAAGGTTCACCACACCACAAATAAACACTGTGGTGAAATGGGCGCTTTTAAATGATGCTAGTAAGAATGTCACCTGGGAACCCCTTTCCAAACATTACTTGACCTCACAGTTTCTCTTTTAAGATTCAATTCTTGGGAAGTAACTAGAGATGTGGTTAAAGAGTCGTGAAAAAGGATGTTTATAAATTCCAATAACGAAAACAACAGATTCACAAGGTACAATTATTAGCTATTGGTTAATTATGATAAAACTACACTATGAAGAAATGATGGAGATATTTTAGAAAAAATTTTTAATGATAACGGGAAATTTTCATTGGTATTTTTATATAGAAGGTAACATCAAAAATATTTAGAGTGGTTATCTCTGAGTAGTATAATTATTTTCTTAATTCCTCCATTTTCCACATTTTCCTTTCATAATTAAGACAAAAAACAAGTTTTAAAAATGGATTTGCTGGCCAGGCACGGTGGCTCACACCTGTAATCCCAGCACTTTGGGAGGCTGAGACGGGCAGATCACGAGGTCAGGAGATCGAGACCATCCTGGCTAACATGGTGAAACCCCATCTCTACTAAAAATACAAAAAATTAGCCGGGCGTGGTGGCGGGCACCTGTAGTCCCGGCTACTCGGGAGGCTGAGGCAGGAAAATGGCATGAACCCAGGAGGCAGAGCCTGTAGTGAGCTGAGATTGTGCCATTGCACTCCAGCCTGGGCGACAGAGCGACATTCTGTCTCAAAAAAAAAAAAAAAAAAAAGGATTTGGTGTGCAAGGCTAAAACATATAGAATGGTACAGCTGAGCTACCTGGAAAAGGGGTAATTATAGTCTAGAGTGATTTTTTTTCAGAGTGACCCAGGCAAAGTTGTCCTGGGAGTGATCTCCAAAGCTAGAAGGAGATCACCAATACTGAAGACACCACTCTGCTGATTTTGTAAATAATCTAATAAGGGCCTGTAAGGATGTTACTGGGGGAAGAGGGTGAGAGGTAAGGCTTTCTACCATTAACAGAGTAGATACTCAGGCTAAAGCACTTTAAATCTCCCTCAAATCAAACCTTCCTCTTCACATCCCAAGCAATATGTGTGTAAAAAGACAATCTTATCTTCAGAAAACAATGTTAAACAAGGAGTCAGAAGATGCAGTCTAGTCATAGTTTTTAAAAAATCACAGATCTGTGATTTCTTTGTGATCCAGTTTCTTCATCAATAAAACCAAGACTATCACTAATCCTAGCATAACTTGCAGTCATTTTACAAAGGTGAAATGAGAAATAGTCATATATGCTTTAACATTCTAAAGCTCAGTAATTATAATCACTAGTAAAATGTTAACATTAAATATTAAGTGAGATTTGATTTACAACATATAGATACAATAAACCTTAATATTATTCTATTATTTTGAATATGGTACGCCTATTATATAGTCTCAATGTTATATTACCAATTATGCAACCATTACATTAACAGAATAACTCATAAAGAAAACAATTGTATTTACTTACATTTCTAGTCCATGCTAAGCGGTCTGTGTTAAAACCCATCACGTTCATGAGACAAGTCACAAATAAATTCCACTCTGAGTGATAACTGGGTCCTCCTGGAGCACTGTGGACATTGTACCACTTGACAAGCATCTGAACTGCTATTTCTTTTGGCAGGATAAACTTAATTGTTTGCAAACACGTTTGTACTATTAAAAGCAAAGATTAATTTTAGTATTCTTACTCTGCATGCATTTCTTTTCCCCTTTCAATAACCAAGTTTCTTTAACTTCTACTATGTAAAGGCCAATTATTATGAAAAGAAAACTGTCATTAAAGAGCCAATGAGATGCAAACATTACCTAACCCATCATCTGAAACTAAAACCAACTACTGAATTCAACAGGGCTTGAAAGGGGTCTGAAGACAGCTTTTTTTTTTTTTTTTTTTTGAGAGGGTGTCTCGCTCTGTTGCCCAGGCTGGAGTGCTGTGGCGCAGTCTTGGCACACTGCAACTTCTGCCTCCTGAGTTCAAGAGATTCTCCTGCCTCAGCCACCAAGTAGCCGGGATTACAGGCGTCTGCCACTGCCCCAGGCTAATTTTTGTATTTTTAGTAGAGACCATGTTTCACCATGTTGGCCAGGCTGGTCTCAAACTCCTGACCTCATGATCCACCTGCCTTGGCCTCCCAAAGCACTGGGATTACAGGTGTGAGCCACTGTGCCCGGCCAAGGACAGCTTTTTGATCATTAATTTTGCATCAGAAATAAAGTAACCAAATAGCCCAGTTTGCCAGAGACAGTCCTGATTTACATCCATTGCCTAGCAATTACTAACTGCTCCCCTTCACTCTTAAAGATGTTCTAGCTCGGGTGACAAATTAAAAGTCACTATGGGCCAGGCATGGTGACTCACGCCTGTAATCTAAGCACTTTGCGAGGTCAAGGCGGGTGGATCACCTGAGGTCAGGAGTTCGAAACCAGCCTGACCAACATGGTGAAACCCCATTTCTACTAAAAATACAAAAATTAGTTGGGCATTGTGGCAGGCACCTGTAATCCCAGCTACTCAGGAGGCTGAGGCAGGAGAATCGCCTGAACCCGGGAGGCAGAGGTTGCAGTGAGCCAAGATCACGCCATTGCACTCCAGCCTGGATGACTACAGCAAAACTGTCTCAAAAAAAAAAAAGTCACTATGAAAAACATACAACTTCTATGTTTATACATTTATATAAAATACTGCCTACATACTTCAGTAAATATATAATATTCAATATATGCATCCACGAATAGCAATGCTTAGCTAGCATTACATGATGTTCTAAATGACTTAACATGCCTATTAACCAAAGCTTTATAACTTTATTTCTGATGTCGTTCAGTTTCTAAAATGTTTCACATGCTCTCTGCCTTAAAAGGGTTAAGAGTTGATACCACATAATTTACACCATTCTTTTTTTGGTAAGTGGAAACAGGGTCTTCCTCTGTCCCCAGGCTGGAGTGCAGTGGTGCAATTATAGCTCACTGTCACCTCCAGCTCCTGGGCTCAAGTGGTCCACCAGCTCAAGCTTCCCAAGTAGCAAGGACTACAGATGCATGCCAGCATGCCTGGCTGATTTTATTTTTCTTTCTGTAGAGACCGAGTCTCACTATGTTGTCCAAGCTGGTCTCAAACTCCTGGCCTCAAGCAATCCCCTCACCTCAGCCTTCCAAAGGGAGGGGATTACAAGCACGAGCCCACCACACCTGGCCTTATACCATTCTCAGTGGCTCCACATCAATTATAGCACTACACTGTCATACAATGATCCCCTCAGAGTGGCCAGGGCTACCACTGTGAAGAGACCCAAATCTGCTTTTAGTAGTAAATAATCCCAAACTGCAATGTTTGTGTACTCACATATCCTCTCTTCCAGGATTCTTTTTTCCCTTTCCACTGTCATGCCACTGGGCCCACCCTCATCAGCATATCCTCTATCCCGTCAGTTTGCAATATGCAAACTCACACAGCACAGGTTGGAAGCAAATAATATTAAAATACCATATAACCAAGTATGTCATAGCTGAATCCAAAATAAGTGTAAACCCAATGCTGCATGAGTGTGTGAGAACCCTTTGCAGGTAAAGTACATAAACTTATGTGCATAAACTATGGGGCTTCTATTTGGCTATAAAGGGGTAAGATTTTTTGTTTTTATTTATTTAATTTCTTCCATTATTATTTGTTTTTATATATTTTGCTTAGGCTTATCATACTTCTAGGTACCTGGCCTTGTGATTACGAAATACCTTTTAGAAGGCAAGGAATCTCTATAGCAACTTGGAATACCATTTACCAGCAGTGAAAATTCCTAAAATGAAAAAGTTATTCTTGTCTACAATCTGCCAATGTCTTGCTTTGGCAGTTAGATTGGAAACCAAGATATGTCATGAACTTCCTTATATCATACAGGCATTCTTTTCTTAACCTACGTTTGTTGGCAAATCCCTTCAATTCTAACATTTTGTTTACTATGCTATGTTCAGAAATATTCTCCTCTAGCATTTTTGAAATTGCATCTCAGGAATAATTCAAGCAGAATCCAATATTTATTAAGATAATTCTGATTGTATTTTGACAATAATATTAAGTTTTATTCAATTAAGGCAATTAGGTTACTTTCACAATTTATCTGAAAATTGAGATATTCATTTTAAAATTAAAAACATCATTAATACATTACAGAAAAAAACATTAAATATGCCAAGAATTATCTTAGTCGCTTAGGCTTCCAGTTTCCCAGATGTTCTTGCAAGAGGCATGTCCATATATATACATATACATATATATATATACATATACATATATATATATACATATATATATACATATACATATATATATATACATATATATATATATATATATATTTTTTTTTTTTTTGAGACTGAGTCTCACTCTATCACCTAGGCTGGAGCGCAGTGGCACGATCTCGGCTCACTGCAACCTCCGCATTCTGGGTTCAAGCGATTCTCTTGCCTCAGACTCCCAAGTAGCTGAGATTACAGAAGTGCACCACCACACCCCGCTGATTTTTGTATTTTTAGTAGAGAAAGGGTTTCACCACGTTGGCCGGGCTGGTCTCGAACTACCGACCTCAAGCGATCCACCTGCCTCAGTCTCACAAAATGTTGGGATTACAGGAGTGAGCCACCATGCCCAGCAGGCATGTCCATATATTATTATACTGCACAATATTCCCCAACAGAAGAACCTCAGAGAACAGAAATAGCACATCCTTCACCTGTACTCCAGCCTTAGAGCACACATAGAGTGGACATCACAAAGCACTCCCTAGCTCTTTAAGGCTCCTCTACAAAGCTAAGAACTTGATCCAGTGGCTTCAAAAATGGCAAAATAATGTTTAAAACCCCAATTATTAATGTAAATCACAATTACTTCATGTCTTATAAATGAAACTTCTCAATCGTACCTAACTCAGAGGTGGCAATTTCAGGAACAGTGATCCTAACCATGGAGCCATTACTCAGTTCCTAGATGGAAACAAATGAGAAAGTAAATAAAATCTGTGCATTCTAAGTCTTTGAATGTCTTAAAAATAGCTGGTACAAGACTTTGCCCATCAAAGCAATAAAATAAATGAAAAACAATTTTCAAACAGAAATGAACACTTCCAAATTTCAGAAACTTTAAATGTAATTATTTGCAAAATGTTTTCCAAAATGCTTGTTTTAATAAAAAGTGTCTAATCTTTATACAGTGAGTCACCATCATCAAAAGGACATTTACTTTTAATGAGACGACAAAAAATCACATCAATTTACAATTCAACTGACTCAACAAGCTTTTGTTTTCACTAAGTTTTTAATAATACAGAAACTGTAGAAAACAAGCAGAATTACTGTATAGTAAAAAGTAAAATAGTGCCAAAAAATGACACAATAGATTTTTTTAAATCATGAGAAATGTTTGTTGTCATTTTTCAGACAAAATTCTGTATTCTGTCAAATTTGAAATGCCAGCCCACTTCTTGGAAAGCTACCAAATGTTTATACTTACTAGGGTGACTCTGTTATGGACAGGATCTCTGATAGAATCAATGTAAGTTCCAAGCTGTTGGAAAGTACAATCCTCATTATAGAGAGAATCATGAAGTTTTGAAGAATCCCTCAGTTCTGGAACTGGGGACAACAGGAGAACCTGTAAAAAGTCGTAAATACAACACAAATGAATTGTTTTCTGAGAAATTAAGGACAAGGAAATTTAACTATTTCTTTTTTGCATATGGTCTAACAAACAATAATATGTAATGATTCAAAAACATTCTGCTCCAAGCCAAGCATGGTGGTGCACACCTGTATAGTCCCAGCTACTCAGAAGACTGAGACAGGAGAATCACTTAAGCCTAGGAATTTGAGGCTGTAGTGAGCCTGTGAATAGTCTCTGCCCTCCAGCCTGGATGACACGGCAAGACCCAGGCTGTTTAAAACATTTTGTTCCAGATACAATGAAGTACCAGCAAACCAAGGTCCTCACAGGAAACAGCTAGAAAAGGTAGGTAAAAGGAAAACATCTGATTGGTGGCTGTGGAAAAGCTGTGGAAGCAACCTGGACTTGAGGGACCAAGATCTAGGAGAGAAGGCAACTGCAGGGAAAGGGGCCAACGTTCTTGGAGAACCTTGCTTTTTCTGCTCTGGCCATCTGCAAATTTTGGTGGTAAGAGGAACATATGGAAAGGCTGACAATATGCAAGGAAAGTCATAGCTAAGAGGGAGAGAAGCCAGCAGCACTGTTAGCAACCTTACAGGGCTAAAGACTAAACTGTGAGCCGGGGCACGTGGTGGCTCATGCCTATAATCCCAGCACTTTGGGAGGCTGAGGTGGGCGGATCACTTGAGGTCAAGAGTTCAAGACCAGCCTGGCCAACATGGTGAAACCCCATCTCTACTAAAAATACAAAAATTAGCCAGGTGCGGTGGCAGGTGCCTGTAGTCCCAGCTATTTGGGAGGCTGAGGCAGGAGAATCGCTTGAACCCAGGAGGTGGAGGTTGCAGTACGGTGAGATTGCCCCACTGTACTCCAGCCTGGATGACAGGGCAAGACTCCATCTCAAAAAAAAACAAAAAACAAAAAACAAAAGACTAAACTGTGATTTGAGGCAGCTGAGGAACTAAGAGCCCAGGAAGAAAGGACAGTAATGAAAAAGCCAACAAATGAGACCAGGATTTAGTGGTATTTCCCCTATAGGCAATTATTTATTCAAAAATACAGGAACAGCATTTATTTGCTTAACTGCAGATATGCAAACAAAAAATTTAAATGGTCTTAGTTACTATCTACATGCAGATGCTTCCAATCTTAATCTCTAGTCATGACCACTGATCCTTTTTTGATTCCTTTAATTCAATTTATATATCTCTAAGTGAATATCTTGTCAACACTGACAATCAAGACTAAGATGTATTTATTCTATTCCAGATTCTACTCTAAAAGTCACCAGGAAAAATTCAGCTCCACTGGTCCTGGCTCTAAGTCTACTAGCAAAATCTTCCAGAGAAGTGGAAAAGCCATCAGCCAATGTGTCAGACTATCATTTCCATGACCTTACACCTATCAAAAAGGCACTATTACCAGGCTTATAGAATTCTAAAAAAGTTGGAAACCATTTTCCATTATAAAAGAAATTCTTCCAAATCACACAAAACACTCTGACACTTCTCCAGTTCCCCCTTTGAATGTTCTGCAAATGTGCTGGTTTGAAGGAAAAAAAATTCAATGTGGCACATGTTTAAAAATATAATGAAGACATAGACATTATCAAATACAACAGATAGCACTAACCTTCCCTTTGAACCGTCCCTAAACATCCACACTCACATGTCCTTTAAATACAAACCACTTTTCTCCAGGCTTCCTAACTTGGTAAATCCAGGTACCTTCCCAGGTCGTTCAGAGAATTCAGAGCCTCCTTCCACATCACCTTTCCCCAGCCCAGCAGCACAAAACCAATCAGCTGACAAACTCATTTCCACCTCTCAAGGCCTCTCATATTAATCCCTCCTTTCCACACATATACTGCCCTAGCTCAGACCCTCTTCATACTTCTTAAACTGACACAGACAACCTCACTTGGAGGCTAACTGGTCTCCTTATCTTGAATCCCAAAATACACCTATTTACAACACAGATCCAAAACCTCGTAACTCCTTTCTCAAAATCCTGTAATGCCCTGTCAATTGCATTCAGAAGAAAACCACCTTTTCATCCTTTCTCCCTTTAAGAGCACATTAGTAAGAGTGTAAATCCCAGTTCTACCACTTAGTAGGTTTATTTCATTTGTAACCTCTATCTCATTTGTAAAAAAAAGAATCATAGTACTATCTTCTCAATAAAGCTGTTCTAAGGAAATAATTATTACCAATAAAGCACTGAGAACAATGCCTAGCACATAGAAAATGCTCAAAAAAGGTTATTATTGTTATCCAAACCCTATCCTGCCTCACCCTACAGACTACTTGTACTTTTATAAGTATTTATTCTACAGATTTATTCAGTCCTTATGACTAGGAGATGAAGATACAAATATCCATTAAAAAATGTTCCGCATTATCTGGCCTTCCTGCCTGTGCCTGTGTGGTTTCTCCTTGCCCTGAATGCTCCTTTCTACCTACAGATATCCTACTCATCCCCAAGGTCCAAACGAAGACTGACATGTCTCTCAGAGATGAGGCTTTGATTTTGCCATGTCCTCCCATTGGATGTTATCTTCCCATCAGTCAATCAACGATGGTACTCTCTTTTCCACATTACTGAGTCATGAGTCTTTCTTAAATTCTAATTTCTTATGCAGACAGTACATCAACTCCACACGATTGTGAGATCCCTAGATGGAAAAGAATGTATCATTTCCATCTCTCCAGCACCTTCAAAAAGTATCACATACATCACAAGGGAGGTCAGCGTATGTTAACTGAATCACTTCTGTTTGAAAACATTTATTCTGCAAGTAGAAACTAAAATTAAGTTAACCATGGAAAGAACTAATATTTAACCAAACTTCTTTAAAAAATGTTAACTTTTTGGCAGCACCTAGTCCTTTTCTTACCTCGTCCAATGATCCAAGGAGTTTACTAAGAGGCTTTGGAGCACTAACGCCATCAAGTGGAGTACTGGGCTGAGGCATTGTGTTGGACATCGTCAGAGAGGGAGCTGGCAGTCCAGGAATAAAAACCTTTCCCACCTTTAAGCAATAAAAACATGTGGAAAAAAAAAATACTGCCTTTAATGCATCACATCCTTAAATAAAATGTTAAGGAATATAAACATATATTTCTTTTGATATTTCTAAGTTTATTCTCACCAAACACAGCAAAGAAACAATTCAAATGTCAATAATCTATTGAATTCCACTATCCAACTGCAAATATGTTGGTATAATTTCTTTTTTTTTTTTTGAGATAAGATCTCACTCTTTCCCTGTGGCTGGAGTACAGTGGCATGATCTCAGCTCACTGCAGCCTCAACCTACCAGGCTCAAGTGATCCTCCCACTTCAGCCTCCTGAGTAGCTGGAACTACAGGCACATGCCACTATGCCTGGTTAATTTTGTATTTTTTGGTAGAGACAGGGTTTCACCATGTTATCCAGGCTGGTCTTGAACTTCTGGGCTGAAGCCATCTGCCCACCTAGACCTCTCATACCTTGGTATAATTTCTCTTGGTTGGATTCCTTCTCTTCATTACTGAAGACTTTTTTGGAAGGCAAGGAGAGGAATGTTAATATAGTCAACACATTATATAAAAATCTGTACACTATGTACTCTTCTACCTTATTGGTCATAAAGACAGTAAGAACAGCGGCCAGGCGCGGTGGCCCACGCCTGTAATCCTAACACTTTGGGAAGCCGAGGCAGGCGGATCACAAGGTCAGGAGTTCAAGAGCATCCTGCCTAACACAGTGAAACCCCATCTCTACTAAAAATTAAAAAAAAAAAATTAGCCGGGCATGGTGGCAGGCACCTGTAGTCCCAGCTACTCTGAGGCTGAGGCAGGAGAATGGTGTGAACCCAGCAGGCGGAACTTGCAGTGAGCCGAGATCGCGCCACTGCACTCCAGCCCGGGCAACAAGAATGAAACTCTGTCTCAAAAAAAAAAAAAAGAATGAGTTGACAATCCGTGCTAACCACTCCTTATTTTGGCTATCTGTAGGGTACTTAGCAAAAACAGAAATTCACATCTGTACAGGCTGAAAACTTGATAAGACTAAAAAGGAGATGCTCAGAACTAAAATGAGATCTTAACAACGTACATATTCATGTTAACACACTACTCAACAGCTAACAAAATAACAGAAGTTGCCCCAATAAAATCCTTAGGCTTAAAAAACAAAATAACAGTGAGAACTAATTATGCATAATTTTTTAAAAGCTATCTCAAACCCCTAATTTACGAAAAGATGGAATAAGCACATACCATGCTATTCCCTCATTAATCACCAGAAAGAAAAAAAACTGAATAAAATTTATAATGCAACTAACAGAGGATTCTGAAAAAGTGAAGAAAAGAAGACAAACTGGCTAGTAACCTGAGACCCAGGAATGACCTAATGATGAATTTCCTAGGTTTCTGGTTTTTTTGACTCCTTACATAACCAGGCCTCAGGCTTTCAAAGTGCCTATAACACAGACATGCCAACGTTCACAGACAAAACACGCCCTAAGAAAATCTTACTCTTTCCAGCCAAAGTGTTGGGAAAAGAATGACCGACCAGGACAGAAACTTTTCACTATATCTGCCCTACTTTTTGCAAACACCAAGAAAAAAGTCATGGCCGTCCCTTCCTCCTCATCAGGAGGCACAGTGAAAATTTTGAATGTCCCTCGTCTATTTGAGGAAGTCCCCTTCTATTTCTCGATGCTGAGGATTTTTTTTCATCACGGATATTTGATTTTATCAAATGATTTCTCTGCATCTATTTAGATCCTTGGTCAGCAAACCATGTTCCATGACCAAATCTGGCTTGTATCCCATTTTTGTACAGTCTGTGAGCTAAGAATAGGTTTTATGTACTTAAATGGTTAAGGAAAAAAAAAAACAGAAGACAAATATGTAACAGAGACTGCATGCGGCCCATAGAGGCTAAGATACTTGTCTGAACTCCTACATAAAAAGTTTGCCAGGCTGGATGTGGTGGCTCATGTCTGTAATATCCCAGCACTTTGGGAGGCTGAGGTGGGAGGATCGCTTGAGTCAGGAGGTCATGGGTGCAGTGAGCTGTGATCCCACCACTGCACTCCAGCCTGAGTAACAGAACGAGATACTGTATCGAAAAAGAAGAAAAGAAATTGCCAAGGTTGGAGAGGACATGAACAACATTATCAACCAAATGGAATGAACTGACATTTACAAAATACTCAAGGGTGCCTTCTTGGTGATTTGGCCCTTTAAAGTCTCTCTTTGTTCCTGGTCATTTTTTTTTTCCCACTTTATAGCGACTCCAGCTATCTTTTGATTACTGTTTGCATAATATATCTTCTTTCCATCCTTTAACTTACCTATGTCATTATATTTGAAGAACACTTCTTATAACCAACATATATAGTTGGGCTGTATTTTCTAATCTCTTCTGCTAGTCTCTGTTATTTGTGTTAGACCATTGTATTTAATTAGTGGCCTAGTGGGATTTAAATCTGCCATTTAATGTTTGTTTTCTGTATGTTCCCACTTTCTTTGCTCATCCAGAAGAAGCAACTCTTCAAGTTTGATCATAAGATTTTGGCAATTCTGTTCAAGTTTGGCAATTCTGTTCAGGTTTAATCATAAGATCTTGGCAATTTAGTCACATCTTCAGGCTCTACTTCTAATTCTAATTCTCTTGCTATTTCCACCACATCTGCAGTGACTTCCTCCACTGAAGTTTTGAGCCCCTCAAAGTCACCCATGAGGGTTGGAATCAACTTCTTCCAAATTCCTGTTTATGTTGATATTTTGTCCTCCTCCCATGAATCATGAATATTCTTAATGGCATCTAGAAAGGTGAATCCTTTCCAGAAGGTTTTTTTTTTTTTTTGAGATGGAGTCTCCCTCTGTCGCCCAGGCTGGAGTGCAGTGGCGCAATCTTGGCTCACTGCAAGCTCTGCCTCCTGGGTTCACACCAGTCTCCTGCCTCAGCCTCCCGAGTAGCTGGAACTACAGGCACCCGCCACCACACCCGGCTAATTTTTTGTACTTTTAGTAGACACAGGGTTTCACTGTGTTAGCCAGGATGGTCTCGATCTCCTGACCTCGTGATCCACCTGCCTCGGCCTCCCAAAGTGCTAGGATTACAGGTGTGAGCTGCCACACCCGGCCCAGAAGGTTTTCAATGGACTTTGCCAGATCTCTTAGAGGAATCACTATCTATGGCAGCTCTAGTTAAGTAATGTATTTCATAGTAAGACTTGAAAGTCAAAATTACTCCTTCACAGGCTGCAGAACAGATGTGTCAGCAGGCATGAAAACAACATTCATCTCCTGTACATCTCCCTCAGAGCTCTTAGATGACCAGGTGCACTGTCAATGAGCGGTAATATTTTGAAAGGAATCTTTTTTCCGAGCAATACGTCTCAACAGTGGGCTTAACACATTCAGTAAACCATGCTATAAACAGGTGTGCTGCCATCCAGTCTTTGTCGCTCCATTTATAGAGCCCAGGCAGAGCAGACTTGGCATAATTCTTAAGGGCCCTAAGACTTTTGGAATGGTAAATGAGCACTGGCTTCAACTTTAAGTCACCAGCTGCATTAGCCCCTAACAAGAGGGTCAGACTGTCCTTTGAAGCCAGGCACTGACTTCTCCTCTCAGGTTATGAAAGTCCTAGATGGCATCTTCTTCCAACAGAAAGCTGTTTCATCCACACTGAAAATCTGTTTAGTGTAGCCACCTGCATCAATTATCTTAGCAGCTTCTACATCAGCACATGCTGCTTCACCTTCCACTTTTGTGTTATGGGGAGGGCTTTTTTCCTTAAACCTCAAGAATCAACCTCTGTTTGCTTACAACTTTTCGTCTGCAGCTTCTTCACCTTTCTTGGCCGTCACAGAATTGAAGAGAGTTAGGGCCTTGCTGTGGATTCGACTTCAGCATAAGGGAATGTTATGGCTGGTTTGATCTTCTGTCCAGACACTAAAACTTTCTTCATATCAGCGATAAGGCTGTTTCGCTTTATCAGTTGCCATGTTCACTGAAATAGCACTTTTAATTTCCTTCGAGAGCTTTTCCTCTGCATGCGCAAGTTGGCTCTTGTGCACAGGTGGTCTGGCTCTCGACCTATCTCAGCTTTCAACACGCCTTCCTCACGAAGCTTAATCATTTCTAGTTTTTGATGTAAAGTGAGAAACTTGTGATTCTGCCCTTCATTTGAAAACTTAGAGGCCATTACAGGGTTACTAATTGGTCTAATTTCAATATTGTTTTGTCTCAGGATATAGTGAGGCAGGAGGAGAGAGAGAGACAGGAAAGGGGTCAAATGATCAGGCAGACCACACAAAACATTTATCAATTAAGTTCCTCATCTTATATGGGTACAGTTCGTGGTGCCCCAAAAGAATTCTAATAGTAACATCAAAGACCACTGATCACAGGTCACCATAACAGATAAACTAATAACAAAAAGGTTTGAAATACTGCAAGAATTATCAATATTTGAAACAGTGACACAAAATGAGCACATGCTGCTGGAAAAATGGCACCAACAGACTTGCTCAACACAAAGTTGCCACAAACCTTCAATCTGTAAAAAAAAAAATGCAGTATCTGTGAAGTACAATAAAGCAAAGCACAAAATGAGGTACGATGGAATACTATTGAATATATACATCACACTGAATGAGTAAACAACAGTACGCATCAACACAGACAAATCTAAAACAAATATAATGTTGAGCAAAATAAGTACATCAGAGGCGAGTACATGGTATTTTTTATATAAAAATTCAAAAACAAGGAAAACTAAATAATGCATTCTTTAGTGATACATACATAACTGTAAAAACTAGTAATACAAACAACTGATTTATCACAAAATCAGGATTCTGTCTATCTCGAGGGCAGGGGAAGATAGGATGCAATCAGAAAAGAATGTAATAAAAATAAGGATACTGGCAATATTCTATTTCTTAACCAGAGTACTGGGTAGATGAATATTCACTTCATTATTATTATTCAAATTGTATGTATTTAAATTTCATAATTTAAATTTGTAAAATGTATATTCTCTATGTACATTTCACAAATGTTAAAAAAATACAGCTAACAGCTGGGCGCGGTGGCTCACGCCTGTAATCCCAGCACTTTGGGAGGCCGAGGCGGGTGGATCACGAGGTCAGGAGATCGAGACCACCCTGGCTAACACGGTGAAACCCCATCTCTACTAAAAATACAAAAAATTAGCCAGGCTTGGTGGCGGGCGCCTGTAGTCCCAGCTACCCGGGAGGCTGAGGCAGGAGAATAGTGTGAACCCGGGAGGCGGAGCTTGCAGTGAGCCGAGATCACCCTGGGCAACAGAGCGAGACTCCATCTCAAAAAAAAAAAAAATACAGCTAACATACACCACATTTAATATAGTGAAACTTTACCAAAACTTTAGTACTTACCAAAGGTACCCATGCTTCAATTTCAAAGGTACCCATGCTTCAATTTCAAAACTAGTTTAACTTTAAAAAAAAAAAAAAATCTACCTATACTCATTGAAGGTTTCCCATCTGTGACAGGTTTAGAGTACCAATGCATTTAATAGCAGTGAGCCATAGCCCTCCAAATTAGGACCCACCTAAATGGGAAGCTTCACTGAGAATTATTAACAAAATTCTTCTGCCAAATTGTGCAGACAGGAACATAACAAATTTAAAATATCAATCTAAAGTAACTTTACAAATATTCATGCAGGCAGCCTGAAGTCCTACTAAAGGCATGAAGTGCTACTTATTGCTTACCCGAACCACTCCTGTGTATAGCACCAGGTTTCCACTGCCTTCCAAGACCAGCATGGTGTCTATTTTCTTTAAAAAAAAAAAAAAAGACTAAAAATTTATTTCCCGATTTGAGCAAATTAATAGATTTTTTGACTGAAAAATCTGATGAAGCGTAATTGTCAACTTCTCAAATGTGCCTACATTACCTCCACTGGTGCTGCATCCTTCGCTGGTATGTTGGTCACTGAAACAAAGATGAGCTGGGTTTTATCATTACTCTCTTGAAACTTTACACAGCTAAATAATAAAATAAAAAGAAACTTGATACATGCAACAACCTGTATGGGTATTAAAAGTATTATGCTGAACAGAAAAAGACAATCTCAAAAGTTTACATACTGTATGAGCCCATTTATAAAACATTCACAAATGCCAAATTATCAAGATGGAGAATTAGTGGTTACCAGGATCAGTGGGTAATGGTGTATGTGACTATAAGGAGTTAACGTAAGACAGATAAAGATGTTTTGTATCTTGATTGTGGTGGTATTTACACACATCTACATATGTGAAAAAACTGCATAGAACCATACATACACATAAATGAGTACATGTCAAATTGATGAAATTTGAAATAAAGTGTGTACATCATCTATCTCCTGGTTATGATAATGTATTATAGTTGTACAAGAGGTTACCTGTGAGGGAAAAAGAATGCAAGGTACACAGGACTTGTTTACTATTTTGTAACTTCCTGTGATCTATCGTATTTCAAAATATGAAGGTAAATAAATGGGCAAAAGATCTGAATAGATATTTTACCTAAGAAGATAAATGAATGGCTAATAACTTCATGAGATGATCAACATCAGAATGCATTAGAGAAAAGCAAATTAAAGCCATTTCACAACCACTGGAAAATAGCTACAATCAAAGAGTGTGATGATATCCAATCCTGTCAAGGATAAAGAGACATTAACCTTCATATTTTGCTGGTGGGAATATAAAATGATACAGGCTATTTGGAAAACAGTTTGGTGATTTCTTAAAAAGTTAAATATGAATTTACCATTCAACCCAATGACCCAATCCTAGGCATTTACTCAAGAAAAATAAAATCACATATGTCCACATTTTTGCTCAAGACCTTTGTTCAAATGTTCATACTGTCCTAATTCTCAGCAGTCAAGAGGTGGAAATAAACCAAAAGTCCATCAGCTGATGAACAGATAAACAAAACATGGTGGTAGATCTATACAATGGACTATTACATAGCAATAGGTATGAAATAATGATACATGTTACAAAACGGTGGATCCTAAAAACATCACGCTAAGTGAAAGCTAAACACAAAAAGCTACACTGTGTGTACATACATTATATATATATAAATGTCCAGAAAAACTCATCTATAAAGGCAGAAGCCTAGCATGGTTGCCTGAGGCTGGAAATGGGAACAAGACTGACTACAAACAAGCACAAGGAAATCTTTTTATGGTGATATAAATCTTGTAAAATTGGGTCATGGTGATGGTTGTATAACACTGTAATTTACTAAAAATCATTTAATTGTACAGTTAAAACATGTTAATTTTATGACATGTAAATTATTTCTAAATAAAACTACTTAAGCCAAAAAAAAGGAAAGAAAAGAAAAAGAAAAAGCAATGCTGAGTTATTTATACAGAAACAATGGGAAATACATACACCTACCATAACTGGAGCTGGGACTCCACTGAAAAGCACAGGAAATTTGCCCACATAGGTCAGATGTAATAAACACTTTTGAGGCTTGTGAATTTTTCTCTCTATAATAGATACATCAATAAAGTAACTGTCAGCACTGGTCCAAGAATCTACCACAGTAACTATTAAAAGTCTTTGAGGCCGGGCGCGGTGGCTCACACCTGTAATCCCAACACTTTGGGAGGCCGAGGCGGGCAGATCACGAGGTCAGGAGATCCAGACTATCCTGGCTAACACGGTGAAATCCCGTCTCTACTAAAAATACAAAATAAATTAGCCAGGCATGATGGCGGGCGCCTGTGGTCACAGCTACTCTGGAGGCTGAGGCAGGAGAATGGCATGAACCCAGGAGGCGGGGCTTGCAGTAAGCCAAGATCGCGCCAGTGCACTCCAGCCTGGGCGACAGAGCCAGACTCCGTCTCAAAAAGAGAGAGAAAAAAAAAAAAAGTCTTTGAAAATATTCTGCAAGAAATCTAAAAACTACTTAGGTCAAGCAATAATCTCAAAGACACAAACATTTCTAAGAATTAAACTTCATGATCTCTAAGATCCTTTCAGTTCTTTGATTATGAGCTCATTACACAGCTTTGCTGGGGAAAGCTACAATAAATTTAACAATTACTGATGAACTTTTAAATTACATACTATCTAAGCTCCCTACTTGTAATGCAAACTAAGCCACCTACTTGTAAAGTAATGCATGCAAACTTGAATTCCTATCCCGCAAAGGGCCAGATCTTTCATAATGCTGTTTCTCCTATCTACCCCCTCTCCTTCTCAGATTAGACCTCATTCACATCTCTTTTTGAAATTGTATCTCTAATTCCCAAACCCTTCCTTCTAAAGTGTACAGAAGGCCGGGTGTGGTGGCTCACGCCTGTAATCCCAGCACTTTGGGAGGCCGAGGCGGGCAGATCACCTGAGGTCAGGAGTTCAAGACCAGCCTGACCAACATGGAGAAACCCCGTCTCTACTAAAAATACAAAATTAGCCAGTAATCCTGTAATCCCAGCTACTCGGGAGGCTGAGGCAGAAGAATCAATTGAACCTGGGAGGCAGAGGTTGTGGTGAGCCGAGATCGGGCCATTGCACTCCAGCCCGGGCAACAAGAGCGAAACTCTATCTCAAAAAATAAATAAATAAATAAATAAATAAATAAATAAAGTGCTACAGAAGACCCATAAATCTAAAAAATAAGAGTCTATAATATATTCAACTTACAAATAAGTTATTTAAAGAAAAATGATCTATAATTGTAGGATACTTTTATTTGATATATGAGAAACAAGCCAGAGAGACTACTTCAACATTGTATCCACATCTTTACTTTCTTCAGACTACCTATCCCCCATTTCATTCTCTCTAAGATTATGCATTTGCCTTCCATTTCAGATAAAATGAGGCTCTAAGGCTTGAGCTCAACCTCCTGCCTTACGTATCTGATCAACCTTCACTTCTTTATCCCAACGCTAATCTCACCACTTGTGCACCTTTCTGGTTACTTGTTCCATCAATCGTTTCCTCTCTTCTGTATTTTCAATACTTTCCCTTGAGTATAGTCCGTATAGCCTACTATTTCACATTAAAAGTCTTAAAATATAAAATAGACTCAACATTAGAGTATATAAAAGACCTTCTCAATTTGACTGGATATAAAACTTGTATTGTGGTTAGGTAAGAAAATATTGGGGGCCAGGCACAGTGGCTCACACCTGTAATCCCATTACTTTGGGAGGCAGAGGCAAGCAGGTTGCTTGAGCCCAGGAGTTTGAGACCAGCCTGGGCATCACGGCAAAATCCTTTCTCTACAAAAATTAGTCAGGCGTGGCGGTGTGTGCCTATAGTCCCAGCTACCTGGGAGGCTGAGGTTGGGGAATCACCTGAGCCCAGAAGGCCAAGGCTGCAGTGAGCTGTGATTGAGTCACTCACTGTACTCTAACCTGGGTGACAGAGTGAGACCCTGTCTCAAAAAAAAAAAGAAAAAGAAAATACTGGGGCAAGATGTCATGAAAACTAATTTTATTATAGTTCAGCAAAAACAAAACTCTCCTTGACCAAGACTCCCTCTAATTTTGTATCTTCATTCCTATTCAAAGGCAAACTCCTTAAAGAGTCTGTATGCCTATGTTCATTTCCTCAGTCCCCATTTACTTTTTCTACCCCACTTTCCCCCGCCACCCTCCCAGCTTAAAATGCTCTGGCCAAGGTCACCAAGGAACCCACTGCCACCCAGGTACCTCCTCTCTGGGTTCAACTCTCAGGGCCACACTTCACCAGTACCTGGCAATACTGGCATCTCTGTATTCTTGAAATGTTCTTTTTTGTATTCTGTATTTCCTGCTGCTTCTCCCATCTGACTTCTTTTGCTTTGTCTCTCTGCGCCAGCTTTGTCTCTTTCCATTCCCCAAATCTTAAGTTTCCAGGACTTCAGTTCCTAGCCCTCTTCTAATTCTACACCACTGGATTTTAACTATTTGGAGGCCACAAATCCCTTTGAGAATCTAAGGACTGTTAAAACCCTCTCCTTGGGAAAAGGCCTATATACTACATGTACACACAATTATTGAATACAATAATTCTTCAATTCTAATCTAATTCTCTTACCTCAATCACCACTTATAAGCTGACAATTCCACATTTATTGTTCTGCTGTTTCCCAAACTTCCGACACACTTATGAAGTGCCTTCTTACCGCTGTCATCAAACAGACCAGAGGCCTAAAGGGCAATCAGTAATCTCTCAAGCCTCCTTTTTTTTTTTTTTTTTTTTTTTTCAGACAGTCTCACTCTGTCACCCAAGCTGGAGTACAGTGGTGTGCTCTTGGCTCACTGCAACCTCCAACTCCCAGGTTCAAATGACTCTCTCACCTCAGCCTCCAGAGTAGCTGGGACTACAGATGCACGCCATCATGCCTGGCTAATTTTTGTATTTGTAGTAGACATGGGGTTTCACCATGTTGGGCAGGTTGGTCTTGAACTCCTGAGCTCAAGTGATCCATCTGCCTCAGCCTCCCAAAGTGAGTGATTACAGGTGTGAGCCACTGCACCTAGGAAGCCTCCTCTTCATTAGCCTTTTCCCTCCCCTCTGCAAAAACCAGAGTGGGAGTATTTATAATTCCCTAAATACACCACGCACTCACCAGAACTTTTGTTCTGATCCCAGCTGCCGTCTGTGGTCTTTCTAAACTTACCTGCCTAGCAAATACCTGTTCATTTTTCAAAGCCCTACCAGCAAAAGTAGTCCCTCCTGTGTCACCATCCTTCAGCTATCTGCCTCTTTTGAGGACAGGGACAGTGACTTATTAGACTGTTAACTAGCACACACATTGGCATATAAATTAACACGTGAATTATTAAAGAGAATATAAAAGAAGAAAGGTCACCCAGAACAGAGATCTAAGCTATGTTTCCCAAAAAGTAAAGCTGGCACTCAACTAACATGAACATAAAACTTAGGAAACGTGCTAAAAAACCCACATTTCCTCACGGATAGAAATTAACTGTTTCTCCCCAGAACAAAAAACACCTGAAAAATGAGAGATTATTACTATAAAGGAAGAAATATCAGATGACAAAATAATATTTTTATGATGACTTTTTTTTTTGAGATAGTCTCACTCTGTCACCCAGGCTGGAGTGCAGTGGCACGATCTCAGCTCACTGCAAGCTCAGCCTCCTGGGTTCAAGCAATTCTGCCTCAGCCACCTGAGTAGCTGGGATTACAAGTATGCACCACCACACCCAGTTAATTTTTGTATTTTTAGTAGAGACAGGGTTTCACAATGTTGGCCAGGCTGGTCTCGAACTCCTAGGCTCAAGTGATCTACCAGCTTCAGCCTCCCAAAGTGCTGGGATTACAGGCATGAACCACCACGTCCAGCCTATGATCACTTTAATCTCATTAATATCCTCTACTGAAACTGAGGTGGCCTTAATACATATCTCTATATATTTTTACATATATTAATAACTGATCACATTAAAAGGAAACTTTAAACAAAATGCCATATATTTCCCAAGACTTTCAGCAACATTTTTCTTTGAATATAATAATATATATAACAAACCTTATATTAGTAATCGTTTCTGTCCACAAATGGTCAATACACAGTTCAGGAACAATTGGCTCCGTTTCTGGTGCAAGAAAGAAGCCATTAGACTTACTATTTGGAGAATGAGAAATACTATGTCTCTTTGGAGACTGATTATGGCTTGAAATGTTGAACCTTTGCACCCCTGAAAAAGAGTGCACTCCTAAGGCAGGAGAATGAGCACGACTGCAAAAGAAACAGAGGAGAGAGTACATCACAGTTAGCAGGGCAGGCTTATATGACACACACTCCAATGACACTTCCCAAAATTCCACAGACAGAAGAGCATTCATGGCATAATCCAGGTCAGAAATTAAAATTTTTCAAAAAGGAGTAGCTATTTAAATGGTTCATGTCAATGTGCTTTACTATATTCTAAAGATTTAGAATTATTATTAGAAGAACTCATCTTTTACAACTAAAACTTAGATCATCTTCTTTTTCGGAAAATGAATGATTATTCAAAAAGCTCTAAACTATGTCCCTGTATAGTCAGACATATATATATCAACAAAACAATGTCCCTGTAGCACCAGATATACATATCTGGTGATTTAAATAAATATCTATATAGAGAAATAGATACATTTAGATATCAAATAACAAGAAAAAAAAGAAAAACTAACATAAATTAAGGCAAAAATAAAATAGTGCCACAATATTTTGGGAATTAATATTCATCAAACTGTTGCCCACATAGTGGTAGAAATGAGGCAACTAACCTTAGGACAAGCATAGGCAGCTTCAAAATATGACTCAGGAAAGAATGTGACATGGTAAACTTAGAAATCTTAGTAAAACTGGCTCAGGGCTGAGCACGGTGGCTCACGCCTGTAATCCCCACACTTTGGGAGGCCGAGGTGGGCGGATCACAAGGTCAGGAGATCGAGACCATCCTGGCTAACACGGTGAAACCCCATCTCTACTAAAAATACAAAAAAAAAAAAACTTAGCCAGGCGTGGTGGCAGGCGCCTGTAGTCCCAGCTGGAGGCTGAGGCAGGAGAATGGCATGAACCCGGGAGGCGGAGTTTGCAGTGAGCCAAGATTGCGCCACTGCACTCCAGCCTGGGTGACACAGCAAGACTCCGTCTCAAAAAAAAAAAAAAAAAAAAAAAAGGTCTCAATTGGGATAATGGCTATTTCCCCTAAAAAAAACTCCCCTAAATATATTTCCCCTAAAAACAGCTGTCAACAGCAATTCTAAATCCTTCAAAACAAAACAGAAAGCTTAGAAAGAAAAACCAGGAAACCCTTCTACCTTAGAGCTGCCATGTTGGAAATAGAAGGTGAGCGAGAATGTAGACTGGGTGATGAGGTTGAGCGACTCTGGCTGTGAATGGAGGAGTAATTCCGGAAAGGTGAAATCACAGGGGAATCTCCTTTGGAGAGGCTTCTGAGATGTGCTGTGAGGGAGCTGCTAGTGGCCACATTCCGTGGGGTTCCCCCATGTTCAGAGAACTTTAAAACAACATTCTCTTCCTTAAGTCAAAATAAAGAGAAAGAGGAAAAAAAAACAATAATTAGAATAAAATAGCAATTTCCTTGTAAGAATGCAAGTTGAAGTCAGTTACTAAAGACACAGTATTTCTTCTTTCCTAAGAAGCTCAATCTATTTCTCAAATGAGGCCAGGTGCCGTGGCT